>NC_000006.12:47332727-47635757 GCF_000001405.40 Homo sapiens
ATGGGGAAAGGATTCCCTATTTAATAAATGGTGCTGGGAAAACTGGCTAGCCATATGTGGAAAGCTGAAACTGGATCCCTTCCTTACACCTTATATAAAAATTAATTCAACATGGATTAAAGACTTAAAATGTTAGACCTAAAACCATAAGAACCCTAGAAGAAAACCTAGGCAATACCATTCAGGACATAGGCACAGGCAAAGACTTCATGACTAAAACACCAAAAACAATGCAACAAAAGCCAAAATTGGCAAATGGGATCTAATTAAACTAAAGAGCTTCTGCACAGCAAAAGAAACTACCATCAAAGTGAACAGGCAACCTATAGAATGGGAGAAAGTTTTTGCAATCTACCCATCTGACAAAGGGCTAATATCCAGAATCTACAAAGAATTCAAACAAATTTACAAGAAAAAAACAACCCCATCAAAAAGTGGGCAAAGATATGAACAGACACTTCTCAAAAGAACACATTTATGCAGCCAACAGACACATGACAAAATGCTCATTATCACTGGTCATCAGAGAAATGCAAATCAAAACCAAAATGAGATACCATCTCATGCCAGTTAGAAGGGCAATCATTAAAAAGTCAGGAAACAACAGATGCTGAAGAGGATGTGGAAAAATAGGAATGCTTTTACACTGTTGGTGGGAGTGTAAATTAGTTCAACCATTGTGGAAGACGGTGTGGTGATTCCTCAAGGATCTAGAGCTAGAAATACCATTTGACCCAGCAATCACATTACTGGGTATATACCCAAAGGATTATAAGTCATGCTACTGTAAAGACATGCACATGTATGTTTATTGCAGCACTATTCACAAGAGCAAAGACTTGGAACCAACCCAAATGCCCATCAATGTTAGACTGGACTAAGAAAATGTGGTACATATACACCATGGAATACTATGCAGGCATAAAAAAGTATGAGTTCACGTCCTTTGCAGGGACATGGATGAAGCTGGAAACCATCATTCTCAGCAAACTAACACAGGAACAGAAAACCAAACACTGCGTGTTCTCGCTCATAGGTGGGGATTGACCAATGGGAACACTTGGACACAGGGTGGGGAACATCACACACCGGGGCCTGTCAGGGTTTGGGGGCCTCAGAAGGGATAACGTTAGGAGAAATACCTAATGTAAATGACGAGTTTATGGGTGCAGCAAACCAACATGGCACATGTATACCTATGTATCAAACCTGCACGTTGTGCACATGTACCCTAGAACTTAAAGTATAATAATAAAAAAAAAACACCAGAGTGATGAGATCCATTAAAAAAAGTTATATATTATCTTTATTATTGTTATTGTTAACATTGGGTTTTGCCTTTTTAGTCCTTAATGTTAACCATTTTAATGACTGCATTTAAAACATGAGGCTCATTTTTACCCTTCGTATCCTCAAATATGAGCCCCCCAGCCCTCTGTCATTTTAGCTACAGCAGGCAGGAGTCAAGGAGTCCCACTCCCATGGACAGCAATGGTGTGAGAGCTGATTTCCCAGGGATCAGACTGCCCCTTCTTTTTTCTATTTTGTTTCTTTACTCTTCTTTTGATCTTATGCTCTCAGCTTCTTTGTCCAAGCTCCTCCCTCTTCTCTCACCCCTCCTCCTCCCTGACCCCTCCTATACTTGTGAACTCCTTACCACCCCAAATGCCAAGAATGTGAATTATATAAAAAGGCAAAAATATAAGATGTAAACAGAACCAGACAATGGAGAAGGAAGCAAAATTGTTTTTCAAATATAAGAGGAAAAAGCAAATCCTCTAAAAGATCCTATTACATGGTGGTGACTCAGATACTGGGGCTTGGGAAGGGATGGATCATTTCAACTCTCATGGGAAGGTAACTTTGTCCTATACAAAGACTGTGATCTTGAGAAGTGATAGCTTCCCCCAAGGTAAGGTACTTGCAATACCACAATCTAGTTAGAAACATGTATTTGGTCTCTGTTCCTGCTTTGATAGAAGTGCTCTATCTTGTAGATAGAGATGCTAGGAGAATCTTTTGTTCTAATATTTGGTCTTTGACCCTAGTTCCTGACACAGAGCATCTAAAACCTTTGTAATTTCCTGAGTGATACGAGTGTCTGACACAGAGCTCCTAAATCCTTTAGAACTTCCTGGGTAATAAGAGCATCTTTTGTTCTAGTGAGGCAACTTTCGGTGGGCTTCTGGATAGCCTCAGGATGGAGGCTGTTTGCCAGGGGAACCAACCATATGACTAAAGGCTGAAACTTTAAGCCCCATTCCCTGATCTCAGAGAACGCAAGAGGGGCTGAAGGTTAAATGGATCCTCGATGACCAGAAATGTAATCAATTACACCTATGTAATGAAGCTTCAATATAAATCCAAAGGGACCATGGTATAGAGAGCTTCCAGGTGGCTGAATAGGTAGAGACTCCTACCCAGAAATGGCCTGGAAGCTCTGTGTCCCTTCCCACACGCCTTGCCCTATGTATGCATCTCTTCCATCTGGCTCTTCATCTGTATCTTTTGTAATATCGTTTATAATAAATGCGTAGATTAAGTAGGTTGTTTCCCTGAGTTCTGTAAGCCTCTCTAGCAAATTAATCAAACTCAAGGAGGAGGAATTCTGATTTACAGCTGTTTGGTCACAAGTATAGGTGACCTACTAATTGTGATGGGCATCTGAAGTTGGAGGGCAGTTTTGTGGGACTGAGCCCTTAACCTGTGGAATCTGACTCTAATTCCAGGTAGATAGTGTCATTATTGAATTAAATTATAGGACACCCAGTTGCTGGTGTTAAAAGAAAAACTTCAGCTGAATTAAATTTAAAGGAGTTTAATTGAGCAATGAATGATTCGCGAATAGGACAGCCCTCAGACTCAGCAGATTCAGAGAGACTACAAGCGTGCCTCGTGGTCAGAACAAATTTACAAACAAAAAAGGGAAGTGACATACAGAAATCAGAAGTGAGGTACGGAAACAGCTGGATTGGTTACAGATTGGTGTTTGCTTTATTTGAACACAGTTTGAACACTTAGCAGTCTACGAGTGGTTGAAATATGGCCTCTGGGATTGGCCAAGACTCAGCTATTGTTACAGGCACATAGTCCTAAGTTAGGTTTTCAACTTGTCTGCTTATCTTAATAAGGTTACAGTTCATCCACCAGGTCTCAAATATAAAATTACGGAGTCCTTCTCAGCCCATATTTAGTTTGCTTTAACAGTGTTCACTGGAAAATTGCTTTTGGTGTGTGAGAAAAAAAATCCCCACACACATTTTGGTGACCAGAGGTGACGTATTCTATATTGGGTGTGTAAGAAAAACACTTGGTTTTCCATCACATACTCCCAGAGCCAGGGGAGAATGCAGGAGGCCTGTCAGTAATGCCTCTAGGAGAAACCAGTGGGCTTCTTGGCAGAGGTAACACATGAGCAGGCTATTGCTGAATGCAGTATGACTCTCGGTGGATACAGGGAGAAGGGCATGTCTCCCCCATCAAAGGAGCAGCCAAACAATGACGAGAAGTCCTCAAAGCCCCTCCATGGTGTGACCTCTGGAATCCCCTCCAACTTCACGTATCACTCCCTTCCATGCTCCCTCTGCTCCAGCTACACTGACTTCCATGCTGTTCCTTAAACTTGCCAAGCAAACCCTGCCTTGAGGGTTTTTGCACTTGCTGTTCTCTCTGCCTGCCAATCTCCTTTCTCACTCCTTCATTGTATCCTCCACTCACAGCCATCACTTCAGAGAAGCCCTCTCTGGCCCCCCTTCTAAAATAGCAATCCCTGTCATTCTCCATCCACTTTCCTATTTTGCCTTTATCAGCATTTTTCTCTACCTGGCATTACATTTTTTCCTTCTGTGTTTATCTTACCATTTTCTGTCTTCCCCCATTAAGTTAAGCCCTGTACTTACAAGACCTTTTCCCACAAGCTTCTTAGCAGACTTAGAATTGATTCCTTTGTTTTGGGCTGGCTGCACAATTTTTTCACTTTGCCTTAGAATTTCATCACCAAGAAGTCTTCACACACAAAGTCTTCACAATCAGGGCAAATGTTCCTCAAAATTCATTTTTTAAATCCAGGTAGAATTTTCTTACCCCTGTTTAACCCTTCCTATCTGTCATTCATTGGCTTTGTGAATTATCTCAAGCCTGAATTATTCTACCTCACCCCAGCCTGTCTGTGCCCTGCCTATGTCAAGAATTCTGCCTTAGCACTGAGAGCCTGCCTGAGAGCTGGGGTTTAAAATGTCAGGTGGGACCCACTAGCACAATTGTGTTTCAGTCCAGACTTGTTGAGCTGCCTGGGTGCAGACATGTAGGAGGTGGAGGGCTAGGTTACACAGGGGTGAAGCTTATAACAGAAAGGGGACAGGGCAAGGGTGTTAAGGGTGTATGCAGTGGAAGATTCACAAAGACAGATTTTGAAGTCTACCTGAGGAAGTGTGGAAGTGGGAACAGACCATGGATGGTTATGGTAAACTGAATAACCTCCCCCTAAAATATTCACATCTTAAATGGCCAGATCCCGTGAATGTTACTTTATATAGCCAAGGAGACTTTGCAGGTGTAACTGAGTTGAGGAGACTTTGCAGGTGTAACTGAACTTAGGATCTTGAGATGAGATTATCCTGGGTTATCTAGTGAGCTATAAATGTAATCACAAGGGTCCTTATAAGACAGGGGACAGAAGGTCAAAGGAAGAAGAAGATGTGTTGATGGACGCAGCAATAAGAGTGATGCCCTTTGAAGACAGAGGAGGAAAGCTATGAATCCAGGAATGTAGGTGGCTTCTGGAAGCTGAAAAAAGCAAGGAAATGGATTCTCCCCTAGAGCCTCCAGCAGGATGCAGTCCAGCCTATGCCTTGACTGTAGCCCAATAAGACCGATTTCAAATTTCTGACCCCTAAAACTGTAAGAGAATAAATTTGTGTTGTTTTAAGGGGAGAGAGAGAGAGAGAGAGAGAGAGAGAGAGAAAGAGAGAGAATTTTCTGCCTTAAGGCCATGTGAGAGCTGTCAATTGCCAAGGTGTCTGCTGAATTTAACCAGGAAGCCACTCTCATTGAATCATCATCATCACCATCCTCCTCCTCATTATTAGCACCTCTGGGATTCCATTGCCACTACCACCACAGCAACAGCTGACATTTATCAAGCAGTTACCTTACACCAGGTTCCTTGGTATGTGTTTTACACGCATTATCTAATTTCTGTATTTACAATAACCTTGTATGGGAGGTACCATTATTAACCTTATTTTAGAGGTGAAGAAAATGGGACTGAAAGGTAACTTTTTGAACAGAAGTTTCATAGGCTTTCTACCAGGTGGGGAAATACACACATTTCCTATTTTATGGTTTGCCTGATGGTAATGAACAGGGTTTGAGACTGGGAGTAGGGGAGGGGGCACAGTAATGGACATAATCCCTTAGTACCTCCCTTTCTGATATCTGCTTCTTTCTTTGGTATTTGGGGTTGGGGAGCAGGCACACCAACCTAAAACAAATCTTAGTCCCTGATCCATGACTCTGGCAATGGTTTTCTGGAAGAGACCCCAGTAATAATAATAATCACCACTTTACAAAGCTACTATGTACTCAGCACATTATTAATAGACTTTCTAATCTCCACAACTATCTTGTATGGTAGATATTACTGACATTTGTCAGATAAGAAAACTACACCTCAGGTAGGTTAGATGACTGGTCCAAGGCTACCCAGCTAGTTAGTAAATGCCTAATCTCAGATTCAAACCAAAGGCTGATGCCATCATCTATATTGTTTCAATTACTCTAGGCCACTCTCTAACAACCAGCTCACAGAGAGCACATATTGAGGTCCATTTCAGATTTATACCCAGATTTGAGTTGAGCATCTGATCTTATATGGCCAAAGAGACTTTGCAGGTATAACTGAGTAAAGAGCCTTGAGATGGGGGGACTATCCTGGATTATCCAGTGGGCCGTAAATGTAATCACAAAGGTTCTTCTGCTGGCTTTATTTGGGCTTTAGTGGATGCTGTGCCTTCTGCAGTTCAGACTTCTTCTGAGACAAGCACTTAAAAATTGGAGTTCAGGCCTTTACACCTAGGTCACAGCTACCCCAACCCTGGGGTGGGTTGTTGACTGGCTGTTTGGCCAAGCAAACCTCAGTGTTTCATTCTGAGATATTCAAAGGTTCTGGGAATTGGGACATGGATGTCTTTTGGGGAACATTGTTTAGCTACTACATCAGGTAATGCAGATCAACTTCAACCTTGGGCCTGAAGGCCAAGTTTCTCCCTTAAAATCTGGCTTTAGATTGAATATCTCATCTTATAGGACACTTTGTCCCAGTGCCACAACTGGTAAAATTCACTAGAAATGTAATGACAAATAGTTATCAAGTGCCTACTACTACATGCTAGTCACTGTGTTGGTCTCCAGGGATTTCAGAGTTTATGGTGCTGGGATAATTGGCAATCCACAAGTAGAAGAATGAAACTGGATTCTCCTCTCTCATCTTATACAAAAATCAATTCAAGATGGATCCTGAATTCAATTCAAGACTTAAATCTAAGACCCAAAACCATAAAAATTCTAGAAGATAACATGGGGAAAACCCTTCTAGACACTGGCTTAGTCAAAGACTTCATGACCTAGAATCCAAAAGCAAATGCAACAAAAACAAAGATAGAGAGATGGGGCTTAATCAAACTAAAAAGCTTCTGCACAACAAAAGAAGCAATCAGCAGAGTAAACAGACATGTTTACTCTGGGAGAAATCTTCACAATCCATACATCTGACAAAGGACTAATATCCAGAATCTACAAGGAAGTCAAATAAATCGGCAAGATAAAACCAAACAATCCCATCAAAAAGTGAGCTAAGGACACGAATGGATAATTTGCAAAAAACAAACATATACAAACATGAAAAATGCTCAACATCACTAATGATCAGGGAAATGCAAATCAAAACCACAATGTGATACCACCTTACTCCTGCAAGGATGACCATAATCCAAAAATCAAATAATAATAGAGGTTGGCATGGATGCAGTGAAAAGGGAACACTTTTACACTGCTGGTGGGAATGTAAACTAGTACAGCCACTGTGGAAAACTCTGGAGATTCCTTAAAGAACTAAAAGTAGAACTTCCATTTGATTCAGCAATCCTACTCCTGGGTATCTACCCAGAGGAAAAGAAGTCATTATACTAAAAGGATACTTGCACATGCATGTTTATAGCAGCACAATTTGCAATTGCAAAAATATGGAACCAGCTCACATGCCCATCAATCAAGTGGGTAAAGAAATTGTGGCACATACATCTACCATAAAATACTACTCAGCCTTAAAAACAAGCAAAATAATGGCATTTGCAGCAACCTGGATGGAATTGGAGACCATTATTCTAAGTGAAGTAACTCAGGAATGGAAAACTAAACATAGTATGTTCTCACTCATAAGTGGGAGCTAAGCTATGAGGATGCAAAGGCATAAGAATGATACAATGGACTTTGTGGATTCAGGGGGAAGGATAGGAGTGGTGAGGGATAAAAGACTACACACTGGGTACAGTGTACACTGCTCGGGTCCTGGGTGCACCAAAATCTCAGGAATCACCACTAAAAAGCTTATTCATGTAACCAACCACGACCTGTTCCCAAAAAGCTACTGAAATGTAAAAAAAAAAAAGAAAAAAGAAAAGAGAAAAAATACTTGAGTTCTGTAGGAAAAGAAAGAGCTAGACCATGTAAAGAGCATGAGGGGAAAACATTCCAGACAGAGAGAAATGACTAGACTAAGGCCTTTGAGAGAGGTTGCACACTCGGGAACTGAAGGAAGAGTGTGTGGTTGCAGAGTAAGGAAGGAGAGAATGTCACAACATGGCTGGAAACGCAGGCAGGGGCCAGATTATGTGGATGTTTCAAGTCAGGAAAGGCCTTGGGATTTTATTCTAAGAGTAGATAGAGTCCACTGACAGGAGAATACTGTTAATGTGACAATGAAATGTGGTTAATGATATTAAAGGATTCCAAACCCCAGTTACATGTTTCTTGAACAAAAAAGTGTAGGCTAAAGCGAAAATCACTTCTTTTTTTTTTTTTTTGAAATGGAGTCTCACTCTGTCTCCCAGGCTGGAATGCAATGGCACAATCTCAGCTCACTGCAACCTCTGCCTCCTGGGTTCAAGCCATTCTCATTCCTCGGCCTCCTAAGTAGCTGGGATTACCACCAGGCCCGGCTAATTTTTGTATTTTTAGCAGAGATGGGGTTTCACCATGTTGCCCAGGCTGGTCTTGAACTCCTGACCTCAGGTGATCCACCCTCCTCAGACTCCCAAAGTGCTGGGATTACAGGATTATAGGCGTGAGCTGGAAGTCACTTCTTAAAAGTAGGTTTCCTTCCCATGATGGAGAAAACTCAATACTACTAATGCATTTTTCTCCAGACTTGAGAAGAGGGTTCTGGCATTGCTTCTATGTCTGCCATTGCAGCTTCTTTACAACTAACATCAAAGATAACTTTCTTACTTTAAAAACCTTCATGCTTTTTGGCCCAGTACTTCCAGATCTGGGAATATATTCTAAGGAATAATAATCAATGTAAATAATGATTTATGTAGAAGGATAATTGTAGCATCATTGCAATAGTGAAAATATTAGAACAACCCTGGTATTAACGGGGGGAATGATCATGTCTATTGAAATGATAGAATATTATATAGTCATTAGAATACTATCTTTTGAGGATGACATCTTTTTACATGTTTAGTTATATAAAAATCTTGCTAATATAACTTGAAGTTAAGATAAATAGACTATTAATAAATATATACCCACATATGTACATAAACATATTCTCTATTTCAGTTAAGACAAATGCAAATGAACGTAAAAATAAAAATATTTACAATGGGTATCTCCATGGCTGCTCCTTACTCAGCATAAGATACTAATTGACGTTTCTTGAATATCACCCAGTCTATAGTAGACACTAGGGTAATAATTATTGACTAAAGAATAACTCCCTGAGAATACAGAACTAATTCCAGATATGTGAATGACAGCTTAGCTTTGCTTTAGTGCAATGGGTGATGGCAAGTTTAAGAATCCTTAAATTAGAAACATTTCCCCCTTATAAAAAGATTTTCTTGTCCTTTATTTTGTATCTTCTGAGCCTCTTTCAGAGCATAAAATGTGATTATTTCTGCCAGTCCCAACATCCCTATTCTGTGTGCCTCGTGAAAAAAAAAAACTCATTAATTTATCAATCATCATCAAGAAATAGAGGTGGTAGTGAGATATTTAATAGAAGTTTGGAACTGCATTGATTGACACAGAGAATAAATAACTGTTTGTTTATATGATAATTGGAGTAGTCCGGGGAAATGTGCTCCCTCCCAAATCTTTCTTTCCTTCTAGCAGTCTGAAATATCACATTAGAGGAGAATTTGTTCAGCTTAAGGTATCATTAAAAATATAAATACCCAAAGAAATAGAGTGAGCCATTCTCAGTTATAATTAATTAAGTAGATCCTGTTCAATATTACCAAGGTCTGGGAGAGGGGGCCTTGCTCTGCAGTAGAGGGGAAACAACAGGATGCCCCAGGGGAATGAGGAGCTAAGAGGCAGGACGCTGGTGAGGAAGAGATATGAAGAACTAGGGAGCGGGCGGGACGGGCCTCATGAGAACACTGAATGAGGTATGTGAATGCCTGAATTTAGGCTCCACCTTAGTCACTAATAGTCACTAACAGAGTCTGCTTGGAGAGGAGGTTTGACACGTGTTAGGGCCTGCCATCTCCATAGTCCCTTCTGAAGAAGACAGACCATGGCCATCCTGGTCATGGCGGATGGGCCCCAGGACAACTGATCCACAGGCCCAGTGGCAGCCTTCATGAGTGGCTGACACAAGAACTTTGTCCATAAGAAATAACTATGAAACTAAATGAACCAACCAGTCCCTCTGTCTTCAGGGGTGTGAAGGATAGATAGAAGGAAAGAGAGCTAGCAATGGGCACAAGCCGAAGGAACCCCGGAGAGAACGAGAAGTCAGGAACCTTAACCATGAAAGACTGAGAGTCAGCAGAAGCTGTAAACACTGATGAGTTGGTTTCTTTCAAGTTATTAACCTTCTGCGTCCGTAGAAGTAGCAGAAGCAGTAAAAGCCGAGACTGAAAGGAGCAGGAATAGGGCAAAGCTTAACCCTCGAGCAGACGGGAAGGGATCCCTGCTGCTGGGTTTGTGGCCAGATGGCCTGGATTCTCTGCTGTCTCAACTCCTGCAGGAGTGTTCCAGCGGCCACAAAACCCAGGTATGTGGGATTGCGGCTGACCTTCTTCACTTCCCTGTCTAGACCAGGACCTGCCACCACACATCCCCTCTAATGCCCATACATGTGCACACAGCCACACGCACACACACACACACACACACACACACACACCCCTACATACCCACCCTTGAGTAAAGGAACTGGGATGTGCCTCTGTTGCTTCCAACTCCAGAGCTTGTTAATTTTAGATAAGTTTCTCTGAGACTAAAAGACGTTTCTAAAATAAAGCATTTGGACAAGACAGTCTCTAAATTTGTGTCCAAATCTTGCCTTTGGAATTCCATGAATCTAAGATGTGAGGAGATTAGGATTGGATCATGTTTCATATTACAGTAACTTCCCCCACATAAAGGGAGAGAGATTCTAAAAAAATTTATCCCTTCTTCATTATAGAAATCCAGTGAATATTATAATTTGCCATAACAAATTACAAGAACAGGAGAGTTATAAATCTATAAGATGGGCAAAGTATGTACGTGTAGTTGGCAAAAGGGGCTGAGGAGTGGAGAGTTAAGGAAGTAAGAATTTGCTGAGAAGACAAACTGAGAAATGGAGTGGGCTGGAGCAGGCAGGACTGATTAGGAGGGGCTGAGGTTTGCTGCTTTCAAACTAGCCCTAATCACATTATTTGAGAGTGCACAGTGGGTCTGGTGCCTTTTCTCCAAATGATGTAGACATATGTCCGCTCAAATAAATTAATACTCTCATCTCATCTGACTCATTTGGTGGGGATGACAAGCACACATCTGACTGAAATAGAAGAAGGAGAGGGCACAGTGGCAGGAAGAAGGAAGGCAGAGATATTGCACAAATTATCAGACCTTCCCCTCACCACGGGATAATACCCAAACTCCCAGCTGCGGGCATGACTGGCCCTACCTCATCTCCCTCATCCTTGCCTTCCTACTGCGCATGGCATGAGCCAACTATACTAAATTTTTTGGCAGTTTAGTTATATTCTTGCTATCTTTTGCCTCTGTGCTTCTATGTATTCTCTTCTCTCTGTTAGGAGAATCCTGATTCTCCTACCTACACAGAGAACTTCTATCCTTCCTTCAAGTCATGAAACAAGCTTTATATCCCCCCATCTAGAATATAATCTCTGATAGGGCAGGACCTTTGTGTTTTGTTCATGATGATATACCCAATAGCTAGAGCAGTGTCTGGCACTTAGCCAGCTCTCAGTCAGTGTTTGTTAGCTGGGTGAATGGCTGGTGTTAAAGAAAAAATGTATTCATTCTGACACGTGTTAAGAGCAATAAGGTGAACTTTAGCCAAGTGGGACAATTACAATAAGTATACAGGAGAGCTACTACAAGGGGGTCTTGCAGAAGGACAGAGAAATTGGGCTTGACTCCAAATACAACAAGGAAAAGTGGGAATTTATAGCTAAGAAGCAGAGAGGTCAGTGGAGGGAAATCAACTAAGAGGAAACATTGGGGTAAGGAAGAATTCTGGCTAAACTGACCTAACAGGATTCTTGCTAAAGGCAGGCCGGGATATCAGACATCACCTGGGGGATATTGAGGGTAATCATATATCCAGGGTAGGCAGTTATGGTTAAAACAACTTAGCAGAATTCTTACTAAAATTGGAAAATGAGAGATGAACACAGAAGCCCAAAAGTTGACCTAATTGAGAAAAGAGTTCAAGAGAGCCTGAGTAGAGTTTAGCCAAGGAGATAATCTTTTGTCAATGTATAGGTGGATGAATGGATGGATGGATGGATGGATGGATGGATGGATGGATGGATGGATCAATGGACAAAAGAACTTCCTCTTAACCCCCACAAGTCCCTTTGGGTACAAATTGTTTCTTTCCTGTTGTCTATTTACCACATTTTATAAATCTTTATTAGGCCTTATACCCAAGAGACAGAATCTCCTAAAGAGAAGATATCATGTAATAATAAAAGCAGAGAATGATGGGTAGACAGGGAAGAAGAAGGAGACCAGCTATTTATAACCATCAATTCCCATCTAAGAAGCTAGATTCTATTAAATAAAGAGCCCCTGCTGTTCTGTTGGACTCTTGGGTCATTTTAATATCCAATGGATCTGAGAGTATAGGCTGCTGGGAACTGGATACCTTCCCATAAAACAAACAGGGGAATATAAGGGAGGAGAAAAGATACTAGGAGGAGGAGAAGAAGGTGGTATGACTGGCAGTCTGTTCTGGGTGAGAGAATATTACTAAAAAGTTGCTGTTAATGGTAAGGCTGGATAACTTTTTAGATTTGAAGATATTTGTCTTCCTGCAACATAAACCTTTTTCTGTGTCCCTCAGTCTTCAATGAGCCCTATGCCACATGCTTGAAGTGAAAGGGACTGAACTCCCTATTAAGTAGGAAGAAGAGAGCTTTGCCAGATGATGAATCAACCTAGAAACTGAGGAAAAGCAGGAGTTTGAACCAGAACACACTGTAAGCCTCCTGGGAATGCAGTCATCTTAGGGTGGGTTTTGGACTCCCACAGGGCTGGCAACAGGGGTTCAAGACAACCATGTCTACAATTTGGGACCAGGAATGACCCAGCTCATGTTTAACTCATAGAAGACTCTGAACAACTTTGTTGGGGGAAAAAAACAAAGGGGAAAAATGAGGAAAGGGAAAGATGTAAATACTTGTACTTGTTTTCAGAACTGAGCCTTGATTGCTTAATGCAAACATGGAAATAAAAATAGTATACTTATAATAAAAGAGCTACTCAAAGAATTTTCGTTCATAAGCTCTCAGAGGCTTTAGCAAAACTAAAAATTTGGGAAAATTTGTCTTGACCTCTCATTCATTACCTCCCAGACATCAGTCACTCTCCCCAAAGCATTTGCTTGCCAAAGGGGAAACTTTGAACCCTGAAAGACCTTTAAATAAAGTAGTTAAGATAGTCTGGGTGGGGTAGTTTTATGCACAAGAGGTCAACCCGCTGGATCAGGGAGTAAATTACAAGGATTCAAATTTGCACCCTCACACCCTTTTCCTCTATAAATCCTCCAGTCCAGGAGAGAACACATAGAAGGACCTGATAACTGCGTGTTCACCGTGCACAATATTCACCACTCTCTCTCTCCCCCTTCTCTTCTTTAGTCTCACAGCATTAATTTAGGATCTCGCTGTCTCCCTCATCTCATTCCTGAACTAGCAGAATAGCTTCCTGACTGCTGACTGGACTAATAGTTTACCTCCTCTCAATCAACTTCAACTTTCCATCCTACCATTAATTTTTTTTTTTTTTTTTTTTTTTTTGAAACAGAGTCTTGCTGTGTCGCCAGGCTAGAGTGCAGTGGCACAATCTCGGCTCACTGCAACCTCTGCCTCCTGAGTTCAACCGATTCTCCTGCCTCAGCCTCCTGAGTAGCTGGGATAACAGGCACGCATGACCACACCCAGCTAATTTTTTGAATTTTTAGTAGAGATGGGGTTTCACCATGTTGATCAGGCTGGTCTCAAACTCCTGACCTCGTGATCTGCCCACCTCAGCCTCCCAAAGTGCTGGGATTATAGGTGTCAGCCACCGCATCTGGCCCCATTAATCTTAAAATACTGGTTTGACTTTGCACTCACCTGTGCCTCATTGCCTGAAGAATAAAAAAGAGGCTCTGTCCCCAACATGTCTCTTGTGCTTATTCTTTAAGTCTGTGCTCAGACACCATCTCTAATTCTGTGCTCCCTCGAGGAAAATTTAGTTCTCCCTGTTCTCTAGATAGAGTGCTTTTTACACTCTCCTACTATTAGAATTAATTGTTTATGTGTCTGTCTCCACACAAGGCTGTGACCCCCACCAGGACATGACCACACCTTTGTTTTCTGTAGTTCTGTATCTTTAGCCCAATGTGTGGACTACATGACTATTCATTCAATGAATGATGGTGTGGAGGCTGAAGTGACTCCATCTTGGATGCTAATCCACATGTTGACTTCTGATTAACCTCAGTTCTGGGAATGCCTGTAAGGTTTCTATTTTATCTACCGCTCCTTGGGTAAGAGCATGTACTTGCCAAAAATCCTGCCCATAGGTCAAAATGACCTTGACTATAAATCCTGCCCCTAGTCAAATTCTATGCCAAGACATAGTATTCTTGCCCTTCCCTAGCAGGTCAACTTCAGTTGCCCTACATAGTCTTTCCCTGTGGTATATAAGCCCTGGGTCTGGAGGAGGTGATGGTGCTGGGATCCACCATCTTGCCTTGCCCTCAGACATGGCTTCTGTTTGTAAGTCCCTACTAAATGTTTCTTTCTAAGAAACAACACTTCTCAGCCTCTTTCTTCAACCTCTCAGCTTCCTCAGGCTTTGGGGGTAGATTTATATAGATCTGCCCACTACGGAACAGATGAGCATGAAATAAATTATCTTTAAAGTAATTATGAAGCTACAGTATTTAAGTTCCTCACAATTTGAAGTAAGACAATTGTGAAATAATAGAAAAATAAGGATTTGAACAGTAAAGACAGACTAAGGTTTCAATCTAATCCTTGTGACAGAGTAGCTATGTTGGCCAAGTTCCATACAACCCCTGAACTTCAGTACTTTAATTTGGTTGTTATGAGGGTGGGATGCAATCCACACAGAGAAGCTGGCCCATAGAAATTGCTCTAACAGAGCAGACAGCTAATATTACAAGCTTGGTCCAAGTTTTCCTTTCCAGAATTTCCTCCCAGAATTTCTATGTGGCATTTGGGTTAGGAGGGGCAGGTTCTGGCATTGGGTTGTCTAGTTTCAAATCCTGGCCTGACCTCTTGCTAGCTGTGTGCTCTTATACAACTTGCTTTCCCTTTTTGCCCTTCAGTTTCTGCATCTGTAAATGAGAAAACAACAGTACCACCTCACAAAATTTTATGTGAAGATTAAGTAAGATAATATAGGTAACATACTTAGGATAGTACCTGGTCCCAAGAAGTGCAAAGTAAATGTGAGCTCTTGTTACTGAAACTCCTAAGCACAACCCACACATTAAGCCTCTTACCTTTGTACATGTTATTCCTCCCTTTGGCAGCCTTGTCTTTCTCATTTCTGTCAAGACCTACACATTTCCCTAATCCTCCAAACCAAAATTTTTAGTTAGCTTATTTTTTATTTAATATTTATTCAATATTGATGAGAAGCATCATAGCAACCATCTCTAAACTTGGCTAATCATAGGAATCATCTATGGTGTTTGTAGAAAACACAGATTTGTGATCTTATCCCAGAATTTCTGAATCCTGAGATGTGCACTGTTAACAATATACCAGGTGGTCATTATGATGAGCAAGTTTAAAAAGCATTACCATATAGCAAAGTTCTTGAATCTCTTTACCAAGCTCCATGACCTGGGTAAGTTTATTTAACTTCTCTAAGTCTCAGTTTCCTCATCTGTAAAATGGATATAATAATTGTATCTATTTAACTGGATTGTTATGAGGAGGAAATGAGATATTGTGTAATGCATTTACCACAATACCCTGGCACAGAGTAAACGCCCAGTGTCCGCCTGTATACACAGTATATTATACTGTGTGCTAATATTTAACACACATTATCTATTCCCCCTGCCAAAGGTACAAGCTAAATATCATTATCTTCATTTTACAGATAACACTAAATTAACATGTGTTGAATAATTACTATGAGAAAACAGGCTTATAAAATTTGACTGCCTTGGCTGAGTGTGGTGACTCACGTCTAATCCCAGCACTTTGGGAGAGGCCAAGGAGGGAGGATCATTTGAGATCAGGAGTTTGAGACCAGCCTGGGCAACACAGTGAGGACCCATCTCCGAAAAAAAAAAAACCATTTTAATTAGCTGGGTGTGGTGGTGCACACCTGTAGTCCCAGCTACGTGAGAGGCTGAGGTGGGAGGATCGCTTGAGCCCAGGATATCAAGGCAGCAGTGAGCCGTGACTACACCATTGCACTCCAGCCTGTGCAACAAAGCAAGACCTTGTCTCAAAAAGCCAACACGGTGAAACCCTGTTTCTACTAAAAATACAAAAATTAGCTGGGCATGGTGGTGTGCACCTGTAATCCCAGCTACTTGGGAGGTTAAAGCAGGAGAATCGCTTGAACCCAGGAGGCAGAGGTTGCAGTGAGCCGAGATGGCACCACTACACTCCAGCCTGAATAACACAGTGAGACTCTATCTAAAAAAAAAAAAAAAAAAAAAAAAGCTACATCGTCTAAGATCGTAAAACCAGCCAATGGCGGAACTGGATATCAGTAAAAACCTTTATTGCTTCAAAGACCACCATCTTGCCACTATACCACACTGGGTCACACACAAGATTTCTTTCTCCTTCTCCTCCTCCTCTTTCTCCTCTTCATCCTCCCTCTTGTTACAGTTTAGGGCAGTGGGGGGAGGTGTTACTGGCATTCAGTGGCTAGAGGCTAAGGATGCTTCTAAACATTCCACAATGCACAGGACAGCCCTTCACAAGAATTGTCCAGTTCCAAACGTGAATAGTGCCAAGGTTGAGAAACCATGCCCATAAATGACAGATTTCCTAAGGGCAGGAACTAGGTACCACTCGTGTTTGTATCCTCTACAGCAGTCCTTCTCAATATGTGCTGCATTCTGTAACCACTTGGAAAGCTCCCTGAATCACCCTCAAAATGTTTGACTTAATTGTTCTGAGGTGAGGCCTGGGCATTAGCATTTTTTAAAGCTCCTGGGATGATGGAGATGTTCGAAAATTGAATTGTGACAAGACATAATTCTGTAAACTTACTAAAAAATCATCGAATTGTAACTTAAAGTGGGCAAATTTATGATATGTGAATTAACCTTCAACAAAGCTGTTAAAAATAAGAAGAAAAAAGCTCCCCAGGTCTCTTATGTTCCTCCCTCTGTGAGAACAGCTTTTCTTAAGGGTTTGCCATAGTGTTTTATTCATAGCTGCTGCTTGGCAGATATTAATTGTACAAACTGAAATGTAACTAGATTGATTTAAATGTGCAGAACAATGACCTCTACATAATAGCCAGAATATAACTGCTTTAAAGCTCTTCATAGAAATTTGTATTACGTTGAAAATGGCAAAGTCCTTTGGCCCAAGAGCCTCAGCAGTTTGGACATCTGAAGCTGGCTGAGTGGTTGGCTTCCTAGGGATCATTACGACATGGAAGCTGAAAGGGCACTCAATGTACATTTCTACCAAGCAGGACACTCAGCTTCCTGCACCCAGAAAAATTGGAAGCAGCTCTTTTCCCAGTGAATTGTGGGGAAACAAACTGGTTATATATCCATGAAATCATCCACTGTGACTTAAAGTTTTCATATTAGATTTCACAATCAACACCCCCTTGCCAGTTAAGCCATATTTCTTTCTGATTGGTAGTAGTAAGATAAAACTGACCTATTTTTTGTGGTGTGACATATCATTACAGGCCTATGTGAAATTATGAGTTTAAATGAACTAGAAAAGGAGAATCCTTTCCAAAAGTGAGTGCTGCCTTGCTATTTGGAGAAGATAAAACTTACCAACTTTAGACTTATCATGAGGAAAACTAAACTGTCCACCTCCCTTTTTGGCATCAGAATAAGGGGAGGGTAGATCACTACTATACTTGTGGAGGGCAAAACAAAGATCTGAGTCCCCCTTTCTGGGGTCCATTTTAAAAGACATACAGACAAATGAGTGTAGCTTCTCTGGGGATAAAAAAAATTCATTTGATTTTGTTTTACCTAAAGCAGCTTTTTCTGAAGATGATTTTCAGACTTTTTATTTATTTTGCTCCCAGTAATAGCCAGTGGAGTATTTTAAGTGGAATGCAAGACTCCCCCACTCCTTATCTATTTACAGCACTGTGTTAATATACAGTCAGGCTACTGTTCTAATGAGTATTCCTTTAGGTTTGCATGTACACAGGTTGGAGTCGTAGTATGTCTGTATTAGGCTGTTCTCGCATTGCCATAAAGAAATACCTATGGCTGGGTAATTTCTGAAGAAAAGAGGTTTAACTGACTCATGGTTCTGCAGACTTTACAGGAAGCATGATGTTGGCATCTGCTCAGCTTCTAGGGAGGCCTTAGGAAACTTACAATCATGGCAGAAGGCAAAGGGGAGCAATCTCGTCACATGGCGAAAGCAGAAGCAAGCAAGCGGGGGGGAGCGGATGCCCCACCCTTTTAAACAACTAGGTCTGGCAATATCTCACTCACTATCTCAAGGACAGCACCAAGAGGATGGTGCTAAACCATTCATGAATAATCCAACCTCATGATCCAGTCACCTCCCACCAGGCCCCACCTCCAATAATGGGGATTACAGGTCAACATGAGATTTGGGTAGGGACAGATATACAAACTATATTAATGTCCTCTTCTGTTCTTCTTTCTGATGAGGTGGGCTTTTCTTAATACCATTTATTGTTATGTGACCCTTCCTTCTCAGCTTGGTAATAACCAGATCACCTGACTATGAAGTTTTCTGAGAAGTACCCTAAGGGAATGCTCATCTCCCCACCAAGTCCTGGGTTCCCCACTGACCACATAAAGCCAAGGGGGGCCTAGGAAAGTGTACTTGCTGGCTAAGCCTTGACCCCACCAAATCCTTTTCAGGGAATTGAGTGGAGAACAAGACACCTATGTCACCCACTTACTCACTGGGAAATCTGTAGGACAGGCATTTCCATACACTAAGACTTTTGTGGCAGGGTAGGATTTTCTTTTCCCCATGCCTTATTTAACTACAGGACAGTAGCAGTTCCATTTTCCATTAGGCAATAGATATAGACCTTATGCATGTTATTCAAACTCTATGCCTGTTTCCTCATTTGTAAAATATGAATAATAATAGCACATACTTCATAGTCATAACTACAAGTGCTCAATAAATGGGAGGTAATTTTTTATAAGGCAATATGGAAACAGAAACTTTGTCAGAAGAGTGAGGCATTGAAGTTATTCTCTGAGCAGGATTGTCTATTGACCAAAGAAATGTTGCTTGCTTATTAACCTGAAGTGCTCCCCACAGAAGAATCTGAAGGACTTAAAACCTTTTTCACTTACACCCAGGAAAGAACTGAAGTCACTTCAGGATGGAGCCATTAGTGACTCCTCCAGGTGCCCTAAAAAGAGCACAGAGGGAGGAAGAAAAAAAAAAGGTTGTGAGGGTTCCTCTGAGAAAGAGAAAAGACACCATATTGGAAAAGGCTTCCAGTTGCCTGAGGTAGGCACTCTTTGAGGACTAAGATGTGACTCTGTAGGAACACAGAAATGCTTGGCACCATCCTCTGCAGTCAGTTTACCTGTCCAACAGTAACATTTTGCTTCATTTTCTGGTAATAAACTTTTCCTGCACACTTGTCCAGACATTTTGTACTCAGCTGACATGTTTTCCTAGAGGCTTCTAGGAAGGGTGGGCGCCCTCTAGTCAGGATGTCTGGAAGCGCTTGTTAAGCACCAGTTTTTCTAGGCACTGGAGGGAAGAAACGGGAGAAAAGGCAGAGAGTGAGGACAGAAGGAAGAAAAGAAAGTTCCTGTCAAGCTGTTTCTGGAGAGATAAGGCTTACATCATGAAATGAAACTACAGTTAAGACAATAAGTTATTAAGTTGCACCTACATGTGTTTTGAGAAAGGAGAAATCTGTGGGGACATAGGAAGTCAAGGAACCTGAAGGGGGAATAATGTGTAAATACTGATTTGAGTGCCTGCTCTAGTATTTTACCCCTCACAATAACTCAAAAGTTAGATATCATTTCCCTCATTTAACTTAGGAAATTGCAGCACAGTGACATTTAAAACCATGCCCAACGTCACGTGGCTAATAAGAAGAAGCTGAGTCTAAGCTGGTACCCAGGTTTGTCTGTATCCAATGCCCTTGCTCATTCCACTCTCTCTTGGCCTTGAAATGAGATCTGAAAGATGGTTATGAATTGGATAGTGGTGATAATAAAGTGGGTGGATTCCAGGTTTTAGTTCAGGAGAAGGAAGTATAGATTGAAGAGGTGGTTTATGAGGGTAAAACTTCATTTCCTTTACTTTGGAGATTACTGTGCAAAAAAATACATAAGGCAAAGAGAGTTAAACCATACAGTGGGCTTCTTCCCTTGGAAATTCTCCTGATGATCTGGTGCTACAGGATTTTACCTCGGCAGCTTTGTGGAGACAATCCAACCCAGTGCTGGAAAGTTCCAACAGCCTCTCTGTGATTTTATGAGCAGATGGCACCATTTGGACCATATTTCAGAACTTACAGATTTTGCCCAGAATTTTTTATTTTTCATTTTCTATGTATAATTCATACGAGCCTTGACAGCTTGCCTTGCTGAAATACTTTCCTTTTACACTCTTGTGCTCTCAGTTGGTCTCTACCTGGCTGAGCCACTGGCCAGTGTAAGCAAATAAATAGTAATTTTTATAATAGTAATTCATGCCTAGTTTTTACGAAAGTAATTCAAACTATAAATTTTGTAGGAATTTTCAAAGTCTATCTTGAATATTTATCTGTCTTGTTCGGATACTACCTCAATATGATAGTCAGAAAGGAAAGGAGACCTAGCAATGCCTGGTTTCCCTGCTGGGCACTTATACACACATTATCTCATTTTATTGCCATCACTAATATTTGTGAGGCTCTCACATCCAGAATCTGAATGATAGGATGAATCATACTCTAGAGTTTGTAGCACATGATTGACAGCACAACCTGCATAGGCCCTTTTAAATTTAATTGTATGCATTTTTTGTCATCTTCACCTCCCATACTCAATGCCACTTGCCATCTCTTCTCTCATCATGCACATTCAATCTCATATATTTAACGCATGTCATTCCATCATCCATACCTTTATTCACAAGTTTGTGTAACAATGAACAACATAAAGTATTATTTTGTGTTTTGTATAAACTGCATTGTGCTAAGCCTTTTATTTTGCTTTTTACTTTTTATACTCTATATTACGTTTGTGAACTACCCTCATTGACACATGTTGATCTAGTTCCTTCTTTTTTATTGAAACACTGTATTTCATAATGTACATATACCACATTATGTTCATCTGTTCCCTGTTGATGAACATTTGGGTTGGTTCCAAATCTCTGCTCTGACAGATATTAGTAACAATGTTTCTTTGTGAAATATTTTCCAAGATAATTGCCCAAGCATGGGATTTCCTGAGTTATAAGAGAAATGCATATTTCATTTCACTAAAAACCACCAGACTGTTCTCCAAAAGCTTATACTCTCAGCAGTGCATGAAGCTTTCTGCTTCCCCATTTATTATCAACATTTGATAGCATATTACTTACTTATTGCCTATTGTTGAGAGAAAAATGAAATCTCATTTTAATTGCATTTTAAATGACTGCTAATGAAGCTAAGCCTCTTTTCATGAATTTATTAGCTATAAGGATTTCCACTTTCTGTGAATTGCCTACTCACATCTACTGTTCCTTTTTCTGTTAGGCTGCTGATCTTTTGTTGCAGATTAGCAGGGATTTCTATGCATTCTAGATGTATATCCATTAACAGTATGTAATATTTTATTATCAATATACCGTGTAGATATTTTATTTCAATCAGCCCCATTGTATTCACTAGATAACTTCTTATATGCCAACTGTTGTTGAACAAATGTTTTTCATTTAAATACAGTAAAAAGCCAACAAAATTTCCCCTTTATGGTTTTTAGACTTTTGTCTAAAATAATACTACTCCTTCCACTTCCAGAAAGCCCCCATGAAATGCTCTAAGGACCCCGCTCTCCAGGAAACAGCTATAATTAATGAAAATTGTATTAAAACAACGATTTCACATCTCTGAAAATTGATCTAAGGGCATATGCAAATAAAGAAAGATTTATTCAAGAAAATTTACCAAATCTCGGTAAGAACACCAAGAGTCTGGCACTTGAGCCACCACCACTCCTGTCCTCATTCATCCATATTTCAGTGCAATGCCTGAAGCTCCAATCTGGGTGGATGGCCAAGAAAACAAGGTCCCTCAACTCTCGGCCTCCAGTTAAGTAATACGTTATCTTCCCAAGAAGGGCAGACCAACAGCATTTCTCATCCCCTCCAGCTCCAAGTTGCTGAGGCTAAATTCTAGATAAGTGTGGCCAAAATACAGTGGCTCCTTTCCTCCACTCATCTCATACTTTTAGAGGCGCAGGCTTGGCCCCAGATCTGGCAGGCTGAAAATAATGAGATCGTGACTACTCTTGCCTCAGCTTATTCATGCAACAGAGATTCCATGCTGGAAGAGGCAAACCAGAAGAGCAGAGGCTATCACCTCCATCCAGTGCCCTGCTTGTTAAGCAGGAATGTCACTCCAAGAGAAGTTTGACACTGTTTTCTTCTCCTGCTCCAGAACAGGGGCTCCAAGATTTTGTTCAGGGGCAGAGGTGCTCCCTTTCTATTTTTTCAGAAGAATAGAAAGTTCCAAACTTCTTCCTAAAGAAATGGGCTTTATTTGAAACACAGTATGGGGAAGTTCAAGCCTAAGGTCACTCTCAAAAACAATGAAGATTTTGGTAGTAAGGAATTAAGAGGAGGCTGGTAGCTCATTTGAGTAATGAGGTAAACTGTAGTTTGGCTAGAGACTGCTAAGGAGAGCCCTCCAGGGGTCAGAACAAATCTCAAAGACTTGCCTTAAAAACTATCTCTGCAAAGGGCCCAAATTCAATTGTATCAGACTATGAAGTAAGTTAACATCCTGTGCATTATCCAAAACAACAGAGCAATCAGCCAGTAATTAATGGAGCATAAAAGCTGAGTGTGATACTAACAGAAGCAGATAGCTGAACAGAGAAATTGGGGAAATATACAGTCAAAGCAAGCCCTAATAAAGTCACTATAATTCCACTATGACAATTTGTAATAGCATATAAAATAAAATAATTAGGCAAAGATTTAACCAAGTTTCATGTACACTGAAAACTACAAAACATTGCAGAAAGAAATTAAAGAACACCTAAATAAATGTTCATGGGTTGGAAGATTTAATATTATGATGATGTTAATATTCGCCACATTGAACTACAGATTCAATGCAATGTCTATCAAAATTCCAGCTACCTTCTTTGAAGAAAAGGATGAGTTAATTCTAAAATTAATACAGAAACGAAAGAGACCTGGAATAGGCAAAACAATCTCAAAAAAGATACTATTAAGAAAGTGAAAAGACAACCCACAGATCGGGGGAAATTTTTTCAAATTATTTATCTGATAAGGGTCTAGTATTTAGAATAATAAAGAACACTTACAACTTAACAACAGAAAGACAAACAACTCAATTTTAAAACAGGCAAAGGATTTCAATAGACATTTCTCCAAAGAAGCTGTACAAGTGGCCAATGGAAATAAAATGCAAGAAACATATGTAATTTTTTATTTTTATTTTTATTTTTTTGACATGGAGTCTCGTATGGAGTGCAGTGGCATGACCTCTGCTCACTACAACCTCCACCTCCTGGGTTCAAGCAATTCCCCTGCCTCAGCCTCCGAGTAGCTGAGATTACAGGCACCTGCCACCATGCCTGGCTAATTTTTGTATTTTTAGTAGAGACAAGGTTTCACCATGTTGGCCAGGCTGCCCTCAAGCTCCTGACCTCAAGTGATCTGCCCACCTCAGCCTCCCAAATTATTGGGACTACAGGCGAAAAATATGTAATTTAAAATTTTCTGGTAGCTGTATTTAAAAAGTAAAAAAGAAACCAATGAAATTGATTTTGATAATGTTTTATTTAACCCAACACATTCAAAATGTTAATATTTCAACAAATAACATAATACAATTATTGATGAGATAGTCTACTTTTTTTAATGGTAAGTCTTCAAAATCTGGTGTGTTTTACATTTACAGCACATGTCATTCTGGTCTACCCACATTTCATACTTGAAATGTAGCTATATGTGGCTAGTGGTTACCACATTAGATAGCATAGTTCTAGAGCAACCTATGCTTACCTCTGTCATTACACTTATCTCTCAAGATGGTTACTCTTGTTTGCTAGCCTGTCTTCCCTTATACTAAGCCCTCTAAAGGCAGAGAGTCTATCTTCACCACTGTTATAGCCTTGGCATCAGCATAGGACCTAGCACATATATACTTGAGTGTATTTGGTTAGAAGGTAAGTATGCCAACCTTATTCTACTTGAGATGTTCACCTATGATCTTCTTCCTTCCCAGAATATTCAGAAAAACTAGGACTTGTTATTTTCAGGAAGAAATACATCAGCACCTTCTCTAGCTAACAATATTAATCATCACTACTCTCAAGTCATTTTCCATTTTTTATTATGTTGACACAAAATTCTTGTGAGGTTGAAAGAATTGTATTCTCCCTCATTGAAAGATGAGGAGACTGAGGGTCAAAGATGTTAAATTACCTGCTCAATACCTAGTGGTATGCTGATTAAGGTTTTAAAATGAGCTTTTTCTTGGTGGAAGGTATTGAGGAAGCCCTGACTTACAGCAATTTGCCAATATCCATGGTGTAAATACTCCCACCATAGCAAATTTCAAGTAATCCACATGATATCCCTGAACATGAAGTGGGGAAGAGATGAACACAATTGCACGTAGCTCCAGTGTGAGCCAGCTCCAACACATTGCTATATGAGAAAGAGGATTTGTGGAAAGGAGGTATCAACTGACATTTTGAGTACTTGTTAAGTATTGAGTAATCTGTAAGGTGCTTCACCAATGTTATCATATTTGATCATGGTAATAAACCTTTGAGGTAGGTATTCATTATCCCTATTTTACAGCAATGGAAAATAAGACTTGGGTTAGGTAACATGCCCAAGGTTACCTGCTAATACACAGGATGATCTTTGGCTAAATTAATGGCTAACCCTACTGCCTTCTCCTTTACTTCAACTCTCGTTTATGTATTTGGGTTCTCCCTTGGCCTTGGTAAAAGTCTTATTTGTATCTGGACTGTGATTCTATGCTAGCTCCCTCAAGGCTCTGACCCAAGGGAAGGGTCATACCAGCTTGACACACCAAAGATTCTTGTAGCTTCACTTCCTACTCTAGAGAAATTTATGTGATCTTGTGGTTTCCACAGAACAGAAACCTAGTGGAGGCTGAAGTGAGAAGTTTCAAGTGGGCAAAAAATGTTTGTGTGGTGGCTCTGGCTCCAGGGCATCCCTCTGCAAGCTGGTTCCATAGTCAGTGTCGATGTGAGCATGAGACATGAAATAAGACATCATCATATGCCCTCTTTCTTCCTAGAATATCAGAAACAATAACTCCTACTAGTTATTGAGTAGTACAATGCAGCACATGGTTTACATACATGTCACTCATTAATTTAAAAAAAAAACCTGGAAGGTTTGTATTGTTATTCCTGTTTTAATCTTGGAAATAAGGCTCAGACATTTAAATAACTTGCAAAAAGTCTCTCGGCTGATAGTGGCAAAGCTAGGATACAAATCTGGGTCCGCTTAACTTCTAGGTACATCGTGTCTCTATACTTTCATGAAGCACAACAGTGAAATCTGCTCTCCCAGCAGCCTCTCTTGGGTTCCTTTTATGCCTTTTGTTCCTGTTGTTCCGTGTTCCCTTGCTTGGCTTGGTCTATTTGATGTCTGAATGTTGGGCAAGTGACACCTGGCGTGTGGGCAGACAGATAATTAAAAGACAGATTCCACCTTTCCCGTGTTCTCTTTGGTTAGACAAACAGCAGCTAATGAAGCTTGCTGACGTCAAAGTTGCAGTCCTGTGGGAGGGTATGGTGCTCACACACCCATTTCAAAGATCAGCTGGCCAAACAGAAGACTAACGAAAGAACCAGACTTAGTCAAAACAAATAGGTGAGAAGAAAAGCCTAACACTTCATCCCATTGCCTCATCATTAGTATCTGTTCATATACATTACCTTTGAGAAAATGGCAATATTCTGTAACTTTATATCTAAAGGTACATTTCAGGGGTTGGTTTTTGTTTTTGTTTAATCCCTGCACTTTGGGAGGTCAAGATGAGAGGATCACTAGAGCCTGGCTAGGGCCTTGTAAATTAGATTGACAAAAGACAGATTAACAAGAGAAAAACAATTTATTAGCATGTGCATGGTGCTTACATACAGGAGTACCCATAGATGACTAACTTAAAGGATTGGTTCTAATTTGAGATTATCTAGCATCTTAGCCGAGGAACAATACATTTTTAGATAACTGACAAGACAAAGGAAAAGGACTTTGCATTTCTAGGGGCAACAGATTGTGGAAAGGCAAATACATGAGGAAAAAGTGGAAGGTTAAGGGCTAATTAGTAAAGTTTGTTATGTAGGTTCCTCTGGTGCCATCTCTAGGCTCATAAAGGTCTAAAGTTGTCTATGTTGATTAACTTTTGTTCTTCATAGTAGAGAGAGGGGGGGACATCTACGCAAATTTATGCACTGTTTTTAGGGAAATAAAGGATAGAGAGGTTTTCTTGTATCCGCATCTTCTCAATTGCCTTCAGCTCAAAATAATCCTGATGCCAAAATGGCATATTTTGAAGTGGTATATTCTGCTACCCTCCTACAATGGTAACCAGTAACTTCTGTTTTTCCCAATCAACATAAATAGTAAATAATTCAAGGAATCTATTTTTCCAAAATCTGCCTTAAGTCTCCTTGCACTGTTCCATTAATCTTTCCTGTGTTCCAGTGATTTGTGGTTGCAAAGTTTGCATAATGAATTAACTGAACCATGTTTGGAGGCCTTTAAAACCTGCCAAACCTTTTGTAGCCAAACTTCTAACTAGTCCTTTAAGTCCTGAGTAACAAATAGTTTGGATTGAAAAAAATAATGGTTGATTAGGCAAAGATACTTATTAATTATTAAAAGGAAATTCAGAAAGTAAAACAAAAATGGAAGGTAAGACTCTTGCCCCGGGAAAAGCACATCAGTTAAATCACAAAGAAACATGGAGGAGAAACACATGAATAAGCATCAATCTGGAACTTTGGGCCTGGTGGAAAATATACAATTAAGAAAGAGTGAAATTCATTCAGGGCACAAATATTTACCAGGAGATGATTTTATGCCAGTTCCTGCTCTGGACACTGAGGATAAAACAATGCATTAGATAATGTCCCTGCACTCACTGGTCTTATGTTCTAGTGGGAGACAGAGGCAATACACAATTTATCAAATAACTATGTAATGTAATGTCAGGTACTGTATGCAAAATGAAGTAGGGTAAGGAAATACAATTGGTTGTGGCAAAATAGCATCTATTTTATATAAGGAAATCAAGAAAAGAGGGGACATTTTGATCAGAGACCTGAATGAAGTACAAAGTATGGGGGAAGAAAGTTCTAAGGAGAGTCAAGGCAATACAACATGATTGGCCTTTCAAGGACCAGACGAAGACAATGAGGACAGAAGGGAATGAGTGGGAGGATCTTGGTAGGAGCCCAGATTCTGTAGTCTTTTAGGGTGTGGTAGGAATTCTATCTGAAGGCCATCACACACCAGGAGCCACATATTTCAGAGCTCCCTAAAATACAGCTCCTTTGTATTCCCCTTCCAATTCCTTCAAAAGACATTGCTTTGACACACTCAATCTGAGAGCAGAACAGATGTTTAAAACATGGGTCACAGCCTACCATTAATGGAGTTAATTATAGGAGCACCACCAGAGCATTTGGTTTTGAAGTGTGAATTATTATCCTCCCCCACTTTCATATCTCTAAATGCCATATGGGGAGGAAGTGGAACAGAGGAAGAAACCAACCTTGGTGAGCTTTATTTCTGCTCAGAGGGTTTTTACTTCTGAGTATCCAATTTGTATTTAGATATACCCTCATAGTTTATTTATTAGGGGATTTTTAGATTTAGCTTTTAGCAACAATCACTTGATGGCCAATGGAAATAAAATGCAAGAAACATATGTAATTTTATATTTTTATTTTTAGTTTTTTGACATGGAGTCTCATTTGGAGTGCAGTGGTGCGACCTCCACTCACTACAACCTCCACCTCCTGGGTTCAAGCAATTCCCCTGCCTCAGCCTCCGAGTAGCTGAGACTACAGGCACCTGCCACCATGCCTGGCTAATTTTTGTATTTTTAGTAGAGACAGGGTTTCACCATGTTGGCCAGGCTGCTCTCAAACTCCTGACCTCAAGTGATCTGCCCACCTGCCTTGAGTGATTGGCCTTTGAGAAATAAGAAAATCAAGCTTCAGAAAGACTAGTTACAATGTTCAGTGCCACCCAACAGGGCTGGGTAAGGAGATTTCACTACATAGGATCCTGGTTTCCATCTCAGGAGCTCTAGACAACTCTCCAAGACACTGTCACAAGCCATGAGGATCTAAATATGCATGACTGAGGGAGATGCTGACAATGGGGTTACTTTAGGAAATGCTGATAAAATACTATCTCCCAGAAAATTCACATTAAAAGAGTTGATAAAAACACATTGGGGGATATTTTTCTCTTTGAGTATCCACTCTCTCAGACCCAACTTCCCCTTTTATAATAGATATTTTATAATATCCCTTTCACTACCCTGAAATGAAATTCACAGATAATATAACCTCCTGTTTGTTTGTAAAATGCAGATATGCTGTAGACCCAGATCATTATAAACAGGTTTTTCACCTACGTGAATGTCCTCAGGAACATATGACAAGTTGGGGACAACTTGGGAAAGTTGCAGAGGACATGGGACAATTCTTCAAGCTGGAGTGTCTCACATATCCCAAGGCAAGGAACAACCCAGATCCTTGCCCACTCTGCCGGTAGTGCTCCCCTTCACTGTAACCCCACAAAGTCCCAAAACTCTCCCGAGGTGGCATTACATTTCACATCAAAGTTCTTTCCTTTTGAACATTAGCATATCTAATCTATAGCAGAAAGTTGGGCCACTTGCCTTTAACCATGTGTTGTGGGTGGAATGGCTGTCCTTGAAAGGCTGTCTACATCTCAACTCCTAGAAGTTGTGTATGTGAGCTTATTTGAAAATGTCTTTGCAGGAACACAGCATGCCACATAGTGTGTGATGAGCCAAATAAAAACTTGAATACACTGTGACCCCTTTACAAAATCACCCAGACAATGTAAGACAGCTTCCCCCTCTTTGATTCAGCTTTCAAAGTCTGAGTGTCTCCTTTACTGAAGCCAGAACCACGCAGGAGGCTGGAAAAGTAATGATGATGATGATGATGACAATGATGATAATGACCATGATTATACCGATAATGTTAAGAATCTCATTTGAAAAAACCTTTCACAGTTAGTTGGTACACAAGTCTCTGGCTTTTGGAATTGGCAGCTACAAAATTAAGTTACAAGAAATTAATCCAGAATTAGTCCCACTGAATGTATTCATCAATTTGACCACCAAAAGGTACTTGTCTAAATTTAAAAAAGAATTATTAAAAAAAAATTCACAATGTGAGAGGTAATTTTTTGTCTATATTTTTAAAAATATGATGAAACATATTAAGAACAATGCTATGTTTTAAATCATCTCTATAAAAATGAAAATTCCTATGTTTCTACTTTAAAAATTGATATTATGAAGAATTAAAAAGCATAATTTAGTTTGTATTGTCTGTCTTTCTGAGAACAATCTATTTTTAAGTCTGTGTGCTACTTGCTGAACAACTAACTGGGACATTTCACTTTTTTCACATTGGGGAAAAAAAGCTGGCTTTTATATTTTTAATATTTAATCTATGTTTTGATGCAGTTCACTTTGCTTTTATATACTATACTGCTAGGCACATTATTACTATTTTGTTCTCCTATTATATATTAGAAATGCTGCCTTCTTGAAACTCTTAGGAAATGTTAATGGCTAAAATAATGCAAATTTTTTTTAAAACATTCTAGCAGAGGTCTTTAAAAATGCATCATATTATTTCCTGCTCTCTTATACAAATATTCTGTATCTGTTTAATCCACTCTTATGAATGACTGTAATACAATGATACTCTCAAGGGTTGGTGGAGGAGGTATTGAAGTTTATTGATCACGAAGAGGATAAATATGATGACATTAATTTGTTCTCCAACATACCAGGCATAGTTCTATATCGCGACCTTTACACTGGCTCTCCTCTCTATTTGCGAACCTCTATTTGCGAGGCTCTTACATCAGCTGTCCACGTGACTCACTCCCTGATGTCCTTCAAACCTTTGCAGCCTGCCTCCTCCCCACTACCACACACACACACACAAACACACGTATGCACATACACACACACGTCCACTCACTAACACTCCAACTCCTCTTATTCTGCTCTACTCGACATTTTATTTTTATATCATATATCAAGTAAATTAGCATACTAATTTACTTACGCATTATTGTATATTGTGTGTTTACCTTACTTTCTGCCATAAGCTTCATGAGGGGAGGACATCTAGGTTGGCTGTGTCCACCAATGTATTCCCAGCACTTAGATCAGAGCCTGAAAAATAGGAAGAGCTTAAAAAATACTTGTTGGATTGAATGAATGAATGACAGCTTCCCTACAACATACAAGAGTAAGCTTTTCTGGTTAAATAGCAGGTATAAACTTTTACTTTAGGATCATAGAATTGGGTCTATATCATGTAAGTAATGAAGAACTAAAGAAGGTCATTAAACTTGATGAGGGCTATGAATTGTAAGGATTAATCTATAATCTATGGGCAGTATAGGGAATAAATTTGAAGGGGTCACAGAGGGGCCATTAGCTTTGATATTACCTGCAAATACCCCCAGATTAATCTTCCTTAAGCACAGATATAAGAAAGTGGTATTGATTTAAAATGTGAAGGAAAAGATGAGAGTAGAGAGTAGGAGAGATAAGAACCTTGGAAAATGCCTGCCTTTAAGGGGCTGGAGGACTAGGAGTTAGCAGAACAGTATTGAGAAAGAACTAAAATGTGGGATAAAAAACAAGTTCATGGATTCTAAGGGTGGAAAGTGTTTTCAAGAAAGAAGGGGTGGCCAACACATGGAATTCAAACTCTTCAGGAATGTGGAGGAGTGTTATTTACAGGTTGGTAGGAGACAGTGACAAAGCTGGAAAGAAGGTGATCTAACATCCTGGACTTTAAGGAAAGAATGATGATAGAATAACAAGATAGATGTCAGTGCAGCAATAATCTGGAAATAGCACTGAAGAATAACAAAAATAAGAACTTATTTTCTAGATTCAGAGGTTTAGGGAAAAAGAATAAAGAAGCAATCACTACTTGAGAGCATCGTAAGATAGAAGAAATCAGGTTTTAAATGATACAAAGAAATAGAAGGAAGAGGAGCAATAGAGACAGATCGGGTCAAAGTGTAAAGAAATTTCTTGACAATAGTATGACAGTGGCAGAGATTACAGTGCAAATGGGTGGTATTCCCTCAGTGAATTATCTTTTAGTCAAATCAACCTAACTTAACCTTACTGTATGACATTAGTTAATATATGCCAGCAGAGAACATTTAGTACACAAATTAATAGCATCTGTTTATCTTTCTATTATCAGGTTAACTAAATGTTACAAATCAACTTTGACCATTGCATTGTTTCCCAAATTTGAGTCATCTGCATGCCACCATCACAATTTTTATTGTAGTTAATGTTTTTGAATGGTTTCCCCAATAAGCGGACCCTGGAAAAGGATTTAGGTACAAGTAGTTTATTTGGGAAGTGATCCAAGGAAAGTCCAGAGAAAAGTGAGGCAATAAGATAGGGAAAAGAAGGAAGCAAACTCAGGACAGTTCAATGAACAAGTTATTGATGTGGGCAACTGGAGTTCATTCCTACTAGAAACTTTTGGGAAATAGAGTAGGCCACGCCTCAGGATCATCCCACCTGAGGAGAAAAAGAGTTGAGATATTTATCTGCCAACTTGATCTGTTATTAGTTGTGGGCTTTACCAACTATCTCCAGTCAAAAAGGCCTGCCACTCATGGCACTGATGAAAAACAATCTTTAAAGTACGCCAAGAAAAAAAGACCCCGTGAGTCTAGAATTCTATACTCAACCAAAAAGATCTTCTAAAAATTAAGAAGAAATAAAGACTTTCCCACATACAAAAGCTGAAAAAACTTATCACTAAAAAGAAAATACAAAAAATATTAATAGAATTGCTTCACACAAAAGAAAAATGACTCCAGATGAAAATCTGCATTGAAACAATGAAATGAGGAGCATCAGAAATGGTAAATATGTGAATAAATATACATTTTTTTCTCATTCTTAATCTCTTATAGACTGCTTAAAACAAAGTAATAATAATACACAGCTTATACTACATGTAGAAGTTAATTGTATATAACAATTATCTTATAAATGTATAATAATAATGCATAGTCTATAACCTATGTAGATAATATTTACTGTATATATTACAAATTATATAATAAGAATGTATATTATAAATTTTATAATCAAAATGTATAGCTTAAAATATATGTAGAGGTAAGTTATATGACAAAAATAGCACCAAAAGCATGACAGGGAAATGGAAGTATACTCTTACAAGATTCTTATGCTACACTTGAATAGTGTAATATTGTTTGAAGGTATACTGCCATTATCTAAAAATATTTATTGTCAATCTTAAACCATTAAGTAAAACAAGTAGACTTAATAAGCCAAAAGTGGAAATAAAATGGAATACTTAAAAAAGGATATTAAATTAATCCAACATAAAGTTAAAAAAAAGAGATAACTAAATGGAACAAAAAACAGATAGGACAAATAAAAAATTAATAGCCCTCTGATGAATATAAACCCCTCGGTATCAATAATCATATTAAATAAAATGGTCCAACTCAAAATAAGAAACAGAGAAAGTCAAGTTTAATTTTAAAAATCAAGATATAACTACACGCTGTCTACAAGGAGCATTAAATATAAAGACACAGGTGCCCAGCATGGTAGCTCATGCCTGTAATCTCAGCACTTTGGGAGGCTGAGGTGGGCAGATGACTTGAGTTCAGAGTTTGAGCCCAGCCTGGGCAACATGGTGAAACCCCATCTCTACAAAAAATACAAAAATTAGCCAGGCACGGTGGCAGGTGCCTGTAGTCCCAGCTACGGAGGAGGCTAAGGCAGGAGAATCACTTGAGCCTGGGAGGCAGAAGTTACGGTGAGCTGAGATCCCTCCATTGCACTCCAGCCTAGGCGACAGGAGTGAAACCCTGTCTCAAAAAAATAGAAATAAAAATAAAGACACAGGTTACAAGAAAATGGAAAAAGATATTTCATGTACACATTAATCAAAAGAAATCTAAATAAAGAAACTATATTAATATCGAAAAAAGGTTTCAGTGCAAAAAATATCACTAAGTATAAAGTTCATTTCATAAAAATGAAGTCTTCAGTTTATTGAGAAGACATAACAATCTTAAATATGTATGCACCTAGTAACACATAAAACAATAGAAGAAACAGTAAGGAGAAATAAATAAATTGATGATTATTGTTGGAGATTTCAGGATAGAAAGGATACCAGTAAAGATATGAAGACTTAAATAACACTATCAGCAAGATTGACCAACTGACTTTACATCCAAGAATGCAGAATACATATTCTTTCCACAAACACATGGAATGTTTACCAAGAGAGACTATATATGAGTCATAAAATAAATCTCCACAAATTTAAAAGGATTGAAATTATACAAAGTATGTTTGTATTCATCCATTCCTGCACTGCTATGAAGAAATGCCTGAGACTGGGTAATTTATAAAGAAAAGAGGTTTAATTGGCTCGCTGTTCCGCAGGCTGTACAGGAAGTATGGCAGCATCTGCTCAGCTTCAGTCAGTCATGGTGGAAGGCAAAGGGGAAGCCAGCACTTCACACAGCTGGAGCAGAAGAAAGGGTCACAGGGAGGAGATGCTACACACTTTTAAACAACCAGATCTCATGATCACTAACTCTTGCCAACACCAAAGAGGATGGTGTGAAACCATGAGAAACTGCCCCCATGATTCAGTCACCTCCCACCAGGCCCTACCTCCAACCCTGGGGATTACAATTCAACATGAAATTTGGGTGGGGACACAGATCCAAACCACATTATTGTTCTTTAACCATTATAAAATTAAGTTAGAAATTAATGACAGAATAATACCTTCAAATTTCTCAAATATTTCAAAATTAAACAACACACTTCTAAATAATCAAATAATGGACCAAAGAATAATTCACAGTGGATATTAGCATACATTTTTAAATGAATCTAAAAGAAAACACAACATATCAACAATTGTGAGATATACCTAAACTAATATCTAGAGAAAAAAATTTAGCATTAAAGGCCTATATTAGAAAAGAAGATCTCGAATTAATTATCCAAGCTTCCACTTAAGAGACAAGATAAAAAACAGCAAATAACCTCCCCTCAAAAAAGCAAAAAAAAGAAAATTATGAAGATAAGACTAAAATCAATTAAATAACAAACAGAACAATACAGAAAATCAATGAGACAAAAAGATAGCTCTTTGGGAACTTTAATAAAATTGATAAATTTTAAGTCTGAGTGATCAGGAATAAAACAGAAGACATAAATTATTAATATTAAGAAAGTGAGAGGGGGCCACGCACAGTGGCTCACGCCTGTAATCCCAGCACTTTGGGAGGCTGAGACGGGCAGATTGCTTGAGCTCAGGACTTTGGGACAAGCCTGGGCAACATGGTGAAACCTCATCTCTAAAAAAAAGGAAAACAACAACAACAACAACAAAAATTAGCCAGGGCATGGTGGCATGTGTCAGTAGTTCCAGCTCTTAAGGAGGCTAAGGTGGGAAGATCATTTGAGCCAGGGAGGCAAAGATGGCAGTGAGCACTCTAGCCTGGGCAACTGAGTGAGACCCTATCTCAAAAAAAGAGAAAGTGAGAGGGAACACAACTATAGATCCTATAGACTTTAAAAGGATAACAAAGGGAATCTTACATGCAACTTTTATGGCAATGAATTTCACAGCTTTGATTAAATGGGCAGATTCCTTGGAAGATACAAACTACCAAAGCTCGCTCAAGAGGAAATAGATAACCTAAATAGCTCTTTATTAAAGAAACTATAAATGTTTTCACCACAACGATGATGAGTATTTGAGGTAATGAATATGTTAATAGCTTGATTTAATTATTTCACATTATATTATTAAACCATAACATCACTTTGTACATCATAAATACATACAACTATGATTTGTCAATTTACAGAAAAAGAAATTGTATTTGCACTTAAAAACTTTTCTAAAAGAAATCTTCAGGTCTAAATGGCTTTATTTGTGAACTCTACCAAGTATTTAAGGAAGAAATTATACTAATTCTACACAAACTCTTTCAATAAATAAAAGGCAGGAAATGGCTGGGCACGGTGGCTCACGCCTGTAATCCCAGCACTTCAGGAGGTCAAGGTGGGCGGATCACAGGGTCAGGAGTTCAAGACCATCCTGGCTAACACGATGAAACCCCGTCTCTACTAAAAATACAAAAAATTAGCTGGGCGTGGTGGTGGGTGCCTGTAGTCCCAGCTACTCGGGAGGCTGAGGCAAGAGAACGGTGTGAACCCGGGAGGCAGAGCTTGCAGTGAGCCAAGATGGCGCCACTGCACTCCAGCCTGGGTGAGAGTGTGAGACTCCATCTCAAACAAACAAACAAAAAAAGGCAGGAAACACTTCTGAACTTATTCTATGTGGCCAGCAATTTTCTGATAACAAAATAAGATATAGATATTTTATATATACATACTGATATAAAATACAGATGTTTTTTATATATATATATATATATATATATATATATATATAAACTATGGACCAACATTTCTCATAAACAAGATGCAAAAATCCTTAACAAGTTTTACCATATCAAATCCAACAATACAAAAAAAGAATAATAATATCACCAAATGGAATTTATTCCAAGAATGTAAGGTTAGCTTAATATTGAAAAGCAATGAATGTGATTTATCACATTAACAGACTAATAAAGAAAAACTAGGTGGGGTGGCCAGAGGCCATGGGCTTGTAGGCCATGCCCAGACCACAGTTCCACATGTATAATATTCTTCCAGTCCACAATGCTGAACCATGATTGGATGAGTGTTTGAGGTCTGTTTTTCAACAGGACTTTGAAGGCACTATGGAGCTCTCTATTTTTGATGATGCCAGTAAGAACAAGTCTGGGACAACCACTGAAAAATGGAGAGTCAAGTTAGGTTCCAATATCCTTGTGATCACTGGAAGGTATGATTCTCCTTCTCCCTGAGGAATTCAGTATTCTAAAAAGGAAGCAATTGCACAGAGCTTGGGGTCTTAACTTGGCTTTTTGGATCTGGTCCTTTAAGTTACTGCAAAATTTTATTTTATTTTTTCCTTTTATTTATTTATCTTTATTTTATTTATTTAAGATAGAGTCTGGCTCTGTTGCCCAGTCTAGAGTGCAGTGGCATGATCTCAGCTCATTGCAACCTCCACTTCCCAGGATCAAGCCATCCTTCCACCTCAGCCTCTTAGGTAGCTGGAACTACAGGTGCACACCACTGCCCCTGGCTATTTTTTTTTTTAAGTTTTTGTAGAGACGAGCTTATGCCATGTTGCCCAGACTGGTCTCGAACTCCTAAGTGCAAGCAATCCACCCATCTTGGCCTCCCAAGGTGTTGGGATTACAGGCATGAGCCACTGCCTGTCCATTGGCAAAATTTTAGAATCAACTTATCAAGCCTGCTTGGATTTTTATTGGGACTGCATTGAATCTATAAATCCATTTGAGAATCTTAATATTTAAACTTCTAAACAATAAACATGGTATATCTCTCTGTGTATTTAGATCTTAAATTCCTCCCTGGAATGGTCTGCAGTTTTTAGGGAATAGGTCTTCAACATAAATTCAAACAAAATTCATTCATAAGTATTTCATAGATTTTGGTGTTATTGAAAAGTGGTATTAAAAATTAACTTCCCAATTTTAGTGTTACTTAAAAAAAGAAAAACTGCATAATCATGCCAAGAGATGCAGAAAAACATTTAATAAATTCAACACCATGACAAAAACTGTTGGCAAACTAGAAATAGAGCCTACCGCCAATATTTTACATAATGGTGAAAGTTTGAATGCTTCCCACCAAAGATCAAGAATAAGATAAGGATGTCCACTCTCACCACCTTTACTCAACATTATACTGAAGGTTCTAGACAGTGCTATCGAGCTAGAAAAGGCAATAAAAGTTATGAGATGAATCATAATGGAAAAGTTACTAATCTTTCTGAGCCTTAGTTTCCTCAGTATAAAATAGGATAACAACAGTACCTACCTCATAAAATTGTTGTGAGGATTAAGAGATGATAGTTGTGACAACAAGCCCATATTAACAACTGATAAATGTTACCTATTAGTGTTATTAATAACTCATGCTGATATATGCTACTTTGTATTAATTATTTCCAATAACATTAACTGAATTCTTACTACATTCCAGGCCTTGAACTAGATGCTGAAGGTGCAGGCATGAGCAAAATAGATGTGGTTACAGCATTTATTAAGATTGTAAGCTATCAAGCAAAAAGTACACAATTCAAAAATTAATTGCAAGGCAAAAATAGACACATGAGATTACATCTAACTAAAAACAAGAATTGTTTTCTTGCACAGGCAATGAAATATTCAACAGAGTGAAGAGACAATCTGCAGATTAAGAGGAAATATTTGCAACCCTAAATCTGATAAAGGGTTACTATCCAAAATATATAATGACTCAAACAAATCAATAATAAGAAAAGAAATAACCTGACTAAAAGAAGATATACAAATGGATCTTGGTCCCACTCTTGCCATGTGACACATCTGCTCCCCCTTTACATGACCTTCTGCTCCCCCTTTACATGACTTTCTCCCCCCTTTACATGGCACCTTCTCCCCATTTACATGGCCTTCTCCCCCTTTAAAGGGGCCTATTCCCCCTTTACATGGCCTTCTGCCATGAGTAAAAGCTGCATGGGTCTCACCAAAAGTTGAGCAGATGCTGGTCCCATGCTTGTACAGCCTGTGGAACCATAAGCCAAATAAACCTCTTTTCTTTATAAATTACCCAGCCTCAGGTATTTTCTTTATAGCAACACATAAAATTGGTACTAAGCAGTAGAGTATTGCTATAAAGATATCTGAAAATGTGGGAGTAGCTTTGGAACTGGGTAATGGGCATAGGTTGAAAGAGTTTGGAGGGTTCAGAAGAAAACGGGAAAGTTTGGAACTTCTCAGAGACTTGTTAAATAGTTGTGACCAAAATGCTGATAGAAATATGGACAGTGAAGCCCAGGCTGAGGACATCTCAGATGGAAATTAGGAACTTATTGGAGACTAAAGCGAAAGTCACCCTTGTTACGCCTTAGCGAAGAATTTGGCTGCATTGTAAATCCCTAGGGGTCTGTGGAAGGCTGAGCTTAAGAGTGATGACCTAAAGTATCTGGTGAAAGAAATTTCTAAACAGCAAAGTGTTCAAGAGTTGGCATGGCTGCATCTATGAGCAGATGTGGGAGTAAAAGAATGACTTAAAGTTGGAACTTATTATTAAAAAGGAAGCTTAGCGTAGAAGTTTGGAAAAATTGCAACCTGGCCATGTGGTAGAAAAGGAAAGATTTTCAGGAGAGGAATTCAAGAGCACTGTACGGCAACCACTCACTAGAGAGATTTGCATGACTAAACAGAAGCCAAATGCTAATAGTCAAGACAATGGGAAAAAGACATTTTAGAAATCTTCAAGGTAGCCCTTCCCAACACAGGCCCAGAGGCCTGAGGAAAGAATGGTTACAGAGTCCAGGCCTCAGGCTTGCTGCCCTGCTCAGCCTCAGAACATTGCTCCCTATATTCCAGCTGTTCCAGCTACAACAGTTCAAAGAGCCCAAGGTAAATCACGGGCTGCTGCTTAGGATCCTAAGGGCACAAGCTCTTAGTCTTGGCAGTCCATGTGGTATTAATCCTGCAGGTACACAGAATAAAACAGTGAAGGAGGCATGACAGCTTCTATCTAGATTTCAGATGATGTATGAGAAAGTCTGGGTGCTCTCTGTGGTGGGCAGAGAATCCTACCACAAGGAAGAATCCCCACAGAGAGACTGTACTAGGACAGTACTGGGGGAAACTGTAGAGTTGGAGCCCACACACAGAGTGCTCACTGGGGTGCTGCTTAGTGGAGTTGAGGGAATTGGGCCACAACCCCCTAGACCCCAGAATGGTAGAGCCACTGGCAGCATTCACCCTGAGGCTGGAAAAGTTGAAGGCATTGAACTTCAACAGTGAGAGCAGTCATGAGGGCTGCATCCTGCAAAGCCACAAGGCCTTGAGAGCCCCCTCCTTGCACCAGTGTGCCCAGGATATGGGATATGGAGTCAAGGATTATTCTAGAGCTTTAAGATTTAATGTCTGCTCTGCTGGGTTTCAGACTTGTGTGGGATCTGTTGCCCCTTTCTTTTGGCCAATTTCTTCCTTTTGGAATGGGAATATTTACTCATTGCCTGTGCCACCATTGTATCTTGAATGTAAATAACTTATATTGATTTTACAGGCTCATAGGTCAAAGAAACTTGCCTTGAGTCTCAGATGAAACTTTAGAATTTGGACTTTGGACTTTGGATGCTGGAATGAGTTAAGAATTTTGGAGACTATTGGGAAGGGAGAACTGTGTTTTGCAATGTGAAAAGGACATACGATTTTGGGGGGGCAGGGGCAAATGGTATAGTCTGGATGTTTGTTCCCTCCAAGTTTCATGTGAAATGTGATTTCCAGTGTTGGATGTGGGGCCTAGTGGGAGGTGTTTAGGTCATGGAAGCAGATCCCACTTGAATGCCTTGGTGCTGTGAGTGCAGTAATGAGTTCACACAAGATCTGGTTATTTAAAGGAGCCTGGCACCTCCTCTTCTCTGTCTTGCTCTTGCTCTCGCCATGTGACACGCCTGCTCCCTCTTCATCTCCTGCCATGAGTAAAATCTTCCTGGGCCTCACCAGAAGCCAAGTAGTTGCTGGTGCCATGAACCAACAGCCTGTAGAACCACAAACCAAATACACCCCTTTTCTTTATAAATTAAATAAAAAATAAGACATACTGATGGCCAACAGGTATATGGAAAACATGCTCAAAATTACTAATCATTAGGGAAATGAACATTAAAACCACAATGAGATATCACTTCATACCTGTTAGAATGACAATTATCAAAAAGGCAAAAGAAGCTGGGCATGGTGGCTCAGGCCTGTAATCATAGCACTTTGGGAGGCAGAGGTGGACAGATTACTTGAGCCCAGGAGTTCAAGACCAGCCTAGGTAACATGGTGAAACCCCATCTGTATGAAAAATAAAAAAATTATCCAAGCATGGTGGTGCACATCTGCAGTTCCAGCTACTCAGAAGGCTGATGTGGGAGGATTGATTGAGCTAGGGAGGTTAAGGCTGAAGCGAGCCATGATCATGCCACTACACTTCAGCCTGGGCAACAGAGGAAGACACTGTCTTTAAAAAAGAGACAGAAGATAATAAATGGTGTCAAGGATATGGAGAAAAGAGAATACTTGCACACTGTTGGTGGGAATGAAAATTGGTATAGGCATTATGGAAAACAGTATAGAGGTTCATCAAAAAATTAAAAATAGAACTACCATGTGATCCAGCAATCCCACTACTGGTTATATATAACAGGAAATGAAATCAGTATATCATGGAGATATCTGCATTTCCAAGTTCATTGCAGCAGTATTTTCAATAGCCAAGACAAGATATGGGATAAATTTAAATGCCATCAACGAATGAATGAAGAAAACGTGGTATACATATATATTAATACACACACACACACACACACACACACACACACGCACAGGAATGCTGGAGGACATTATGCTGAGTGAAATAAGCCAGCACAGAAACATAAATACTATACAATCTCACTTATAAGCGGAATCTAAAAAAGTTGAACTCATAAAAATAGGGAGTAGAATAGAGATTAAAAGGGATTGGGGCAGGGGATGGTGAAGGCTGGGGAGATGTTGGTCAGAGGGTACAAAATTTCAGTTACACAAGAGGAGTAAGTTCAAGAGATCTATTGTACAATGTGGTGACTATAGTTACTAACAATTTGTTGTATTCTCAACTGTTGCCAAGAGAGTACATTTTAAGTGTTCTCACCACAAAGACAAGATATGTGAGGTAATGTGTATGTAAATTAGCTTGAGTTTGCCATTCCATAATGTACACGTATATTTTCAAAAGTATACAACTAATACATATGATTTTAATTTGTCAATTTAAATAAAGTTTTTTAAGGAATTGATTACAACCAACTTTTATACAAATAATAAAATGAGAAATAAAAATAAGCAGAGATGGAAAAACCAGCAGTTTTTTAAGTCTGTTCCTGTACTGCTGAGATTTTCTGCATGTGTGAGAAATTCTGAGAGAGGGCCTTAAAGCTAACATTCCATGAACATTATGTGTATATACACAAAGTGTTGATATGTTACCATAAAGCTTCATAGACATTGCTACCCTCTAATATCCATTGTCTGATACCCATTGTCTCATTCTGTTCAGCTGCTATTATAAATAATCATGGACTGGGTGACTTATAAACAACAGAAATTTATTTCTTTTCTTTTTTTTTTTTTCAGACTGAGTCTCGCTGTCGCCCACGCTGGAGTGCAGTATTGGGATCTCGGCTCGCTGCAAGCTCCGCCTCCCAGGTTCACACCATTCTCCTGCCTCAGCCTCCCGAGTAGCTGGGATCACGGGTGCCTGCCACCACGCCCGGCTAATTTTTTATATTTTTAGTAGAGACGGGGTTTCACCGTGTTAGCCAGGATGGTCTTGACCTCCTGACCTCGTGATCCACCCGTCTCAGCCTCCCAAAGTGCTGAGATTACAGGCGTGAGCCACCGTGCCCGGACAGAAGTTTATTTCTTACAATACCATTCTACTCTCTATTTTTATAACAGGCCAGAATGTCCAAGATCAGTTTGCCAGCACAGGTGGGTTCTGGTGAGGGCCTGCTTCCTTCATAGACAGAAATGTTTCACTGAAACCTCACACTGCAGAAGGAACTATTACATAGCTAGCTCTCCAGGGTCTCTTTTATAAGAGCACTAATCCCATCCATGAGTGCTCCATCCTTATAACCTAACCACCTTCCAAATGCCCCACCTCCTATACAACCACTTGGGGGTTAGAATTCCAACACATGAATATAGACGGGAACAAACATTCAGACCATAACATCTGTTCCCCTGGCATTTTTGTTTGTTTGTTTGTTTTTTAGTAACAGAACGCTCATATTATTTGGAGCTAACTCTCTTTTGACTTATGTAGAAGAGTAACTAGTTTTTAACTTTTTAAAATTACAGCTATTTGAGGTCTCATTTGTGTACAGATAAACTGATACATACTGCAGTGCATGCTGTGATGATGCACACTCCAACATACCCCTTTAGGACTGATGAACTTACTTACTCCACCAGCTGCTGAGAGCATGGCCCACAGAGAGCCCTCAGCTTGCAGCTCTCTTACATACCTGCCTTCTGCTGAACAGAGTTGCCTCATGCCAGCTCATGCCCTATTTCTAAGATAGTCTACACCCAATCACTGATTGACAGGGAACAGTAACATCTGGTCCCCTTGTTCCAGCTTGGTACAACTCTGAAGGGCCACCTCCATTTCAGAGCTATTTTTGGGCTTAGTTCAGGCTTTTGTTGAAACTGCATTATAGTCCAACTTCTTCCGCTTAATCTTACTTCCTTTTTTTTTCCTTCCACTAGTGTTGATCCCCAAAAGCACTCCATAATAAACTTCCTGCACACTAATATCCTCCTCAGATCTCAGGGAAAGCAACCTGTAACATAGACAAAAAGACCTTTTCACCCACAAAAATTAATAGGTGGAACTAGGATTGAAAGGATGTCAAATGAACCAATTTCTTAAGCATTTTTGTTTAAAAAAAGTAATAAATTTCAGGCAGAAATTTTCCTACTGCAACTAACAAAACAACCATGTGTGCTGAACAAATATATACTTACTATATATTGGACACTGTAGTGGTTTTCAACCAAAGGTTGTACCACCCTGATGAAGACCTTTGGAAATTTGTAAGGGTATTTGAGGGGTGGGAACTGGTCACCATGACTGGCAGGTATTACTGGTGTTTAGTGTTGTGGTCCAGAGATGCTAAATATCCAGGAATGGCCAATAGAGTCCCAACAGTGAAGGACGTTTCTTCACTGAAGAGGATACAAAGAGGTGTAAGACATAGTCTCCTCTTTCTGCTCTTAGCTTATTTTCTAATCATGGGAAAAGAAAAAAATACTAAATATGATAAATATATCAAGCTCATGTAACAGCATCTACTGATAGCCAAATGGTTTGTGTAGACAGTAAATGCAAAAATGCTTCACAGAGTGAAATGATTGCAGTGAATAGGGCTTCAGGGGAAGAGCTGCAAGATTCTAAAAATTAACAGAAGAATGAATTTTTAGGACTTTTATTCTGAGAATTTTGTGTCTCCTTTTATCAAATTATATATAACTCTGCTAGTAATTGGTGAAGGCAAGATTTAAGCTCAGGGCTATCTAATTCCAAAGCCCATCCATGCCCTTTCTACTCCTCTCTGCTGCCTTTATTTATGATATTTTACTATCTAAAACTCCCACATTCACTTACCAGTAAACCTGCCTGCCTCCCCTTGCTAAATTGAAAAGTAATTGATCACTGGAGCAGACCCTATTCATTTATGTTGGCCATGCAGGGGATGGCAGAGGCTAGTTCTCCCTAGAACACATTGGCAGGAAATGTCCAGCAGTCAACCTGGACACTGACACTCGCCAAAAGCTGTCTCTGTAATCTCTGGAGCCCTTGATCTCATAGATATCATGGTGCTGGGAGGATGGTCACTTGGGAAGCAGGCATGTTCTTCCTCACAGCTAGAGATCAAAGTTACTGTGGTTCCTCTAGATTCCAGCTTCCCGCATTGTTATCCCCTTAAATTTAAGATAAATGGGTCAGACACAGTGGCTCATGTCTGTAATTCCTTTGCAACCAGACAGGTCCCTGATTCCCCTCACAGGATGTGCAACAGAAGTGTGGCTTGCCTGTTCAGTAGCCCTGCTGCTCAAACCTCTTGAAAGACGGGGAGCGTGCAGATTAGCAGGTATACAGGCCGGAAGAGCGCTTTGGGCTCCAGCCCGGCGGTACAGTCTAGAGGTGGTTTCCTGCAACCCCAGTGTTACAGAGCTCTTTCAGCTTTGCTCTCCACAGATGGCTTTAGTGTTAATCAGCTCAATGGACCCTCTGCCTTTTTGCAAGGGCAGAGGGCCAGCGTGACAGCTTTCCGTATCCCGGGCTTTTGTCCAGCCTCCCGGAAAAATCGGGTCACGCACGAACTCGAAGGATGAATGCGAAGTTTTATTGAGTGGTGGAGGTGGAGGTGGAGGTGACTTTCAGCAGGATAAATGGGGAGTCAGAAGCAGGGGATGGAGTGGGAAAATGATCCTCCCCTGGGGTCGGGCCGCCCAGCAAACAGAATCCTTTCGGACTGCCCCCAGCCTTATTCCTCTTGGCGTTCAGATGTTCCTCCTCTTCTCCCTTTCTCTGCCCCGTCATTCCTCCATCCATCTGCTGGTCTGCAGGCTTGCTGGTCAGTTTCTGGAGCCTGAGGTATATATGGATGCAGGTTAGGGGGCATGGTGGGTGAAAAGGCAACTTTTTGGGCACGAAACAGGAATGTCTGTTCTCATTTAGAACCGTGTGTATCCAAGCTTGAGGGTGGGGCCTTTGCCAGGGAACCACCCTCTTCTACCCAGTATTTCCCTGTCTCCTATCTGTATCACCATCACTTTGGGAGGTGGAAGCAGGAGGATTGCTTGAGGCTAAGAGTTCAAGACCAGCCAGGGCTATAAAGCGAGACCCCATCTCTACAAAAAAAAAATTTTTTTAATTAACTGGGCATGATGGCATGAGCCTGTAGTCCCAGCTACACTGCAGGCTTAGGCAGGAGGGTCGCTGAAGTCCAGGAATTCAACTCTACAGTGAGCCGTGATCACACCACTGTACTCCAGCCTGGGTAACAGTATGACACTGAGACCCTGTCTTTAAAAAAAAAAAAAAAAAAAAAAAAGAGTTGTTAGAAAAACCAGAAAAGACCAAAGATGTCTGCGAGTGGGAGTATAGCACCATCACTGCCGCATTTTTAGGTTGCTAATTTAATGCCAGAAAGGTTATTTCCTCTTAAGCTATGTTGCTTAAACTGAAGGTCCCATGACACCAGGAAAACAGTCATGATTTGGTCAAGCTCCTGGAGAAACAGGCATCTTTTGCCATGGATGTGGTTTGCTTGAATTGGAAGTTTTGGAGTAAATAAAATAAAGACAGACCTGCATATAAAAATAGCTATTAAGTATTACTAAACTGTACTAAATCTTTCAACCAAGATTTAAGGATAGAAACCAAAATTTGGCCTTTTCTTCATTCATTCTCACTAAATTTTTATGATCCCAAATTTTTTTGCCCCAGTTCTCTTTTCTCCTTACATTCCAAAGAGAAGCATTTAACCCTTTGTTCTCACTCACTTGACTCAATTCCTAGGGTTTTGTCTGTTCATCATTCAGCATTGTGGATTTTTTATTTGTTTGTTTTGTAGAGTAAAGACCTAGATTTTCTAGAGCAGTGGAGATTACCTGGACCTCAGTCTTTCCCCTCTTAGTCGGCAGTAGCTGTACTGAGATAAAGTGCCCCTTTTCATGAGCCTCTACCTTATCCCTTTCTTGTTTTTCCTTCACATGACAGTAGCTTAAGAGCCAGCAGACATCCGGTGCCCACCTATCCAGCAGCCTGAAACATATGAGCTTATCTTTCCTCTTAGTGAATTTCCCGGCAGTGTGCCACTTTGGAGAGAATCAAATGGCTTCTCTTGCCTTAGGTTTGCAGATGCCATTAAGGGTTTATTCATCATATAAATACTATGGTTTTCTTTTTTTTTTTTTTTTTTTTGAGACGGAGTCTCGCTCTGTCGCCCAGGCTGGAGTGCAGTGGCGGGATCTCGGCTCACTGCAAGCTCCGCCTCCCGGGTTCACGCCATTCTCCTGCCTCAGCCTCCCAAGTAGCTGGGACTACAGGCGCCCGCCACTACGCCCGGCTAATTTTTTGTATTTTTAGTAGAGACGGGGTTTCACCATTTTAGCCGGGATGGTCTCGATCTCCTGACCTCGTGATCCGCCCGCCTCGGCCTCCCAAAGTGCTGGGATTACAGGCGTGAGCCACCGCGCCCGGCCAATACTATGGTTTTCTTTGCTGATGAGATTAGTCCTAACAGCCTGCTTTCACATAGCAACAGAAATAGTTACTGTTTTAGAGAACTTGCCCCAGGAACAAATTCAAACTAACACCAAGACACAGCCTTTTGCAAGATTGTTGAAGTAAAATTTAACAAGATATATTTTTTAAGTAAGCTGTCAGGGGTTTCTCACCCTTTGCTGGCAGTAGAGAGAATGAACTCAGGGAATCTGCAGAAATATTGGGTAATACTTGTTTTGAATCTTAAATCTGCATACATACACAAGTATTACCCAATATTTCTGCAGATTCCCTGAGTTCATTCTCTCTACTGCCATCCACCCACATATGCTTCCAGATTACAGAATGTCTAGCCCTTTTAGTAGTTTCCACACAAATGTCATTCGTACACAAGCATTTCGTGAGTCCAATAACTGCAGCAGAGGCCCCATAGTGAACTGAAAAATTTTCTATTATTTCATAGGACATTCCTTAACAACCCCACCAACCATTCTCCCTACCTCTTCTGCCTGAGAACAATAGACATACTTTCTCCCTGTTATCTGCCCGTACTCCTTTATCCAGATCCTGAAAGCTCATCTTCTCAACAATTACGTATTCCTCCCTAGAAGGAAACTTGTACCAGCTGCCATTATCTTAGCCCCCTGCCAACCGATCACCAACTTTGAAAAGAGGGGAGTAGAGCCTGAGAAAGGGCAGCAGAAGAGACAGGACCAACCATGGAAGGGCTGGAAGAGAGCGATATAGAATCATCTGAAAATGGGAATCTGCAGAGAGGACAGGCAATGATGGGGCAGCTCAGTAGGAGATGGCTGTATTAACCAGGGCTCTTAGGTCACAAGAGACAGGCACCTAATCCAAACCAGTTTAAGGGTGGAAAGGAAATGTATTGGCTCTGTTATCTGGGAAGGATATTGGGGAAACTCGCAGGACTGAAAGGTAAGCTGTAGGAACCACGCCTCAGGGCCTACAGAGAGGGACTTCTTGACACTAGGATTTGTTCTGTCTCCCTCCATCACCCATTTCTGTTTGTTTCTTCTTGGTTTCATTCCACACATGGGCTGTTTCATATGGTGGAGAACATGGCTTAGGGATGTCCTAGCCATGAGCCCATACACAAAAAGGACTTCTTTTACATGTGGCCATACACAAATTTCAAGTAAGACTGATTGCTCTGCTTATGTCATATCACCATTGCTGCATATGAAGAGAGGGAAGTCCCACCGGAATACCAAGAGAAAGGGAACAATTACACAGAAATAACGAGTGATATTACCCGAAGAAGAAGGATGAGAAAGTATGATAGGCAAACCAAACAAGCGATAGCTATTGCCAACCTCCTGAAAGACCACAGGCTGCCTGAGAGCTAAGGAGAGTATGCTAAAAAACGGTGATGAGGAGGAGGCATATGCCAAAAATTCTGTAGATGCCACAACTCTCCTTGGCCAGATGTGTGACAATGGCAGAAAATTTGAAGGGTTGATTGGCTATTTTTGTGTTGCCCATGCAGAAGCGGTCATGGAATTATTAGCTGGTAATATCGTGAGCAGCCAAAGCTTGGGTGAGGATTTAAGAGTGGGAAACAAATAATCCACAGAGGCTGGACTCAACCCGGAAACCACTCTTTTCCAGTCCAAAAGACCCAGGGACCCCTAGGTATGGTGGCACATGCCTGTAGTTCCAGCTACTAAGGAGGCTGAAGCGGGAGGATCACTTGAGCCCAGGAGTTCAAGGCTGCAGTGAGCTAGGATCACACTGCTGCACTCCAGTCTGGACGACAGGGCAAGACTCCAGCTCAAACAAAAAAAAAAAAAAAAGAAAGAAAGAAGAAAAAGAAAAAGATCCAGGGACTTTTACAACTCCCTCCACTGGAAGAAATTGCTATGTGCCCAGGGACAAGCTTAGAGTTCAGAGTAAGGAAGAGAGATGCAGGGAAAAGCACATAAATGACACCCTTTCCCAGATAGGTGGCTGTCTCCTGCATTCAGCAGACCAAAGGGAAAAGGCAGAAACATCTAACGTATTAGCAATTCACAAATCTCTGCAGTAGCCATAGTCTAGGACTGAGTACAGTTAATAGACTCTGTTTTAATTTTGCCCAGTCCAGATGGAGAGATTTAGGTTTAGCTGCAAATAATATTGAAAATTTCTGACAGCAAAACAGGACCATTAAAAGGAAAAAGGTATGGGTCAAAGGACAACGTAAGACTCCAAAGAGGTAGATAAGCAAATTATTTAATCTGAAAGAAAGAAGTCATGCAGGTTAGAAAGACAAGGTGGGTTGATTCATCTTAGCATATTTCAACTGCCTTAATAAATAAAGGCACTCAATAAGTAATTTTTTTTTTTTTTTTGAGATAGAGTCTCACTCTGTCACCCAGGCTGGAGTGCAGTGGTGTGATCTCGGCTCAATGCAACTTCTGCCTCCCAGGTTCAAGCGATTCTTCTGCCTCAGCCTCCTGAGTAGCTGGGCTTACAAGCGTGCGTCATCACACTCGGCTAACTTTTGTATTTTTGGTAGAGATAGTGTTTCATCATGTTGGTCAGGCTGGTCTTGAATTCCTGACTTCATGATCCACCCACCTCAGCCTCCCAAAGGGCTGGGATTACAGGCGTGAGTCACCACGCCTGGCCTCAATAAGTAATTTTTTTAAATGAATGAGTACTGTCTCTTTTTATACCTGGCTTCTCGTTTCCATATCCCTTTTCTTTTTTACTCTTTTTTCATTTTCTAATTTTCTATGAATTTGTGAGGTATTTGTACTTTTCAGATGCATTTCCTTTTTGCTTTTAAAAGTGTAATTACACAAATGAAACATAATACAATTCCATTTTAAATGATTTTTAAAATTCAGAAATATAGTAAAATGTTCAAGTCTTCTTTTAACACACACGTACGTCAAAATCTTGCTTCTATCCTCAGAAGCTAGTAACTATTTGAGAAATATCCTTTCAAAATGTTCTGTGCATTTATGTGTATGCTTTGTAACACACATATATGTATATGTATATATATATTTATATATAGAGAGATGATAAGCTACATATAAAGTTTCATATGCTTAAATTCTGTTTTATGGATTTGTTTTTCTCTTGAAATTATGACTTGCAGATCATTTTATATCAATACATATGAGAATGCGATATTATTTTTTATGTCAATAATAGTCTATCATTTATTTAATCAGCCCTCTATTGATGGACAATTCCCATTTTTTGCTAGTAAGATTTGCACTCTTCCATCTCACTGTGCCAGTCTGGTAAAGTGGTTTGTAGGTAACTGACTTAATACTTAACCTTGAAAGTTGAGTAAAAGTTGGGCTGACTGGACTAAGAGAAGAATTAGGGGCTGAAATGCAAACTGGTAATAGAATATATTCACCTGACTCATCTCTTGAACATGTTTTCTTCCAGAACTAAGCAATAGAGGTGGTAATCATAGGATGCTACTGGTTTGGGTATTAGGGGCTGAAATGCAAACTGGTAATAGAATATATTCACCTGACTCATCTCTTGAACATGTTTTCTTCCAGAACTAAGCAACAGAGGTGGTAATCATAGGATGCTACTGGTTTGGGTATTGGGGTTTTGAAATTTTAATGAAAACTAGGACTTTCTTGCTTATTTAGCATTATTTATTTTGATATTTATTTGCTTTTCCCTTGATTATAAAAACCATTTTCTAAGAAAATGTAGAAAACACAGTAATGGAAAATGAAAAAAAAAAAGTAAGAACAACTGTTATCATTCTTATCACTGTTATTGTTCCTTTTACTCTTTATTGGACGTATATACATGAACAAAACTGAGACATAGTATAAAACAGATTTGTGTTCTGCTCCTTTTATTTTTTAATTTTTAATTTTATGGGTATATAGTAGGTATATATATTTATGGGATATATGTGATATTTTGATACAGGCATGCAGTGTGTAATAATCTTCAGGGTAAATGGGCTGTCCATCACCTCAAGCATTTGTCCTTTCTTTGTGTTACAAAATTCCAATTATAGCCTTTTATTTACTTTTAAATGTAGAATAAATTATTGTTGACTGTAGTCACCCTGTTGTGCTATCAAATACTAGATCTTACTTATTCTATCTAACTATGTTTTTATACTTATTAACTATCCTCATTTCCACCTCCTCTGTACTACTCTTCTCAGCCTCTGGTAGCCATCATTCTACTCTCTATTTCCATGAGTTTGTTTTAATTTTTAACAACAAATAAGTGAGAACAGGTGAAGTTTGTCTTTCTGTAACTCACTTATTTCACTTAACATAATGTCCTCCAGTTCCAGCTATGTTGTTGCAAATGACAGACTCCCATTCTTTTTTATGGGTGAATAGTACTCCACTGTGTATATGTACCACATTTTCTGCAGCCATTCATCTGTTAATGGGCACTTGGGTTGTTTCCAAATTTTGGCTATTGTGAATAGTGCTACAATAAATATGGTAGTGCAGATATCTCTTCGATATACAGATTTCCTTTCTTTGGGGTATATACTCAGCAACAGGATTGCTGGATCATATGGTAGTTCCATAGTTCTACTTTTAGTTTTTTGAGGAACCTCTAAAACTGTTCTCCATAATGGTTGTACTAATTTACATCCCCAACTACAGTGTACAAAGATTCCCTTTTCTCTACATCCTCACCACCATATGTTATTGCCTGTCTTTTGGGTAAAAGCCATTTTAACTGGAGTGAGATGATATTTCATTACAGTTTTGATTTGCATTTATCTGATGAATAATGACGTTTAGCATCTTTTCATATACCTGTTTACCATTTGCATGTCTCTTTTTGAGAAAAATTCATTCAGATCATTTGCCTTTTTTTTTTTTTTTTTTTTTTTTGAGGCAGGGTCTCACTCTGTCACCCAGGCTACAGTGCTGTGGCACGTTCGCAGCTCACTGAAACCTCTGCCTCCTGGGTTCAAGCAATTCTTGTGCCTCAGCCTCCTGAGTAGCTGGGATTACAGGTGTGCACCACAATGCCCGGCTAACTTTTGTGTTTTTTGGTAGAAACAGGTTTTCACCATGTTGGCCAGGCTGGTCTCAAACTCCTGACCTCAAGTGATAGTCCTGCCTTGGCCTCTCGAGTGCTGGGATTACAGGCATGGACCACTGCACCTGGTCTGATTTGCCCATTTTAAAATCCGATTATTAGGTTTTTTTCTTATTGAGTTGTTTGAGTTCGTTATATATCCTGGTTATTATTTCTTATCAGGTGAATAGTTTGCAAATATTTTCACCCATTTTAATGGGTTGTCTCTTCAGTTTGTTGATTGTTTCCTTTGCTGTAAAGTAGCTTTTTAACTTGATGTGATCCCATTTGTCCATTTTTGCTTTTGTTTCTCCTGCTTGCGGGTTATTACTCAAGAAATCTTTGCCCAGAACAATGTCCTGGAGTTTCCCCAATGTTTTCTTTTAGTAGTTTCATAGTTTGAGGCCTTAGATTTAAGTCCTTAATCCATTTTAATTTGTGTTACGGGAAGTCAGGGACCCCAAACGGAGGGACCCACTGAAGCCATGGCAGAAGAATGTGGATTGTGAAGATTTCATGGACATTTATTACTTCCACAAATTAATACTTTTATAATTTCTTATGCCTGTCTTTACTGCAGTCTCCAAACATAAATTGTGAAGGTTTCATGGACACTTATTACTTCCCCAATCAATACCCTTGTGATTTCCTATGCCTGTCTTTACTTTAATCTCTTAATCCTGTCATCTCCTAAGCCGAGGAGGATGTATGTCACCTCAGGACCCTGTGATAATTGCATTAACTGCACAAATTGTAGAGCATGTGTGTTTGAACAATATGAAATCTGGGCACCTTGAACAGAGAACAGGATAACAGCAATGTTTAGGAAACAAGAGAGATAACCTTAAACTCTGACCACTGGTGAGCTGGGCGGAACAGAGCCATATTTCTCTTCTTTCAAAAGCAAATGGGAGAAATATCGCTGAATTATTTTTCTCAGCAAGGAACGTCCCTGGGAAAGAGAATACGTGCCTGGGGGTAGGTCTAAAGATGGCCCCACTGGGCGTTGCTATCTTCTATGGTTGAGGCTGTAGGAGTGAAATAGACCCCAGTCTCCCATAGTGCTCCCAGGCTTATTAGGAAGAGGAAATTCCCACCTAATAAATTTTGGTCAGACAAGTTGTACTCAAAACCCTGTCTCCTGATAAGATGTTATCAATGACAATGGTGCCCAAAACTTCATTAGCAATTTTAATTTCGCCCCAGTCCTGTGGTCCTGTGATCTCGCCCTGCCTCCATTTGCCTTGTGATATTCTATTACCTCATGAAGTACTTGTTGTCTGTGACCCACACCTATTCGCACACTCCCTCCCCTTTTGAAAGTCCCTAATAAAAACTTGCTGGTTTTGCGGCTTATGGGGCATTACAGAACCTACCGACATGTGATGTCTCCCCAGGACATCCAGCTTTAAAATTTCTCTCTTTTGTACTCTGTCTCTTTATTTCTCAGACCAGCTGATGCTTAGGGAAAATAGAAAAGAACCTATGTGACTATTGGGGCAGGTTCCCCAATAAATTTGATTTTTGTATACGGCAAGAGATGGGAGTTAGCGTCATTCTTCTGCATCTGGATATCTAGTCTTCCCAGCAACATTTATTGAAGAGACTGTCCTGTACACAATGTATGGCCTTGGAAAGTTTGTTGAAAATGAATTTACTGTATATATATATAAATTTATTTCTGGGTTATCTATGCTGTTCCATTGGTCTGTATGTCTGTTTTTATGCCAGCACCATGTTGTTTTGGTTACTACAGCTCTGTAGTATTATCTGAAGTCAGGTAATGTGATTCTCAGTTTTTTCCTTTTGCTCAGGATGGCTTTGGTTATTCTGGGCCTTTTGTGGTTCCATATAAATTTTGGGATTTTTTAAAATTTCTGTGAAGAATGTCATTGATATTTTGACAGGGATTACATTGACTCTGTAGATTGCTTTGGGTAGTATGGACATTTTAACAATATCGATTCTTCCAATCCATGAACATGGAATTTCTTTCCATTTTTTACTGTCATCTTCAATTTCTTCCACCAATGATTTATATCATTATAGAGATCATTCACTTGTACATTATAGAGAGTTTCCACTTCTTTAATTAAGTTTATTTCTAAGTATTTTATTTGCAGCTACTGTATATGGGATTACCTTCTTCATTTATTTTTCAGATTATTTGCTGTTGACGTATAGAAATGTTACTGATTTTTCTGTTTTGTATTCTGTGACTTTACTAGATTTGTTTAACAGTTCTAATAGTTTTTTGGCGGAGTCTTAGGTTTTTCCAAATGTAAGTTTATATATCTGCAAACAAAGATGATTTGACTTCTTCCTTTACAATTTGGATGCCCTTTCTCTTGTCTGATTGCTCTAACTAGAACTTCTAGTACTATGTTGAATAACAATGGTGAAAGTGGGCATCCTTTTCCTGTTTCAGATCTTAGAGGAAAGACTTTCAGTTTCCCCTCATTTATTATGATACTAGCTGTGGGTCTATTGTATATGGCTTTTATTGTGGTAAAGTATGTCCCTTCTATACCTAGTTTTTTTAGGTTTTCATCATGAAGAGATGTGGAATTTTATCAAGTGGTTTTTGAGCATCAATTGAAATGATCATATGGTTTTTGTCCTTCATTCTGTTGATATAATGTATCACATTGATTGATTTATGCATGTTGAGCCATCCTTGCATACCTGGGATAAATTCCACTTGCTCATGATGAGTAATCTTTTTAATGTGTTGTTGAAACCAGTTTGCTAGAATTTAATTGAGGATTTTTGCATCAACGTTCATCAGAGATATTGGCCTGTAATTTTCTTTTCTTAATGTGTCTTTGGTTTTGGTATCAGGGTAATACTGGCTTCATACAATGAGTTTGAAAGTATTCTGTCCTCCTTTATTTTTCAGAACAGTTTGAGTAGGATTGGTACTAGTTCTTCCTTAAATGTTTGGTAAAATTCAGCAGTGAAGCCATCAGGTTTCAGGCTTTTCTTACCTAGGTGAGTTTTTATTATGGCCTTGATCTTGTTACTTATTATTGGTCTATTCAGGTTTTGAATTTCTTCATGGTTCACTCTTGGTAGGTTGTGGGTGTCTAGGAATTTATCCATTTCTTCTAGGTTTTCCAATTTATTGACATATAGTTACTCATAGTAGTCTCTAGTGATCCTTTTAATTTCTGTGGTATAACTTATAATGTCTACTTTTTCTTTTTTGTTTTCTTCCCGAGGCAGGGTCTCACTTTGTTGCTCAGGTTGGAGTTTAGTGGCATGAACACGGCTCACTGCAGCCTTGTCCTCCCTGGCTCAAGTGATCCTCTTGCCTCAGTCCCCCAAGTAGCTGGGACTACAGGCATGCATCACTGCACCCAGCTATTTTTTGAATTTTTAGTAGAGACAAGGTTTCACCATGTTGCCTGGGCTGGTCCAGAATTTCTGAGCTCAAGTGATCTGCCTTCCTTGGCCTCCCAAAGTGCTGGGATTACGAGCATGAGTCACGGTGTCCTGAATAATGTCTCCTTTTTAGTCTCTGATCTTGTTTATTTGGGTCTTTTTTTCTTAATTAGGCTGCCTAAAAGTTTGTCAATTTTATCTTTAAAAAAAACCTTTTGTTCCTCTGATATTTTGCATTGTTTTTTCATTTCACTTTCATTAATTTCTTCTCTGATTTTTTTTTTTTTGAGACGAATTCTCACTCTGTTCCCCAAGCTGGAGTGCAGTGGCGTGATCTCGGCTCACCGCAACCTCCACCTCCCGGGTTCAAGTGATTCTTCTGCCTCACCCTCCCGAGTAGCTGGGATTACAGGTGCCTGCCACCACGCCCAGCTAATTTTTGTATTTTTAGTAGAGACGAGGTTTCACTATGTTGGCCAGGCTGGGTTTGAACTCCTGACCTCATGATCCACCTGCCTCGGCCTCCCAAAGTGCTGGAATTACAAGCATGAGCCACCCGACCCGGCCCTCTGATCTTTATTATTTCTTTTCTTCTGCTAATTTTGGATTTGTTTGCTCTTGCTTTTCTAGTTCACTAAGATGCCTCATTAGATTGCTTATTTGAAGTTTTTCTCCTTGTTTTTATTTAGGCACTTATTGTTATAAATTTTCCTCTTAGTACTGCTTTCGCTATATCCAATAGGTTTTGGTATGTTGTGTTTCCATTTTCATTTGTTTCAAAAAAGTTTTTAATTTCCTTCTTAATTTCTTTATTGACCTGTGAGTCATTTAGGAGCATGTTGTTTAATTTTCATGTGTTTGAATAGTTTCTAAAGTTCCTCTTGTTATTGATTTCTAGTTTTACTCCATTATGGTCAGAGAGGAAATGATATAATTTCAATTTTTTGAACTTCCAAAGACTTATTTTGTGGCCTAATATATGATCTATTTTTGATGATGTCCTATGTGCTGAGGAGAAGATTATGTATTCTGCAGCCGTTGGATGAAATGTTCTGTAAATATCTATTAGGCCCATTTGATCTACAGTGCAAATTAAGACTAGTGTTTGTCGATTTTCTGTCCAGATCATTTGTCCAATGCTGAAAGTGAGATGTTGAAATCTCTAGCTATTATTGTATTAGGGTCTATCTCTCTTTAGCTCTAATAATATTCACTTTATATATCTGGGTGCTCCAGTGTGGGATGCATATATATTTGTATTTGTTATAGCCTCCTGTTGAATTGACCCCTTTATCATTATATAATGACCTTCTTTGTCTCTTTTTATGATTTTTGTCTGGAAATCTATTTTGTCTGATATAAATATAGCTACTCCTGCTCTTTTTTTTATTTCTGTTTGCATGGAATGTCCTTTCCCATACCTTTATTTTCGGTTTATTTGTGTCTTTATAGGTGTAGTGTGTTTTTTGTAGGCAGAAAATAATTGGGTCTCTTTTTTTATCTATTCAGTTACTCTGTCTTTTGATTAGGGAGTTTAGTCCATTTACAGTCAATGTTATTATTGATAAGTAAGGACTTACTCCTGCCATTTTGTTGCTTTATGGTTGTTTTTTTGCTCCTTTCTCCCTTCATTCCTTTATTCTTGTCCTTCTTGTTGCAAAGATGATTTTCTCTGGTGGTATGTTTTAATTTCTTGCTTTTTATTTTTTTGTGTATCTGTTGTAGGTTTTTAAATTTGAGGTTACCATGAGGCTTGCAAATAACATCTTATACCCCATTATTTTAAATTGATGGCAGCTTAACATATTGCATAAACAGACAAACTAGCAAACAAGCAAATAGAAAACTAATAAAAGTCTACATTTTAACAACATCCTTCCATTTTTAACTTTTTTGTTTTATGCTATGTCTTGAAAAGTTGTTGTAGTTATTATTTTTGATAGGTTCATCTTTTAGTCTTCTTACTCAAGATATGAGTCCTTTACAAACCACAATTACAGTGTTATCATATTCTGGATTTGTCTGTGTACTTACTATTGCCAGTGAGCTTTGTACCTTTAGATGATTTCTTACTGCTCATTAACATCCTTTCATTTCAGATTGAAGAACTCCTTTTAGCACTTCTTGTAGGACAGGTCTGATGGTGATGAAAATCCTAAGCTTTTGTTTGTCTGGGAAAGTCTTTATTTCTCCTCCATGTTTGAAGAATATTTTCACTGGATAAAAGCTCTAGGATCCTATAATAAAAGTTGTTTTCTTTCAGCACTTTAGTAAACATTGTTTTCTTTCAGCGTGTTAGTGTCATGCCACTCTCTCTCTTGGCCTGTAAGGTTTCCACTGAGAACTCTGCTGCCAGACATATTGGAGCTCCTTTGTATGTTATTTTCTTTTCTCTTGATGCTTTTAGGATCCTTTCTTTATTCTTGACCTTTGGGAATTTGATTATTAAATGTCTTGAAGTTGTCTTATTTGGATTAAATCTGCTTGGTGTTCTGCATTATTCTTGTACTTGAATACGGGTATCTTTTCCTTGGTTTCAAAATTTCTCTGTTATTATCCCTTTGAATTAACTTTGTACCCTGATATCTCTCTCTCTCTGTGTGTGTGTGTGTGTGTGTGTGTGTGTGTGCATGTGTGTGTGTGTGTGTCTGTCCTAAGGCCAATAACCGTTAGATTTGCCCTTTTGAGGCTATATTCTAAATCTTATAGGCATACTTCCTCCTTTTTCTTTTTCTTTTTTCTTTTCTTTTTTTTGAGATGGAGTTTCGCTCTTGTTGCCCAGGCTGGAGTGCAGTGGCACAAACTCAGCTCACTGAAACCTCTGCCTCCCTGGTTCAAGTGATTCTCCTGCCTCATGCTCCCAAGTAGCTGGGATTATGCCACCACACCCAGCTAATTTTTGGTATTTTTTTAGTAGAGAAGGGGTTTCTCCATGTTGGCCAGGCTGGTCTCAAACTCCTGACCTCGATGATCCACCCACCTCGGCCTCCCAAAGTGCTAGGATTACAGGTGTGAGCCACTGCACCTGGCCCACTTCTTTTTTACTCTGTTTATTCTTTTGCCTTTTCTCACTGTGTATTTTCAAATAGTCTGTCTTCAAGCTCACTAATTTTTTTTTCTGCTTGATTAATTCTGCTATTGAGAGACTCTGATGCATTCTTCAGTATATCAGTTGAATTTTTCAGCTCCAGAATTTCTGCTTGAGTTTTAAAAATTATTTCAATCTCTTTTTAAAATTTATCTGGAAAGGATTCTAAATTTCTTCTCTGTGTTGTCTTGATCTTTCATCGATCTGTTATTTCATTGACCTTCCTCAAAGTAGCTATTTTGAATTCTCTGTCTGAAACGCCAAAGATCTCTGCCTCTGCAGGATTGGTCTCTACTGCCATTTTTACTTTGTTTGGTGAGGTCATGCTTTCCTGGATGGTCTTGATGCTTGTGGATGTTCATCTGTATCTAGACATTGAAGAGGTAGATATTTATTGTAGTCTTCATGGTGTGGGCTTGTTTATACCCATCCTTCTTGAGAAGGCTTTCCAAGTATTGAAAGTGAATTGAGTATTGTGTTGTAAATCTTTGGTCACTGCAGCTTTATCTGCTTTAGGGGGCACCTCAAGCCCCTTAATGCAGACTCTTACAGACTCATATAGATATCACCTTATTGGTCTTGAGAAAGACCCAGGTGAATTCCCTGTATTATCAGGCAGTGTCTCTGTTCTCTTTCCTTATTCTCCCCCAAACAAAAGGAGTCTCTCCTCTATGCTATGCTGCCTGGAGTTGGGGAAGGTGTGACACAAGCACCCCTATAGCCACCACCACTGAGACTGTGCTTGGTCAGACCTGAAGCCAGAACAGTACTAGCAGTTGGCAAAGGCCTGTGGTAACCATTGCCTGGCTACTGCTGATGGTTGTTCAAGGCCCAAAAGTTCTTTAGTCAGCAGGTGGTAAATCCAACTAAGCTTGTGTCTTTCCCTTCAAAATAGCAGGTTCCCTTGTGACCCAGGGTGGGTCTAGAAATACTGTCCAGGAGCCAGAGCCTAGAGTCAGGAATGTTAGGAATCTACTAGGTGCTCTACTTTACTGTGGCTTAGCTGACATATATGTTGCAAGACAAAGTTCTTTTTAATCTTTTTTCTCCTTTCCTCAAGCAGAAGTCTCTCCCTGTAGCCACTGTAGCTCCACACTCATGGCAAGTATTGACTGGCTACCACAGCTGTTTATTCAAGGCCCAAGGGCTCTTCAGTTAGCAAGTGATAAATCTTGCCAGTCCTAGGACTCTCCCTTCAGGGCAATGGGTTCCCTTCTGGCCCAGGGCAGGTTTAGAAATGCCATCCAGGAGCTAAGGCCTGGGATCAGGGACTTTAGGGATCTGCTTGGTCCTTCATTTTACTGTGGCTGATCTGGTACTCAAGTTGCAAGACAATGTCCTTTTTACTCTTCCTTCTCCTTTCTTCAAGGGGGAAGAGTCTCTCCCAAAGCTGTGAGCTGTGCTGCCTGGAACTGGGGGAACTATGGCACAAGCACTCCCTTGGCTGGCCAGCTGATATCTCACTGGGTTGTGTGCACCCCAAGTCCACTGGCTCCAAACCCAGCACAGCATCAGGACTTGTCCAAGAATTACAGTCCTTGTGGCCTAGATTGCCTTTCCAGTTTATTTATAACCCCAGAGTGTGTCAGTTCATGGTGGTGGAATTAGCTAGAACTCAGGTTCTAACCACCGATAGGGACAATTCCCCTCTGGCCAGGGCTGGTTTAATTGCTCCCTCCATGGGTGCCAGCTTAACTCTGTCCTGTGTTGCATTCCACTGTGAGTTCAGGGCAGCACTGAGTTCCAATGCAAAGTCCCACAGTCACTGTTGTCTCCCTCCCCCAAGCACATAGAATCTCTCTCAGCACCACAGAGCTGCTTCTGGTGAATGGGGAGAGATAATGTAGGCAATTCAAGACTGCCTTTTCTACCCTCTTCAGTGCCTCTTTTCTTGCTATGATAGTCAAACCAGGTACTGTGATTGCTCACCTGATTTTTTGTTTTTCCAAAAGGTGCTTTATTGTGTGGATAGTTGCTAAATTTAGTGTTCCTACGGGGACAGTGATTACTGGAGAGTTCTATTCCATCTTTCTCTGCCTCCTCCCTCTTCAGTGCCCAGCTCCTTTTAAATTAAACATTATATTGTGAACATTTTCCATGTCTATTAAAAGTATATATATATTTTTTGAGACAGGCTGGAGAGCAGCAGTGTGTTCATGGCTCACTGCAGCCTCAACCTAAGCTCAAACAATCTTCCCACCTCAGCTTCTAAGTAGCTGGGACCGTAGGTACATGCTACCACTCTTGGCTAATTTTTTGTTGTTATTTTTTATAGAGATGGGGTCTCACTATGTTGCCCAGGCTGGCCTCAAATTTCTAGGCTCCAGCAAGCCTCTTGCCTCAGCCTCCAAAAGTACTAGGATTACAGTTATGAGCCATGGCACCTGGCCCAAAAGTCTAATTTTATTGATCACATAGTTCTTAGCCTTATGTGGTAAAACCTGGATGCTTCTTGGATAAACTTAAGAAGCCTCACTTTCCACCTTCAGAAAGGCTGAAGATTTCAAGCCCAGTGCTACATGAATAAGTGTCTCCAGAAAGCCTAACATAAATATTATAGTTTTCTTATGAGTTGTCAGGGACTGAGTATAAGAATGTAAAGTACAAACAATTTGGAGACCAATTGGAAATATCTGCTGAAACTAAATATGTTCATTCCCTAATCCAGCAGTGCCACTTTTAGGTACATATGCTTAAGGAAACTCTTCCATAAGTACACAGGGATACAAATTTAAGGATGCTCATTCCAGCCCTGCTAAAATAGTAAAAAAAAAAAAAAAAAAAAAAAAAAAGAAAGAAATTTAAAAAATTGAAAATAACCAAAGTACCTATCAACAGGAGAATGGATAATAAACTGTAGTATATTTATGTGATGGAATACTATAGAACCATTAAAAAGAATGAGATGAAGCTATTTAGATCATCATAGATAGACATCAAAAGCAAAGGGCTGGGCCAGGTATGGAGGCTCATGCCTGTAATCCCACACTTTGGGAGGCTGAGGCAAGAGGATCACTTGAGCTCAGGAGTTCAAGACCAGCCTGGGCAACATGGTGAAATCCCGCCTCTATAAAAAATACAAAAAAATTAGCTAGGCATGATGGCGCATCCCTGTAGTCCCAGATACTTGGGGAGCTGAGGCAAAAGGATCAATTGAACCTGGAGATCTAGTCTGCAGTGAGCCAAGACAGCGTCACTGCACTCCAGTCTGAGTGACAGCGTGAGACTGTCTCCAAAAAAAAAGCAAAGGGCAATGCCTTAGTTTATTTGTAAGCATGCCTGCTTCATGGATATGTAAGTATATTGAAGTATGAAAAAAGATGAAAAACAAATTCATAGCAGTTGTCTCTGAGGAAGAGCATAATGGAGCAAGGGGAATTTTTACTTTACATGCTTTGTGTGTCATGTTTTAATTCTTTTCTTTTCTTTTCTTTTCTTTTTTTTTTTTTTTTTTTTGAGATGGAGTCTCACTCTGTAAACCCAAGTTGAAGTGCAGTGGTGCGATCTCGGCTCACTGCAACCTCCGTCTCTGGGGCTCAAGTGATTCTTGTGCCTCAGCCTCCAGAGTAGCTGGGACTACAGACATGTGCCCCCACACCCAGCTAATTTTGTGTATTTTAATAGAGACGGGGTTTCATCATGTTGCCCAGGGTGGTCTCAAACTCTTGAACTCAGGCAATCTGCCCTCCTTGGCCACCCAAAGTACTGGGATTACAGGCTCGAGCCACCCCACCTGGCCGATGTGTCATGTTTTTTTAAAAAAAGATTAAACAAATAAAACAAAATGTTGTTGTTCATTGATAATGTTATGTAGTACTTACATGGCCTTTTTTGTATTATTCTCAGTATTTCTAACTTCTCTTTAATTTTCTCTCAAAAAGGGTAAATAAATAATGAAAATAATAAATCTTTCAAGCCAATTAATTTATTATAAACATTATGTTATGCTGTAGATTCTCTCTACTTGCAGTAGTTATATTCTATAAAGTTTCAGTGAATACCAAATTAGCAAATACTGATCAATTGCTCAAAGGGAAAATACAGAGTTGGATTCCTGTGAGTCTCAGGTCACAATATTTTCATCAATTGATCACACATAACCTTGTATTATGTGTATTCCTGTTTTAAGGCACCTTATTTAATTAACACTGGACTCATGGTCATCAGCACTATAATTCTTACCTGAATAAAGCTTATCTAATGCAACCTATTTTCTCTGTAAGGCGTATCATAACCCTTGTGTGCTTAGGACCATTTTCCTTTTTTCTTTATTTGAGACAGACTCTCGCTCTGTCACCCAGGCTGGAGTGCAATGGTACGATCTCTGCTCACTGCAACTTCCGTCTCCCCAGTTCAAGCGATTCTCCTACCTCAGCCTCCAGAGTAGCTGGGAATTACAGGTGCGCGCCACCATGCCCGGCTAATTTTGCATTTTTAATAGAGACTGGTTTGACCATGTTGGCCAGGCTGGTCTCGAACTTCTGACCTCAAGTGATCCACCCACCTCAGCCTCCCAAAGTGCTGGGATCACAGGCATGAGTCACCACCATGCCCAGCCAGGAACATTTTCAAAAGCAAAATTACCACCAAAAAGCACAAAAACGTGAAAAAACATAGCACTAAATAGACCTCAAAGAGAATACTTGCTTACAGTATGAGGGCCAGAACAAGAAAGCAGAGGATTACCTCATTCAACCTCAGCCGAGAAATGTGAACATCAAGCAACTCAAATTTTTCACCATTCTATGCATGTCTGCAAATAACCAAGAAAGTGCCATGAATATTGATTTGGAAGTTACAAATAAATTTTAACAAGTAAGCAAATTCATACATAAATATCTATGAATAATAAGAGTTGGCTCCATGTACTTATGCAGATCAGTGACGCAAATTATAAACTGCAACAATATCTAAACAAGACTCTATTATTAAAACCTAATAATTTGCAGGTAACCATTCAAGTGACAGATATCAACTGCCTTCATCTCTGCTGAGACTTGTTGTCTTGTAGCATCTAGCTGAGGATGGTCACTCAAAGATCCCATGCACTTGGCAGATAGAAATTTTGCACCTTCTATCTGGAAAATCCCAGGCCTCGTGGGTCTCCCTTTTATCTTTCAACGTAAAATTTAGTCAAGGCATTTTTGTTTTCAATAAATTTTCTCTATTTAAAGAAACCAGCACCATGTAGATGAGCTACACAGGCTGGGGTCTTTGAATAGATTATTAAAATTCCACTTCACTTATTTTTTGATGTGAATAATCTCGGAATTCTAGTTTTGGAAAGGGCCATGTATATACATTTAATTGGTTTAATTCATCCCTGTGTAAGGGAGAGTAAATTTTAGAAAAGCCATTTTTAAAATGTGACATTGAAGAAAGGAGTTAGCAAATTGAAATCAAGCCTACCACTTTAAAGCTTTAAGAACTGATATTTAATATTTTCTCAGGTTTAGTCCTCAAAGATGGATTACCCCAACCATTTCTGCCAGGAATGTGAACTAAGAGATTTGGAAAAGCCAGCAATCATCTCATAGCATATTTACACCTTCTATATACCTATCAAACAAACAACAAAACTTTAAGTACCATGTTTACTGAAGCTTTTTTAAATTACAGAAATTGTATGTATGGACATGATCTTTTAAAGCCTATTTATTTTTAATTATCTCATTCATGCTATATATCTCATTCACACTCTTTCTTTTTGGGTTTTTTTTTCTTATGATTATTCTCAAGTCCTAAATCATTTCAAGATAAAATTGTAAGAAAATGCACTAGCTCCAAGGACCTTGTGGAAAGTCTCCTAGAAACTCATTGGTATGGAAAGGATGAATATTGAATGAGATGAAAACAGTTGCTTTGGCGGAGTCCCAGAAGATTTAAATGCATAAACATAAGCCTTGTGATGTTTGAGAGCCACAATAGCCAATATAAATAAATCATATGTAAAACAGTAACTTGAAAAAAAATGGAAAAAGAGATGGAAAAATGAAATAAATTACTTTTATCAAAATGTTTCTCAAATAATGGTAGGGGAGATAAGGTGATAAATAATAGATTGGCTATTTTTAAGAGGCCTTAGTAACAGTCTAAGTACATAGTGTTAAATTTCTGAATTTTTAACCACAGAAAGTCTATCCTTAGATAATCCATGTTGATTGTTTGCCTGCCATTTGAATTAACACACACACGCATTGTTCAATCCAAGTATTTTAAGTTTCCTTTTAAGAAGGCTTGCTAAATGGAAAACAACATTGATTGTTGGATTAGTTTACCCAAACAATGGGGACCAGGCAAAATGCTTACCTTTTTGATGCAGCCATATTTATGGGCTCTTGCTTTCACCTTTGTATTCAATGGCATTGACAAAATCTCAAATGCAGCATAGTAGATAGAGTCAAATGAGCTGACTGCCCTTGGCAGCAACATCCAAAACTGAAAAACATGATATGATATGTCTTAAAAGCAAGATCATTACTGTGTTTTTGAGTTTGGGAAAGAAGGAAGGTAGAAATCCCAGTGTAGGAAAATGAGTATCCAAAGAAACGGAGAGGACTAGAACTAACTTTGGGTTCTAAAGGAGTACAGGTCAAATAAGGATTCCTTCTTCCCTTCCTTTTTTCCTCCCTCCCTCTCTCCTTCACTTCCTTTCTTCCACTTCACAAATTTCCTGTTTTAAACATAAGCTTTTAAATTTTTTCAACTGAAGTACCAGGAGGTTCCTCCTCTTTGAAACCTAGAGTAATTAATCAATTAGAGGAAAGAAGATAATTCAGCTCATTCCAAATCAGTCTGGAAAATTTGCATTGTCCTACATGGCTATACATATTACTTTGTGAGAAAAATGAGATGGGGTAACCTAATTGCCTTTTATTTAAAAATGAGTTGGCCCATTTTCAAAATATTATTCAAATGTCTCAAGAAACCATTGAGAATAAGAAATAAGCCTCCTTCAAATCACATGTCAGGAATAGGAAGGTCAATGCATCCTTCACCTCTGAGACTGACACAAATGGCACATACAAGGGCACTTTTCTTTTCTTCTCTTTAAGTGATGCATAGTTTCCAAGTCAGAACTGATTTGTAAACAATGTAATCCTGAAGAATCAACACAGAAGAAAAAGAAGATGGAGGGCAGATAGATGGGTGGAAGGGTCAGACATTATCAAATTGCTTTCCTGTCCCTGTGATTCCCTGAGCTCCAAAAGTCTGTTTTTATTAACCCAGTTTCAGTCCAATTATCTTTTTAATTGTTCAAATTTACCCTTGGCTAGGGTATCCAAAAGCTTTAATTTCTTTCTAAAATTACCTCATTTTTTGTGTCTTTAGAAGCACATGTAACATGTGACTATGTTAGGAGCAGAGAGAAAGGCAAGATGTGAGTAAGTAGCCTTTAAAAGATCTGCGGGAACATCAAAATATCTGTCTTCAAATGGCCCTACTCTTTTAAACATCACTGAGGCCAGCACAAGCAAAGTACAAGTGCCTGACCAGGTGCTCCTAACTACATGAAAGGCCAGAGCACAAAAAGTCAGGCTGTACCTTATATATGGTCAGACTTCGCATTTGGAAAAAATACTTAATACCTTTAGTGCCCACTTTTATTGACTAGATTTTTACTTACAGACTTATGCTCATTTTAACTGGTAAAATTATACTAAAATATATAGCAAAAAGATTAGTAATCTCTCTCTTCATTGCCTCCACTCTCACTCCCAGCCAACACTCCCCAACCCTTCCATTTTCACATCAACACCTTGATCGCCAATTAAGCCAAATGTACTAGCTCAAGAGTACCTGCTAGTGTCATGTGGTGCAGGCTGGAATTTAGGGCAGACAGGAAGCAGTTGCAGGGGCCCCTTCTCTGTGGATGGACAAGCCTAGGCTAAGTACAACTGGACGCATGGGACACACTGTGGGGCTATGCTCCAGAAAAGGGACCCTATCTCCCTATGACTCTTCCTTTTTATGGGGCAAGTAATGGAATGCTCTTGCAAATGGGGCAAGATAATCCAAGCTTGGGTATCAAAAAGGTGAGCATGGGTGCTAGCTGTTTATAGGATTCTAGGACAATGATTTGGATTCTAGCACCTGGTAGCCTTGTCAGAAATTGAGATGGAATGCAGATCCACTCTTCCCCATGCAGAGGAGAAGTCCCTGGCCAAGCTAGCTTATCTCCAAAAACACAAAGTGAGACTTGGGGGCCAAAGATCCAAGAATTCTGCCTGTCTCTCCAGAGTAACTTATGTTAAAATCTTTCTTTGTGTTTATCTAGATATGTGTATCAATAGTCTATGTATTTGTAGATATATATGTGTATATCTCTGTGTGTATATATCCTCCATATATATCTGTATGGTATACTTATGTGACACACACAACACAAATGAAAGGTTTTTTAATATTATTAAAACAAGAAAATGGGATCATACTAAACCCATTATTATGCAGCCTCTTTTTTCATTTAGTGTATCTTGACTTTCCCTGGTTAAAGTTGAAAAACTAAGGGCCATGAAGAGAAAATGAGTCATCTATCACTAGGAACTAGTTAGTGACTGGGCAGAATCAAAATCTTTATGCCTTCATCCGCTAAACTGCCTGCCTTTGACTCTACCCTCACATGCTTGAGGTGGGTTTCGTAGATTCAAAATCCTTTGCTGGTACAAAGCTTTCCAATTCCTGCTCCTCTGCAGAAGTGCATTACTATTCCAGATCCTGCAGGGCCAAAGCATTGGACAAGGAGTCTTCCTTTATGTTCCTAACTATTCAAAGGAAGACAAGCCTCAGGAAGCTCCCTGGACCCATAAGTGTCAGATGCCCCAGAGGGAGAGTAAATAAGTGATGGAAAGAGGCTGACTCTCTGAAAATTCTGTACTCTCTAATCCTTGTCACAAAGTTTGTATATATCTAATATCTATCTGTTTATCTTAGTGGAAGATAGCATGAACCTCAAAGATCACTACAGAAGATTCATCTATTCTTGGCACAATGCTATGTCTCAGTTTAGGGGAGTGTTTTCTCCATGTCTATTTTATTAGTCAATATAATTTAAACCAAAATATCAGGGGGAAATTGTCAGACATTACATTGTAATTTTTAGGATCATTTAAGAATGGAGACTATGTAAACCCATAACAAACTCCCGGTGCATATCAAGATTAACATGTATATAAGCTCTTCCAAAGAAACTGTCAAATATATTGCGACTATTGAGAAACAATGTTCTACAAACAACTGGTCTCCCTGCTTCTTCCCTTACCTCCCCTCAGTATGTTCTCAGCACAGCAGCTAGATTGATTGTTGTTAAAATAGAACACACATCATGTCATTCTACTCAACTCCAATCTTCCCAAGTGATTCCAATCTATACTATAACAATCATAAAGCTAAGTACTTTGAAGAAAAATAAAACAGGATCAGAGACTGGAGAGTGATGGGAGGTGCCATTTCAGACAGTCATAAGAGAAGGCCTCTCTGAATAGGTGACATTGGAGTCTAAATCCAGTGAGGGACTAAGACTTGCAGCTATGTTAGGAGCCAAGGGAAAGGCAAGATTTGAGTAAGTAGTCAGTAAATACGGCTACCTCAACAGCCCATTATCATTATAGAAATGTACTCCTGTACATTATATAAGTGAATAGATATGAAGGACACAGAGCTATGGCTAAGTGTCTAGGAAATGAAAATAACTTAGACACTTAGCCATAGTACTGAATCCTTCATATCTATTCACCAAAAATTCCATTAAATGAAAACTTTCTATGTAGCAGATGCTGTTGACCCTCATCTCCCTTAGAGTAAATGCTCAAGTATTTTCAATGGCCTAACAGTCCTACCCACTCTTCCCTGCCTCCAACCTGCTCTCTCCCCTCCCCAGCTTCATCTCTGACCCTGTTTCCTATCATTCTCTCCCTCTGTCATTCAACTCAGACATACTGGCCTCCTTGGTGTTCTTAGAATACTCCAGTCATACTCCAACTTGAGAACTGGCATACTTGCATTTTCATTTGCCCAGTGTGCCCATCACCCACATGTCTTTTGTGACTCACTCTTTTGACTTTTCATTGTCTTCACTCAATGTTGTTTTTGCCTAAGTCCTTTTCTGGCTAGCCTTTCTAAAATTGCAGCCCTACCCATCGCACCCTTCGTAAATTCCTTACCCACTTTCCCTGCCTTTTTTTCACCTTAGAAGTTAACACCATCAGCATGCTATACTCGTATCTAATTTTCTTGTCTCCCCATGAGGGCTGAGAATTTTGTCTGTTTTGCTCCTGCTGCATTGCCAGCCACTAGGACAGTGCCAGGCAACATGATATGCACTCTAGAACCACTTGTTGAATGAATAAATAAATGTTTGACAAATTTACTCAATAAAATGATCAGTTTTTCAACAGTACTTAGCATTCCAGTGGGTCACCAGAACCAAAGAAACTGAAAGCAAATTTTTTCCAGAAAAAAGTATTCCAAGTGACATGAGAGTTAACCCTAGGCTTAGTCTAGGACAGAGCAAATGCACTGTGCATTTCCTATATCAGAGATAGCCAGGATCCAGGGAGGTTTCAGGGTTCAGACATTAAGCCAGCCAAATATTCTAAGGGGGACCAAGATAAGAACAAAGTCTTTGTACTGAGTGGTGCCCAGGTGAAGGGCTGTGTAAGTCTTACTAGGAAGAAATTGCCTCTATGAGACTTCTTAGAGGATAGACATTGTTATTGTGTTGGCCCCCAATAGAGTCATTTAAAAACTTCCATCGTCGGGGGTTCATACCTGCTCTTTTCTCTTCTTCCTCATGCTTTACAATTAGCATTCTCTCAACTCTGCCTTCTCAGGAAACTTGCTGCCCTTCTTGTAGAAGGGTGGACGGGACCTGTTCATATTTACTGGAATGTGAATGGAGTAGACCCTGGTAACCCCATTGCTTCACCACAACCAGATGGGAAATTGGTCTCACCCACCCACTGGGGGAATCCTTCGAGAATCTTCATTCTTTTGTTACCATCCTGCGGCACATCTGACACTCCGTGGTGTTCAATAAATGCTGGCTCAAGAGCTAATGATCTATTATTAATGACTTGGGTCAACATAGAGCCTTTACTCCAGAGTTCTTTGCAAGACTGTGGGCATTGTACCTTGTTGGTAATTAGATTATGCCCTAGGGATCTCTGTTTGAAAGGAGGCCTGTCTCAAATGTCATGTTTCAGAATCCTAATTATAAAAATCCATAATTGACTGCCTCCTTAAGAACAACGAGAATGATGGCTTGTGTGCCCCAAGAAGGATGTGCAAGAGGAACACAAACAAGGAAGTGTTGCTGTAGAGAAATGAGATTTTTAAATGTCCTGGGAAAACTTGGTGCTATGGTGCACTGGAGTAAACCCTGCAAATATAAAAACCAAACTGGGAACAAGGCTCATCAATGCTTATGCAAATACTCTCAGGGAAAGCACTCTAAATCTAATACTGGGTCCCCCGAGATGTCGGGGAAGTTTGAAGATAATCACTTGCGACACTCAGGCTTTTCTTGAGACCCAGTTTTAAACAACTGACCTTAGTTCTGAGCTGGATGGATGCCAAAATTGAGTGTCTGCTCAGTTGGAGCCAAATCCTCTCCTAGCTGTCTCTCAAGTCAGTTGGCAATATTTGCTTTGAGTTCTTTTTCCCACTTATGCAGAATTAATTTTGAAGTCTTTCCTCCTTTGGGCTGGAAGTGTTGAGGAAAGCAATGTGTGGTGTTTAGGTCCCAGGTGACACCTTTTTGTTCATGTGTCCGCTTTGTTTTCCGCTTCCTTTGAAGGCCTGTCCACTTTATATAGTGAAGAAGTTTACATTAGGGTGCGCCTCAATTCCACAAGCATCTGTAGACTAATCGCCATCGGTTGAGTCCTCTGTTAAATGTTGAGGTTGTTGAGGCTAGGGGAGAAAGTGTAGAGCTTACAGAGGGAGTGTGTGATGGAGGAAAGAATACAGGCTCTGGAGTGAAACTCTGGCTTCTAATCCTGGCCTCACTACAGATCAGCAGTGAGAACTTGGGCAAGTTATATATGCACAGTAAGCCTCTGTTTCCCCAATTAGAAAACTGGGGTAATAGTTCCAAATCTGAGAGAATTATACTTGTAAACAGATTCAAAATCATACATATTTCTATGATTGCATAAAATAGTAAACAGCCTCAAATGCAACACGTAAGAATAAAGTAAGTTATCATTTTTTTCAATGTATTGTTAGTCCTTAATCTCTAGAAGCCTGACAGTTGAGACAGGAAAATAAACCTCATATGCATGAAAAAAGTAGAGAATAGCAGAGGAAAAATGACTGGATTCAATAATAGAAGGAAAGAAGGCACAAGTTTCAGCATACATGTGTAAGGTAATAAGTGCTGTGAGCAATAAGAAATCACATCACAATTTCTGCCTAGAGAGTTTTTTCCCATCATCTATCATCCAAGCCTCAGTGCTTATATAATTAGAAAATGCAGGGTGTTTTGTTCTCTCTTCCATGAGCATGTCTAATTTAAATTCCGTTGCATTCCAGATCACATGAAATCAACATATAAATGAAAAGCCGTCTGCATTTCTGAAATGAGATGGAACTTTTGACTTTTCTACTTGAAGAAACAGTATCACTGTCACTCTGCTAAAAACTATTTTTTTCTCCTCTCACTAACTATAAAATCAAAAAGGCAGGGAAAATCATGTCCCAAGTTTGATTGAGGGATAGCTCTGATTTGTTACTAAAATTGCTATCAGTAGTTAAAATAATGTACATGTATGTATATATGAGTAATATGTATAGGTAATAATGTACATGTATCTATACATAGGTAACATACATATATAACAGTAATATGTGTTTGTAATGGTAACGTATATAAGTAATAATGTATATGTAATAGTAATATGTATATGTGTGCATATGTAATAGTATGATTATGCAGCAACCATCATCAATGACCAATCTATTTAAACTCCACACTATAACTTTCTGCACGTGTGATGTCTCTTAAGGTCAATGACCCTCTAAATGTAAAAATAGCATGTGTGAGGCCCCACCTATGGTTGTTCAGAGCTCCAGGAAACAGGTGGCATGTGAGTGAAATCAAGATATTTAAGGTACCAGTTGTCCTCCATAAAGTGAACATTTTTAGTTTTCTGACTTGAAGATGTGGATATTTTCAACCTTTTAATTCTAGGCTGCCTTACTCTCGTCTCCATGGTGCAGCACACACCCCGTGAATAAGCCCTGTTTCATCCAAGAAAAACAACCTTTGACCATCCACCTCCTCATATCTCACCTGGGGAAAACCAGTTGGCCTATCTTTGACTGACTTCAACACATCAAAATGTGCACAATGGTCATTTTACTGAAAGTCCTAAAATGTTCATTAAAAAACCAATTCAAACTTAATAATACTACCCTAACTGAGGTAGACTCTTAAAACCAGTTTCTGGTCAATGAGATACCTGTGTCAAATGGTTGTGTAATCAAATTCTTTCCATATCCTGCAAACATAGCTTGATGAGTTTAATTAACGATCATTTTGAATTCTTTTATGCAGACAGGTTTTTTTTCCTAAAGCATTTATGATGCCAGGATTTTTATTTTATTTTATTTTATTTTAGACAGGGTCTTGCTCTATTGTGCAAACAGTGGCGTGATCACAGCTCCTTGAGGCCTCAACCTTCCAGGCTCGAGTGATCCTCCTGCCTCAGCCTCCCAAGTAGCTGGGCCTACAGGCATGCACCACCATGCCTGGCTAATTTTTTCTATTTTTTTTGCAGAGACTGGGTTTTGTCGTGTTGCCTAGGCTGATCTCAAACTCCTGGGCTCAAGCTATCCACCCACTTCGGCCTCCAAAGGTGCTGGGCTTACAGTCATGAGCCACCGCACCTGGCCCAATGCCAGGATTTTAAACAGAAATTTTCCCTTCCAGGCAGCTTTGACAAATCATACATTTTTTTTTCCTTCTAAGATGAGCTTATGTTGGCTGTGATCTCAATCGCACTGATACAGTGCTCCTTTTTAAGGACACAGATTAATTGGAGGTGGGGAAAAGTGTTGGTGTTTAAAGGAAAAACATTTTCTTTTTATATAATTATTGAGTAATTTGGAAGGCATTGTAGAAATCATCCATGTCTTTGTAAAATCCGGGGGCTAGATTGAATTTCCTTTCTGTTTCCTCCAGCTTTAGTGTTCTATGAATCTATCATCCACTCAACTTTGAACTCCTGCTGAACAGTCACCAGGTCTTACTCGTCTTCATACTTCCAAAGGCCCTTACAAGGCCTGGCACGCAGTAGGGCCTCATTACTTGTTTGTTAATGAATGTATAAATCATCCCATATGCTTTGTATGCTTCATTTCAATTCTTTCTGAGTATAGCAAGAATCATATGTTGCCATTCATGGCTCACAATTCTGTTCTTCAGCATCACAAAATCATACTGGTAAAATTTTCCTATTTCATGTTTTATGCTGTAGCTATAGGGTACAAACGCATACTATTTATCATGCTGATGATTTTGTTGAGGTGGATCCGTTTAGTCATTCATTTAATAAATATTTACAGAACACCTACTGGGTAGTTGTATTGCAATGCTGAACTGGACAAAGTTCCCTATAACAAGGAACTTGTCTAATAAAGAAGACAGACAAGTAAACATAAAATAGTATGAGTGTTATAAAGGATAAGTACGACAAGCTGTGGGAACAGAAGAGTAGCTCACCTGGTCTGAGGAATTCAGGAAATGTTTCCCAAAGGAAGTAGTAGATTCAAACCTTAAGGTTAAGAGTGAGGTGGGTGAAACTGGGCAGAGGGCCAGACAGCGTAAAGGGCAGTGAGAATTTCAGATCCCAGAGTGGATGTTTATTTAGAAGGCAATAAAGGACCTGTGGGAGAGGCCAAGCGGGGGACGAAATTTGTGTTTTAGAAAGACCTTTCTAACTGCAGTTAGAAAGTAGAAAGGGGCAGGACCAGAGGCCAGGAGAAGTCTAAGAAGACGTTTAGAGTGGCAGTGAAGATAAAGGCACTGGCAGCAGACATGAAAAGAATTAGATGAATTCTGGATATATTGAGGAAGAAAGTGAATGGATGTATATGGTGGTGAAATGATGCAGGAAAGAAGATGTAAATTCTGATATCTGCTTTGAGAAATTGAGTGGATGGTTGTGTCATCTAGTAGGATAAGAAACACCTTCTAAAGCATTAGCACTTTGGGAAGGAAGGAAAGCAATGATAAATTCTGTAGGGTTGCTACATGATATCCAAGATGAGCTGTCTAACAATGCTAGGGTCTGAATGTTTGTGTTCCTCAAAATTCATATGTTGAAGCCTAATTCCCTATTTGAAGGTGAGGCCTTTCAAAGATAATTAGGTCATGAAGGGAGAGCCCTCATTAATGAGACTGGTGTCCCTATAAGAAGAAACAGATGCCAGCCATGGTGGCTCACATTGTAATCCCAGCACTTTGGAAGGCTAAGATGCAAGGATCATATAAGGCCGGGAGTTTGTGATCAGCCTGGCAATATAGGGAGACCTCATCTCTACAAATAACAATTTCAAAAAATTAGCCAGGTGTGGTGGCACATGGCCATGTCCCAGCCACTTGGGAAGCTGAAGCAAGAGGATCATCCGAGCCTGAGAGATCAAGGCTGCCGTGAGCCATGATTACACCACTGTACTCTAACCTGGGCAACAGAGCAAGACCCTGTCTCAAAAAAAAAAAAAAAAAAAAAAAAAAAAAGAGACAAGACAGATGATCTCTGTCTCATGTGAGGATACACCAGGAAGGTGATCATCTGCAAGCCAGGAGACAGGTCCTAACAGCACCAAATAGACTGTCACAGTGATCTTGGACTTCTCAGTATCCAGGACTGTGAGAAATAAATTTAAATTGTTTAAGCCACCTATTCTATGGCATTTTTATTATAGTAACCCAAACTAACTAAGACGAATAGTTATTTGATTATATAAATCTGTATCTCAGGAAAGAGTTTTGCATTGAAATTATATAATTGACAGTCATCAACATATAGATAGATACTGAAACTATTAAAATGAATGTGCTGAGGGAAAGAAGGTGGCAGGAAAATACTAAGAAATGCCAATCTTTAAGAGACATTCAAATACTTTGCTTACTAATTAATATCACCTGCTCAGTCTCCATTCCTAAGGACCATATACACTCTAGGTCATAGGGATTGACTATGGTTCGAATGTGACCCCCAAGTTCACCTGTTGGTAACTTGATCCCCAGTGTAGAGATGTTGAGAGGGGAGATCTTTAAGAGGTGATTAGGTCATGAGGCTCTACCCTCATGAATTTTTTAATGCCATTATCATGAGAGTGGGTTTGTTATCACAGCAGTGGCTTCCTTATGAAATGAGTTTGACCCCTTTCTCTATCTCTTGCCATCGCTTTGCCCTCTGCCATGAAATGACATAGCAAGAAGACCCTTGCCAAATTCTGGCCCCTAAGTCTTGGACTTCATAGCCTCCAGAACTGGGAGCCAATAAATTTTTGTTCATTATAAATTGTCCAGTCTGTGGTATTTGGTTACAGCAGGAAAAAACAGATGAGGATGGAATCTAACAAGGCGCTTTCTATGGTGATCCTACCTAGGAGCTCTGTGGAGAGACAGAGCAAGGCCTATGTCACTTAAGAATGTCTTACATACATTCTCAATTACTCAGTTAAAATGATTTACAAATTTTGCTTTGTCATATGGGTGTAGAGAAGAGGAAGAGAGTTAATTATTAAACATGTGAATGCCTAAGACATGTTCCTAAGCTTCCTCAAGAATACTTTTTTAGATTACATTGAGCACAACAGACAGGAGGTCCATGAAACTCCATCTAGGATAAAGATGCCTTGTATTTGTTACTAAGCTGTTATTAAGGGGACCCAGCACAATGCTTTGCTTTCACCATCTCCTCAAATCATACACACACACAACTTAATCAAGAGGGAGGAGCAGGTGGAAGAGATGGCAGCCATGATGGTATCAGCAAGAGCAATAGCTGCCAAGAAAAAATTTTTAAAAAGCACTTAAATTCCTGATAACAAACTGAAATCAAGAGCCTTTGGCATAATACTTGAGTCATATTTGTATGATGTCTCAGCAGGTCATAAATGCTGCTTTCAGAATTATTTCTGTAAATAGGGTTAGTCAGAAATATATAACTAAGCAAATAAAAGCTCCTTTTATAATTTTATAACACCCTGGGGACATTGTAGTTATTTTTTATCTTGTTTTGTTTTGCTTCACATAATCTGGAGTGTCCCAGAGCTATTTAAGATCTCATGTGTTGAAACCCTCCAAGTTTGTTGTCAACCTAAGAACAAATATTTTGATTTACTAAGGAACTTAAATCAGATAAGAGATTCTGGGGGATGTAGAATCATCTGAAAATTGTTATCTTAAGAGATTTAGTTATTTCCTTAGTCATGCATCTTCCACAAGCTGCATGTTTTAAAAAGCTAACTTTCTACTAGCACTTCAGTTCTGAGGTCATAATAAATCCCTAAGATTTGACATCTTGGTAAAAATAGACATGTGGATTAATGGCAGATAACAGAGTCCCCAAAATAGAATAACACATCCTGCTTTAAAATTTCGCAAAGTTTTGAGCTCTTTGAATTCTAGCAGGAATCCAGATATTATACATTGGCCCAAGATAATTTTGTAAATAATTTTTAACATAAACAAAAATTTAGCTCACAGCAGCCTTGAACTCCTGGGCTCCAAGTGATCCTCCCACTTCTGCCTCCAGAATTGCTGGAAATACAGGCAAGCAACCCACACTCAGCTAATTTTTTTTTTTTTTTTTTTTTTGGTAGAGACAGGGTCTTGTTGTGTTGCCTGGTCTAGTTTCAAACTTCAAGCTGGCCTCAAGCAATCCTTTCACCTTGGCCTCCCAAAGCTCTAGGATTGCAGGTGTGATCTCCTATATCCCACTCCACTTTTTTCATAGCAGCTTTATTGATAAGGAATTCATATACTATACAACTTACTCAATTTAATGTTTTTTAATGTAAAGTTGTGCAACCCTCACCACAACAAATTTAGGAACTTAGGAATTTAGGAATTTCTAAAATGTTTTAAATTTTAGAAATTACTTTTTTCTTTTTCTTTTAGAATTCGTAAAACATTTACATGATTCCAAATTCACTACCATATGACATGCAAACATTCATCAGCTGATGAATGGATAAACATAATGTGGTATATTCTTTCAGTGAAATACTATTTGGCAATGTAAAACAATTAAAATTATATAGAGTGTGTTCTCCACAATAGAATCAAACTAGAAATCAATAACAGAATAATAGCAGAAAGATCGCCAAACATCTAAATGCTAAACAACACACTTCTAAATAATACTTGTATGAAGAAGAATTCTAAAGAGAATTTTTTTTAATTCAACCGAATAAAAATGAAAATACAACATATCAAAATGTGTAAGATACAGTTAAAGCAATGCCGAGAGGGAAATTTATAGACTAAATCCACACATCAGCAAAGAGGAAAATCTCAAAACATACATTAGGAAAGAAAAATCTCTAAGCTACCTCCTCAATTAGAAAAATCTCTAAGCTAACTCTGGGAATGGGAACCTGCAAAATGAGGAATGTTTGGAGAAAGATACATTCCTTATCAGGCTGATTTGAAGTGAGGCAGAAAAAAAGAAACCCACAGATTTACTTGTGCAGCTAATTATAATTCAACATTATTTAAGCCCTTAATGGCCAAAACTTAATATATTAAAATTTTTCCCCAAAATTCAAAAGACCTAGGGAAAAATAAAAAACAAAATAAAGCCAAAGCAACGACTGGGCTTGGTGGCTTACGCCTGTAATCTCAGTACTTTGGGAGGCCGAGGCAGGCGGATCCCTTGAAGTCAGGAGTTTGAGACCAGCCTGGCCAACAGGGTGAAACCCCATCTCTACTAAAAATACAAAAACTAGCTGGGGTATTGTGGCACGCACCTGTAATCCCAGCTACTCGGGAGGCTGAGGCAAGAGAATCACTTGAACCCGGGAGGCAAAGGTTACAGTGAGCCGAGATCATGCCACTGCACTCCAGCCTGGGTGACAGATCAAGACTTCATCTCAAAAAAAATAAAAATTAAGGCCCGGCGTGGTGACTCACGCCTGTAATCCCAGCACTTCGGGAGGCCCAGGCGGGCGGATCACAAGGTCAAGAGATCAAGACCATCCTGGCTAACACAGTGAAACTCCATCTCTACTTAAAATACAAAAAATTAGCCGGGCATGGTGGCGGGCGCCTGTAGTCCCAGCTACTCGGGAGGCTGAGACAGGAGAATGGCGTGAATCCGGGAGGCGGAGCTTGTAGTGAGCCGAGATCGCGGCACTGCACTCCAGCCTGGGTGACAGAGCGAGACGCCATCTCACAAAAAAAAAAAAGTTACACTAAAAAATAAATAAATAAAAATTAAAATAAATAAACTCAAAGCAAGCAGAAAGGAGATAATAAAGATAAGAACAGAAATCCATGAAATTAAAAACAAAAAATAATACAGAAAATCAATGAAAAAAAGAGCTTGTTCTTTGAAGAGATCAATAAAATTGACAATCCTCTAGCAAGACAGGCAAAGAAACAAAGAGAAAGGATACAAATTACCAACATCAGGAATGAAACAAGGGTATGAATTACAGACCCTTCAGACATCAAAAGGATAACCAGGGAATACTACAGACCACTCTACACATATAAATTTGACAATTTAGATGAAATGGACCATTAAATAACACAAACTACCCTAACTACCCCAATACAAAATAGAGAACTTAAATAGCCCTGTAACTATTAAGAAAATTAAATCTTAATTATCTCCCCCCAAAAAAACTCTATTTTCACTGAAAAATTCTACCAAACATTTAAAGACTTGACACGAATTCTATACAATCTCATTCAGAACTAAAAGAGGAAACACTTCCCAATTTATTTTATGAAATGAGTATTACCTGATAGCAACATAAGACAAAAACAGTATTAAACAGAACACTACAAACAAATATCCCTTATTAATACAGACACAAAACTCTTTATGAAAACATTAGCAAATAGAACATAGCAACACATGAAAAGAATTATACATCATGACCTATTGGAGTTTATTCCAGGGATGTAAGGTTGGTGCAACATTGGAAAATCCATTAATATAATATCATATTAACAGGTTAAGCAAGAAAAATAACATGATCATATCAATTGATTCAAAAAATACACTTCACAATAATTTAACACCCTCAGAAAAATAAGAGTGGAGGGAAACCTTTTCAACTTGATAAAGAGCATCTACAAAAACTATACTTGGTTGGGTGCGGTGGTTCACGCCTCTAATCCCAGCACTTTGGGAGGCCGAGGCAGGCGGATCACTTTCTGAGGCTGGGAGTTCAAGACCAGCCTTGCCAACATGGCGAAACCCCGTTTCTACTAAAAATACAAAAAAAATTACCCAGATGTGGTGGCAGGCATCTGTAATCCCAGCTACTCAGGAGGCTGAGGCAGGAGAAGTGCTTGAATCTGGGAAGTGGAGGCTGCAGTGAGCCAAGATTTCGCCATTGCACTCCAACCTGGGCAACAAGAGTGAAACTCCATGTCAAAAAAAAAAAGAAAAAAAAAAACTACACTTAACATTATACTTAATGAATGGCTTAATGCTTTCTGCCTATGACAGGGAACAAAGCAAGAATATCTGTTCTCACCTCACTTATTTGATATAGCTCTAGCCAAAGCAAAAGGTAATAAAAGGCATACAGATTAGAAAGGAAGAAATAAAACAGCTCATATTTGCAGATGACATGATGCTCTACGTAGAAAAATCCCAAGGAATCTACACACACAAAAAAGTCCTCCTTAAACTAATACATGAGTTCAGCAACATCATAGGATACAAAATAAAGATACAAAAATCAATTATACACATGGATACCAATTTTTAAAATACAGTACCATTGACAATTGCTCTTCCAAAATAAGATGCTTAAGTATAAATCTAACAGACAAGACAGGACTTGTATGCTGAAAACTACAAAATGCTAATGAAAGAAATCAAAGAATATCTAAATAAATGGAGAGACATATCATGTTCATGTATTAAAAGACTCAATATAATAGAGATGTTGCTTCTCCCCATTTGAACAGGTAGAAAAATTGATACACAAATAGCAAATCCTATCAATAGCCTAACCAGATTTTTTAAATAGATTTAGACAAAACTGTTTTAAAATTTATGGAAAGGCAAAGAAATTAGACTAGCTAAAACAATTTTGAAAAAGGAGAATAAAGTGGGAAATATCAGTCTACCCAGTTTCAAGACATTATATAAAAACGGTAAGCAAACCTGTGTGGTAATGGCAGAGGTATAGACACATATATCAATGGGCCAGAAAAAGGCACTCAGAAAAAGACCTAAATAAATATGCCTGGTTGATTTTTGACAAAAATAAAAAAGCAATTCAATGGAGGAAAGATAGGCTTTTAAAATAAACTTTTGATTTCAGAATACTTTTTGAGTCATAGAAAACTTGTGAAGATAGGACAGAGAGTTTCTATATATCTCATTTACTAATTTCCTCTGTTATTAACATCTTGCATTCGTATGGTATATTTCTTACAATTAATAGGCCGATATTAAAACATTATTATTGGCTGGGCACAGTGACTTATGCCTGTAATCCCTGCACTTTGAGAGGCTGAGGTGGGAGAACTGATTGAGGCCAGGAGTTCAAGACCAGCCTGGGCAATATTGCAAGGTTCCATCTCTACAAAAAACATTATTTTATAAAAGTTAGCCAGGTGTGGTAACACACATTTGTGGTCCCAGATGCTCAGGAGGCTGAGGTGGGAGGATCACTTGAGCCCAGGAGTTTGAGGCATGGGGTGGGAATGGGAAGTGACTGTAAGTGAGGGCAAAGTTTCTTTTTGGGCTGAAGAAAATGTTCTAAAATTAGATTGTAGTGATGGTCATATAACTTTATAAGTCTGCTAAAAAGTCACTGAATTGGCCACACATGGTAGCTCACACCTGTAATCCCAATGCTTTGAGAAGCCAAGGCAAGAGGATGGCTTAAGGCTAGGAATTCAAGACCAGCCTGGGCAACATAGTGAGCCCTCATCTCTACAAAAATAAAAATAAAAATTAGCCTGGTGTGGTGGTGCATGCCTGTAGTTCCAGCTACTCTGGAGGCTGTGGCAGGAGGATCACTTGATCCCAGAAGTTTGAGGCTTCAGTGAGCTATGATCACTTCACTGTACTCCACTGGGCAACAGAGGGGACGCTGTCTCTAAAAAATAAATAAATAAAAATAAAAATCACTGAGTTGTAAGCTTTAAACGAGTGAATTTTATTCACCAAAAAAGCTATCTTTAAAAACAAACTATAAACAGAGAAGTCTCTCTTCTATTCCTGTCCTAGACCCCGTTCTCTCCCATCCCCACAGAAAATCATTTTTATTAGTTTTTGGCTTGCCCTACCAGTTTTACTTTGGCAAATGTAAGCAAGTACAAATACATTAAGTGATTTTAAAATTTTGCCTTAAATACTGGCAATTGACAAAAGCAGCTCTATCTAATTGAGAGGTAAGAAGGAACTCCCTGTAAACCTTTTAGAGATTCTAAAAGGACACTTCTGGGGCTCCACAAAAGTTTTAAAGTTTACAACATTAGTTTCAGCGTGTCCAATTACTTCGGAAAACATATGGCTTTTGGCCAGATGTGGTAGCTCATGCCTGTAATCCCAGCACTTTGGGAGGCCAAGGCGGGCAGATCACCTGAGGTCGGGAGTTCAAGACCAGCCTGGCCAACATGGTGAAACCGTGTCTCTACTAAAAACACAAAAATTAGCTGGGCATGGTGGTGCATGCCTCTAATCTCAGCTACTCAGGAGGCTGAGGCAGGAGAATCACTTGAACCCAGGAGGTGGAGGTTGCTGTGAGCTGAGATTGTGCCACTGCACTCCAGCCTGGGTGACAAAGAGAGACTCTGCCTCACAAAAAATAAAAAATAAAAAAAATACGGCTTTTATTAATTTGAGTGAAGGGGTTCACAAATTAACAACAACAAGAAGGAGAGAGAATGCAGATGACAAAATTGCCTTGTGGGAGACCCAGACAGATACAATTAGCAACAGTTGGGAGGGAAGGTTGTAAGTGAAAGGGGCTTGAAAGAGAGAGAGAGAGTTTGTGTGTGTGTGTTGTCTGTGTGTGTGTGTTGTCTGTGTGTGTGTTGTGTCTATCCATCTGTGTAAGAAAGACATTATCTTTAGAGGCTTTTGCTAAGCTGTTCATGATGAGTATCTGAAAGAAGGTCGGGTGTATACCAAGTTCTTCACGCTAATGAGAGAGGAAGAAAGAAGGAAAAGGAAGAAGTCATGCATTTGCCAGTTTCCCATATTGGCCACTAGATGGCAACACCAACCCAAGACAGTCCTCTTCTGAGATGAGAGAAAAGGGTTGTATAGGATTAAGTACACAATTAGTTTGAATAACTTATTCCTATATACCACAGTTTTCAGTCAAGTATTCTTACCTCAGGAAGGGCATGTATAAGTTTATACATGTTTAAATGTATACGTGCATCTAAGAATACAAGCCAGGCAGGCAGACAGAATGCAAAATCTCCACAATGGTTGCTGACATTCTTTGCACTCACTAAATCTTACATATACGGAATTTCTTGACATAAAAATGGATTAGGTCTCAAAAGCGAGAAATGGTAAGGCATTTACTATTTACCGTCTTCAGACCATAAAACCTCTTTAAACTGCAACTTTACTGTCAGCACCTTAGAATCTAAACATAACGTTTCAAAACGTTTCCATGGAGAAGGTTTTGATTTCAACTTAGCATGCCAACAGACCATTTTCTTGTCTTCCCATTGTCTACGTGGTGGAAATTTCTTCAGCTGTAAGCCAGACTGGAAACTTGTAGCCCAATGGGTGTCAAGGATAAAAGGTGTGGTAAGCTCCTTATTCCCTTGTTATTGAGGTGGGACCATCGGCTTCCATTTTCAGTGGTGTTTCCATAAAGATTTTCATCTTCTCCAGCGCCCGAGGCATCAGAAGAATTTATGTGACCCCAAGATCACCTTGAAACCATATTACCGGTTTATGGTTTCCTAAAAGCTTTTTGTGTGATTAGGTTTCGTTTTACTGTTAATCACAACAAGAAACAGGAAGTGGGTAAAAACACCAAAGAGAAAGTTGCAAAGTTTCAAACAATTCCACCATAAATAGTCGCACAATGAGAGTTGTCCCTAGATTTCACTGGAATGTAAATAAAAGCCTTGATCATTCTCACTGCTCGACAGCCACAGTTTCACTTTGTTCTTCATGGCTCTGCCAACCCTCTGAAACTCTCAGTCACGGGGACTGTGCTCTCAGCTTTCCTCCAAGAGATTTCTCCACTGCCATTGCCTCCTGTTTTTTCTTACCTCCTTTTATTTAATATTTACAGGAAAAGCTGTTGATATATGTGGAATGTTTGAGGATACAAAATGAATTAAATGATATTTAATGACATTTGGAAGAAAACCCAGATTTTCCACCCAAGTTTTTCTTCCTCAAAAAGAAAGGCCATTGTGTGCTCTTTCTTACTAGAGTGGGGGATGAAGAGTCCATTGCAAAGTGAAGACTTGGTCCAAAGCTGACCATGCTACAGGCTAGAGACACGGGCAGTCACAGGAAGGGTATGGCATGATGTCTAATATATACTGCACATTCCATATGTTCTATAGTATGCTATTCAAGATCTGCATAATCAAGAAATATTTTCCAATTTAAATTAATTAATGCTGGTCTGGTTTGAATTAGTAGAGAGAAAAAAGTCTAAATTAAATATATTATCAAAGCCTGGGCAACCCAACAAGATCTCATCTCTACAAAAAATAAAGAAATAAAATGAAATAAAAAAATTAGCCAGGCATGGTGGCACATGCCTGTTGTCCCAGCTACTAGGAAGGCTGAGGCAGGAGGATTGCTTGAATCCAGGAAGTCAAGGCTGCAGTAAGTTGTGATCATGTCACTGCACACCAGCAGAGGTGACAGAGAAAGATCCTGTCTGTAAAAAATAAATAAATAAATAAATAAAGGTAGATGCTGCCAATGTCTCAGCCTTTATGATGTCCACCTGCCAGCATCAGGGTCCCTTTGCCCAAAGATTTTCTCTGACCACTGGAGTGCACTTTGCTGCACCAGGCTTAGGGAAATGAACAGATATCTGGGAAGTATTCCTTAAAAAATGACTGATGGGAACTGGTGAGGCAAGACTTCAGCTCATTCACCCCACTGAGGAAATAGCTCTGAGGTTTGTGTTATTCTGGATCTCCAGAGTTGCCAGCTGGATTAAGTTCCAATTGTCCATTACAGTAACTGGCTTGATAACACAGACCATTTATTAGTCTTCAATTCCTTGCCTCTCTTGCCCACTCACTAACAGTATTTCTTGAGATACTGTAATCACCCAACAGGTTCTTCCTGCCAGCGGCACAGACAAAACCAATTCACTGGGACCATGGTATTGCAGTAAAGAAAGAGTTTAATTAACAAAAAGCTGGCCAGGCAGAAGAAGTGGAGCTATCACTCAAATCAGTCTCCCTTAGAACTCAGACCCTATGGTTTTTATGGATAATTTGGTGGGCAGGGGGCTAGGGAATTGATACAGCTGATTGGTTGGAAGTGAAATTATTGGGGTGTGGGAGATGGTGCTCAAGCCTTAAGTCAGCCTCTGAGAGGTGGGGGTCACAGGACCAGTTAAGTCATGAGTCACAGGTCTGGTAGGGTCAGTCAGTTGCTGCAGTGCAAAAACCTGAAAAATATCTCAAAAGACCACTCTTAGGTTTTACAATAGTCATGTTATCTTTGGGAGCAATTGGGAAAGTCACAAATTTTGTGACCTCTGGCTACATGACTCCTGAGCAGTAAATGATTATGGAAACTACGCCTACATATTAGCAGACTTCAGGGCCTTCTATAATCTTAGCCTCATGGCCTTTTGTTAGTTTTCCACCCTTGAGCAAGGAGTGGTTAGTTCCAGGGAAGGGCTACTATCATCCTTGCTTTCAAGTTAAACTATAGACTAAATTCCTCCCATAGTTAGCTTGTCCTATGCCCAGAATGATCAAAGACAGCCAGCCTGTGAAGCCAAAAGCAAGATGGAGTCAGCCATGTTAGATTTCTCTCACTGTCGTAATCTTTGCAAAACCTATTTCAATACCAAATAAACTAATTACTCTCAAATTCTTGTCTCACAGTGTCTGCTTTTAGTAAAATCCAAATTAATAATATATAAAAATGCATTTTTATTGCAGTAAAATATACATAAAATTTAGCATTTCGACCATGTTTAAGTGTTCGGTGGCATCAAGTACATTCACATTGTTGTGCAATCATCACCACCATGCATCCCCAGAAGTCTTTCATGACCCCAAAGTGAAACTCTACACCCATCAAGCAGAAACTCCCCATTTCTCCTTCTCTCAGCCCCTGGTGACCACCATTCTACTTTCCTTCCTTATGAATTTGACTATTCTAAGTACCTCATGTAAATGGAATCATACATTTCCTTTTCTATCTGGCTTATTTCACATAGCATAATATCTTCACAGTTCACCCATGATGTAGCATCTGTTATAATTTCATCCCTTTTTAAAGCTGAATAATATTTCATCGTATGTATATACTACATTTTGTTTACCCATTTAGTCATTGATGGACATTTGGGTTGCTTCCACCTTTTGGCTATTGTAAATCATGCTACTATGAACATTGGTGTACAAGTGTCTGTTCAAGTCTCTCTTTGCTATCAATTTTTTGGGGGTATATACTCAGAAATGGAATTGCTGGATTATGTGGTAATTTTATTTTTACTTTTTAAGGAACCACTACACTGTTTTCCATAGTGACCACACCATTTTACATTTTCACGAGCAATGCACAAGGATTCCAATTTCTCTCTCTCCCTGCCAAGACTTGCTACTTTTAGGGGTTTGTTTTGTTGTTGTTGTTATTTGCTTGTTTGTTTTATTGTAGTCATCTTAATGGGCATAAAGTGGTAGCTCATTGTGGTTTTAATTGGAATTTCCTTAATTATTAATGATGAGCAAACAAACGATGATTTAATTTGTTTATTGGCCAATTTATATATCTTCTTTGTAGAAATGTCAATTCAAGTTTTTGCCCATTTTTATTTTATTTTATTTTATTTATTTATTTTTTTCAAGACAGAGTCTTGCCATCTTGCCCAGGCTGGTCTCAAACTCCTGGGCTCAAGTGAACCTCCTGCCTTGGCCTCCCAACGTGCTGGGATTACAGATGTGAGCCACTGCACCCAACCTTTTGCCCATTTTAAAACTGGATTATTTGGGTTTTTGTTATTGTTATATCATAGGAGGTCTTTATAAATTCTGGATACTAACCTCTTATCAGATACAGTTTACAAATACTCTCTCCTGTTCTGTGGGTTACCTTTTCCCTGCTTTCATAATGTCCTTTTGATCCACAGTAGCTTTAATTTTGATGAAGTCTAATTTATCTACTTGCTTTTGTTGCCTGTGCTTGTGAAGTCATTCAAGAAATTATTATTAAATCCAATGTTATGAGGCTTTTCCTCTGTTTTCTGTTTTTATGTTTTGTTTTAATTGAAATGGAGTCTCTCTGTGTTGGCCAGGCTCAAACTCCTAGGCACCAGTGATCCTCCTGCCTCAGCCTCTCAAATAGCTGGGATTACAGGTACACACCACTGTGCCCAACTTCTTCTGGTTTCAGATTAAGAATTTCATAGTTCTAGGTCTTAATTTAGGTATTTGATTCATTTTGAGATAATTTTTGCATATGGCCTAAGGTAAAGGTCCAACTTCATTCTCTTTCATGTCGTAAATAAATGAATTTTAAAACTAAATAAAGCCTCAATTATATTATGCATAGTTTTGCCAAGGACAAGGGGGAATAGTTTATCTTTAATAGTGATCTTAAATTTGTATTCACATTGTACATTTCTAGTCAATTACCCATGCCATGATAAAAAGACTAATACAATGGCAAGTAGAGAGTGATAATTCGGAAGTCTGTGGTGACTAAACAATGAGGTCTGACTACTGCACAAATGAGTGGTTTTAACTCCAGCATCACCTTCCTGACTTTTGAGGGGCAAATTGATTATAATATTTAAGAGATAAGGATATCCTTCATAAAGGATATGAGAAAGCCATAAATTAGAGTATGTTCATTCTCAGATAAAAGCTAACTTTTAAGTAGTTTGAGATCAATTAAGAAGCATAGATATCCATAGACATTCCATTTCATCCTATTACATACCTAATTTGGTCCCCAGTACAGCTATTTCTAGCTACCCACAAAATCATTTTTAAATACCTAAATGTCATTTGGTTATTATGCCAGAAAGCAAAATATGATTCAGAAATGTAAGTTTTTTCCTTCTATGTTAGAAGGGGAAAAAAAGCACATAGGCTAAAATCTTGATTTAAGCTCTAATTAGCAATAAATCTCAAACCACTTTTAACCTCAGGTCATTCCTGGGTTTTGTAAGAAACCAATAAAAACACATTAAAAGTTTTAGAACTTTGGAGAAAAAAGCTTTAGAAAATGAGTTTGACTTTTAAAATTCTAAAGAAGAAGAAAATAAAAAGAGCTTAGAAATCTCTACCTTTCAGCTTCAAATGCTGGAAGGGGGTTTTTAAGCCTAAAGATGTCTTATGAAAAATTACTGTTACAATCAGTCACTAGGAGGAGGATAACCATTTTTTTAAATAAGAAGGCCAGGCATGAACATTTCAGAATTCCACATTTCTAGTTTAACCAAAGAAAGTTGTCTCCACATTGGCTTTTCTTTTCACTCTGTTTAAAAACAATGAGGTTTCCTGCAAAGGAAATAAATAAAGGGATAGGTACATAGAGCAATTCACTTTTCAAATGCTTTTCCTACATCATGTATAATTATGCCTTACATCTGATTAAAGAAGAGGAATTTCCCCTAATCATCAGGCTCCTTGGCTTTGGCTATGACTGCTTCTTGTCCAGAAATACCTTGGGTATGAATAAACCTGGCAAAGCCTCCTTTTTCATGGATAATCATTAACCAGCAAATCAAATCTCATTTACAATTAGATCATGTTGACTCTCCCTTCCCAGAACTACAGCAAGAATAAAAAGAGGAAGAAGACAATTAAATACAAATTAATTTCTGTTTGATTCTCAAGAACTGGATAATTCTGGCTTTCTTTCCTCATTTTTCTCCAAAAATATCCCAAATGATTATTCAGTTAGCTATTACATTATTTTTAAACAATATAGTAATAAGTTTTCCTTAGAGATACTATCCCCCAAATGAATAACAAATGGATGAAAGGCAGGAAAACGAAACAGAAAGGCAGTAATAAGCCAACACATATTGATTAAATATACTATTTATTGTATGCTTAGCAATGTTGCCAAAACCTTGTATTTTGTTAGCTGAATTTGGCTTGAAGTTTCCCATGGTAGAACTCAACTTCAATATCTTCTGCTTTTCATCTTGGCAAATACTTAATCAACTTATTAAGAAAAAAAAAGAGCATCCCTGCCTCCGGCATTCAGTTTTCTCCTTTGCATTCTGTACGTTGTTGTCTGTCCTGTAGAAGAGTGAGCAGCTGGGATTCTTGACTCCTCTATCTCTTCCCCACCACCAGCTCAATGGCTAGTGGGCTATTAGGAAGCAGTATGGCTTCCAGGTGTTGTATCAGATGCTCAACTAATCATAGCATCAGAATTAAAATATTTAGTTGCAAGGAAAACAGCTGTGGGTGGCTGAAGGACCAACCTTCTAAACTCTGAGTCATCCCCTGGAATGGACTGCTGTGTAAATATATTCACACCCACCCAATTTATCTCGACCTCCAGAAATTATCTTGAACAAAGCAGGCATTTCACTGCATTGGCTCTCAGACTTGCCTTCCTGGAAACAACCTTTTCTGGAAGGGAGGCTCAAGACATATTTACTAAGAACTCTGAACCACCAGGAAGCCTTAAAGCAAGACCTGTGCTTCTATAGTTCACATATTCTATCCTATGAAAGATGTAGATAAGTATTAATTTAGAATCTTCTTCAACCTGTTCAGCTGTGTTGCAAAATAGTAGATACGTTTCCCAGTAAAGAATTGAAATACCAGCAACTGGCACTGATAGCTAATGCTCCATTATTTCTGTGCATAAATCCACGCTGAACTTCCCTTTTTTTTCTTGTTTTTTGTTTTTTTGAGGCAGTATTTCACTCTGTCACCCAGGCTCACTGCAACCTCCATTCCCAGGTTCAAACAGTCCCCCCACCTCAGCCTCCCAGAGTAGCTGGGACTACAGGTGTGTGCCACCACACCCAGCTAATTTTTGTATTTTTTTTGGTAGAGACAGTCTTTCACCATGTTGGCCAGACTGGTCTTGAACTCCTCATTTCAAGTGATCTGCCCGCCTCAGCCTCCCAAAATGCTGGGATCACAGGCATGAGCCACCATACCCAGCCTATGAACATTCCATAACCATTTTGCCCTTGTGATGTCATCACTCTACCATTTTGTTTCTGGACTATCTCCCTGCAACGTAAGTTAACATGTGCTCAGGTAATAAAATTTATTATAATGTTAATATGGGTGAGTAAAATAAGTAGTAAAAATTATATTAAGACAAAGTATTTCCTTATTTCTCATTATTCTAAAATTTTTTCCTCCATTGCCTGTCAATTTAAATATTTATATACTCAGCAACCATTTTTATTAGTTATTACCTTAAGTTTAATATTCTGCTCTCAATTCTAAAAGGTATTTGGGGAAAAAAAGGGGAGTAGCGGGACAGATCAATGAAATTATGTAGATAATCAGTAATAAAACCAAGACTGGGCCATACACAGTGGCTCACGCTTGCAATCCCAGCACTTTGGAAGGCCGAGACATGCAGATTACCTGAGGTCAGGAATTCGAGACCTGCCTGGCCAACATGGTGAAACCCTGTATCTACTAAAAAATATAAATATAAGTTGGGCGTGGTGGCGCGCGCCTGTAGTCCCAGCTACTCGGAAGGCTGAGGCAGGAGAATTGCTTGAACCCCGGAGACGGAGGTGGCAGTGAGCCGAGATCGCGCCACTGCACTCCAGCCTGGGCGACAGGATGGGATTTTGAGACTCCGTCTCTAAAACAAAACAAGACTGGCTTATATTTTATTCCCTCAACGTGCTTCTCTGTTTTTGAGACAAGACAGGGTCTGTCCGGTCTGTCAGCCAGGCTGGAGTTCAGTGGCACTATCACAGCTCACTGCAACCTTCCACCTCCCAGGCTCAAGCGATCCTCCCACCTAAGCCTCTCTAGTAGCTGGGACCACAGGTGCGCACCACCAAGCCTTGCTAATTTTTGAATTTTTTTGTAGAGACTAGATCTCCTTCTGTTGCCCAGGCTGGTCTCAAACTCTTGGAAACAAGCAAACCTTCCACCTCAGCCTCCCAAAGTTTTGCAATTATAGGCATGAGCCACCACACCCAGCCTGTTTGCTTCATAACATGCATTAATCAAGGTAACCCACCACTCAAACTCAAATAAAACCAAACACCTCCAATCAAGGGACATTTACTATTCTCTACTGGTGAGATTTTATTCCCAGAATTCGACATCATCCTCTGCAAATAAATCATTTCTCTGCATTTCATAGCCAGGTCCGATTAGCTTTGCACATAGTTTTCTTTTCATGTGTACACAATGGCAGCCTAGTGAAAATCCTTCTCTTCTTATTGCTATTAAGCTACAGTGGAGTTTCCTACAAGGCAGATTTGAGTTTAAGCCCATCTCACATTCTGTACAAGGTTCTCATTGTTGAAAGAACTCACTACATATAACTCAGTTTTACCAATAACACTTCCCCAGCATAGGCTCAAAAGAGAGACGTTCCCTATCCTACCTATAAACTCATTTGAGAACTAAATATGAAATATCCCAAATGTCATTTGACCACATCATAAAAAGGGAGCAAAACTTGTTGAAGTTTAAATTCCCTTATGTGTCATATTAAGGAGTTAGATCATTGGAGGCATTTCGAGCCCATGAATACTGATTTTGCACTTTCTGTAACATTTTAAGTAAGGTCTTACGCAGAGGTGGGACATATCTTTAGAAATTTATTTTACGTATTTACAGTTAATGAGATTTCTCCCTTTTAGAAGAGCTTCTTATTTGTCATGCTCCCACCTTCTTACCCAGGGTAGTTTAAGATGGTTTTATATGTTAAAAAGAATCCACAGAACAGCTCATTTCTTATAAAATAAAATAGGAACCCAGACTCAGAAATTAACTGACTTTGGGTTTTTCAAAGAGTCAGGGTTATAGTTCAAATTTGCAGTGAGATTCCAAATCCAATATTAAACTTCATGTTCTTATTTGGAAATACACTGCTTAGATGATCATTCTCCTTCTTTTATTTAGTGACTGGAGAACTATATCTGGCTGGTCATTTACATTTCTTGTTAAATAAAAATGCAAGAATTGCACTCCAGAATGAGTCAGTCTATAATGTTTACTGAGTGAAAAATAGCTACAGCTTTTAAAAGTAGGAGTACAAGAAAATAGAATGGAAATAAAATGTATGCAACCCTTCTAGGCAGCTTTCAATCTCATAGAAAAAATAGAGATAAATACTTTTTGCTTTATCTAAACTGCAGAAATTCACAACTAAGCATAGTAGTTAGTGACATTATGAAATTAATACTATCTGGTTCTTTATGGTTATTGGATCAACTGAGGCTGTTTGGAGTGTGATACGGTTTGGCTGTGTCCCCATCCAAATCTCACCTTGAATTGTAATAATCCCCATATGTCAAGGGTGGGGCCAGGTGGAGATAATCGAATCATGGGGACGGTTTCCCTCATACTGTTCTCTTGGTAGTGAATAAGTCTCACGAGATCTGATGGTTTTATAAATGGGAGTTCTCCTGCACAAACTCTCCTGCCTGCTACCAGGTGAGAAGTGACTTTGCTCCTAATTTGCCTTCAGCCATGATTGTGAGGCCTCCCCAGCCATGTAGAACTGTGAGTCAATTAAACTTCCTTTCTTTATAAATTACCCAGTTTGGGGTACGTCTTTATTAGCAGTGTGAGAACAAACTAATACAGAGTGAGAATGGAAAAATATCTGAACAAAGTAAGGTTTTAAAAAAATTTTTGATTAGGCATTATGGCTCATGCCTATAATCCCATAGGCATTTTGGGGAGGCAAAATCCTCATGCATTTGGGAGGCAAAAGCAGGAGGATTGCTTGAGGCCAGGAATTTGAGATCAGCCTCAACAATATAGCAAGACATCTTCTCTAGAAAAATAAAATTTAAAAATTAGCTGGGCATGGTGGTAGTGCACCTGTAGTTCTAGCTACTTGAGAGGCTGAAGCAGGAGGATCATTTGAGCCCAGGAGTTTAAGTTGCAGTGAGCTGTGATCACATCACTGCACTCCAGCCCTGGTGGCAGAGTGAGACCCTGTCTCAAAAAAAAAAAAAATGAATTTTTAAAGTATATGGGAGAGTGTGCATATTATCTAAGCACATCCTCCCATATACTTTAAATTCACCTCTAGATTACTTTCACCTAATCTAATATAAACACTATGTAAGTAGTGAAAAATAAAATCCTAAGCCCCCACAACCAACTGAACAGACCCTCTCTTGGCCAAGAAGAACCCAAAGAAACCTTAAAACTGAGTTTCCAGCCATGACGCAATGGGAGATTGGACATGTCTTATTATACCCCTCCCTCACTAGCAGCCATTTGGCTTTCTTCCCTAAGGATTAAATAGAAATCAGCCCTGTTGAAAGATTCACTCCACCACTGATGTAAACCAACTGTTTGACCGCTGCCCCTCCCTTTTGCAGTTTCAACACTACTGACCAGCGTTCCTTCCTGATAAGAGACCACCAACTATGGAGTGGTACTGGCCTGTCAATGGAGGATACACAGTGAGGGTTTTTGTGTCCTGTGTTTCACGTTTTGACATTAGAGAGCCAAAAACTCCATCCTGGGATCATGCTGAAGCAACCATTTTTTGAACATGGGACCCGTGAAGGGGTTTGAAGCTCAATTGCACATGTGCATGTTTCTCCTGTCATAAATATTCATGACTCCTCCTATAGTTTATTGATTACCTATATTTGGCCACCCAGTCTGGCATAAATTCCTGTCTTATCCTTCCTACTCCTAAACTGCCTGTATTTGGCTTTTGGTTGCATGCTATGCTTCCTAGCCTTTCAGAATGGCCACTCTGCAGGCTGCTTCCTTTTATAAGAAATAAAGCTCTTATTTCCAAATCTATAAACCTCATCACTTCTTCAGTTGACATAATGGGAGATGTGGATAGAATCTGCAGAGAACCCTGGGTCCTCCCAGCATGACTTGAAGTCAATGCGCCAACATCTACAGCTTAGCTGTCTCCCCAGCCATGCTGGGAGGAAGTCAAGTAAGTTTCCCCAGATCTAAGACCTCCTGCTTTTTAGGCTGAAGACTGGAGACATTCTCTCCACATCTTCCTTTTATTTCCTCCCAGTTCCTTTTCAGTCCCTGTCCTGGTATCCTCCATCCAGACCTTAGAGGGAATGTCTTTATTGGACCCAGGTTTGGGGAAAGTCTTCCCAGTCTTCCTGATTCCCTCCATCCTGACCCCAGAGGAAACTTTCCCTGTCTGTCCTGGGTTGGGGGAGGTGTTTCCCAGTCCAGTCAGACTCAGCTGGACCCTAATATTTTGTAAGAATACTCATGTGAAAGGTAATCAAAGGTACTCCTTCATAAGGTTAGTGAAGTTTGGAAAATCTTGGTTCTTTTTTTTTTTTACTTTAAGTTCTGGGATACATGTGCAGAACATGAAGGTTTGCTGCATAGGTATACATTTGCCATGGTGGCTTGCTGCACCTATCAACCTGGCATCTAGGTTTTAAGCTCCGCATGCATTAGGTATTTGTCCTAATGTTATCCCGCCCCTTGCCCCCCACCCCCCAACAGGCCCCGGTGTGTGATGTTCCCCTCCCTGTGTCCATGTGTTCTCATTGTTCAACTCCTGCTTATAAGTGAGAACATGCAGTTTTTGGTTTTCTGTTCCTGTGTTAGTTTGCTGAGAGTGATGGTTTCCAGCTTCATCCATGTCACTGCAAAGGACATGAACTCATCATTTTTTATGGCTGCATAGTATTCCATGGTGTATATATGCCACATTTTCTTAATCCAGTCTATCACTGATGGGCATTTGGGTTGGTTCCAAGTCTTTGCTATTGTGAACAATGCTGCAGTAAACATACCTGTGCACGTGTCTTTATAGAAGAAATAATCCTTTGGATATGTACCCAGTAATGGGATCTCTGGGTCAAATGGTATTTCTGGTTTCTAGATCCTTGAGGAATTGCCACACTGTCTTCCACAATGGTTGAACTAATTTATATTCCCTATATTCCCACCAATGGAGAACCTTAGTCCTAAGAGTACAGTCTCTGATCAGCTGCCATCAGAGGCTCCAGCAGTTTACATGTTTAGGAACGATAGGAAGATCAAATTAAAAAAAAAAAAAAACATATCAGCATCATTGCTAGCCTTAAAAATTCTCTTGACTTATTTAAGGAACAAAAAAATGGACCGGAAACAAAGTTAGAATCCCTGTACGCTCAAACTGCTTAGGATTCCATGCAGGATTAACAATGAAGGCTGCTCCATTTTGTTGTCTGGTGATTAAAATTTCTGATCAGGGGATCGGTTTCTTTTGTTTTGATATTTGTGTGACTTTTGCCATTTATTGATCCTTTTCCCTTCCATGGACAGCTTTTGGTTCCCTGTCTTGTACTTGTGGGAGCATATGAGGCTTTTCTTATGAAAAACTGAGACCCAAGAGAATATGATTAGACAGAAATGTGAGTTATACTCCACTTGTGGCTGGTGAAACTGAAACCACCTTTGCAAAGATTATGACAGTGAAAGAAGTCTAACATGGCTGACTCCATCTTGCTTCTAGCTTCACAAGCTGGCTGTCTTTGCTCATTCCTGGGCATAGGCAAAGCTAATCATGGGAAGAATTTCATTTATAATTTAAGTTGGAAACAAGAATGATAATAGACCCTCCCTAAAACTAACCCGTCCTTGCTCAGAGACTGAAAACTAAGGAAAGACTTTGAGATTGAGATTATGAGAGAGGCCTGAACTCTGCTAAAATGTAGGCATAGTTTCTATAATCCCTTATGGCTCAGCAGTCATGTAGCCAGAGGTCACAAGATTTGTGGCTTCCCCAGTTGCTTCTACAGATAACATCACTGTTGTAGAACCTAGGAGTAGTCTTTTGAGTTGTTTTTCAGATTTTTGCATTCTGGCAACTGACTGACCCTACCCAGACCTGTGACTCATGATTCAACTAGTCTTGTAGCTCCCACCTCTAAGAGGCGGACTCAGGGCATGAGGATCATCTTCCACATCCCTGTGATTTCACCCCCAGCCAATCAACAGCATCCATTCCCTAGCCCCCTGCTCACTAAATTATCCATAAAAACCCTAGGATCTGAGTTCTTAGGGAGATTGGTTTAAAGGATAATGCTAGTTCTTCTATGTGGCCAACCTTCTCTTAATTAAACTCTTTCTTTACTGCAATACCATGGTCTCAGTGAATTGATTTTGTCTGTGCAACAGAAGGAAGAGCCCATTTGGGTGATTACAAAACTTTCCTTTCTTTGAGTTGCCTTTGGGGTATGTATTAATCTGTTCTTGCACTGCTATGAAGAAACACCTGAAACTGGGTAATTAATAAAGGAAAGAACTTATGCAGGCCATACAGGAAACATAGCAGCCTGTGCTTCTGGGGAGGCCTCAGAAATCTTATGATCATGGCAAAAGGCAAAGGAGAAGCAGGCACAACTTATATGGCTGGAGCAGGAGCAAGATGTGGGGGAATAGGGGGAGTGCTACACATTTTTAAACAACCAGATCTCACTTACTATACAGTACCAAAGTACTGTACAGAAGTCACTTACTATACAGTACCAAAGGGGGATGGTGCTAAACCATTCAAGAGAACTCTGACCCCATGATCCAATCACCTCCCATCAGCCCTTACCTTCAACATTGGTGACTACAATTCAACCTCAGATTTAGGTGGGGACACATATCCAAATCATATCATTCCACCCTTGGCCCCTCCAAATCTCATGTCCTTCCACATTGCAAAATACAATCATGCCTTGCCAACAGTCCCCCTAAGTCTTAACTCATTCCAGCATTAACTCAAAAATCCAAAGTCCAAAGTCTCATCTGAGACAAGGCAAGTGCCTTCTACCTATGAGCCTGTAAAATCAAAAACAAGTTAGTTACTTCCAAGATATAATGGGAGTACAGGCATAGGGTAAATTCTTCCATTCCAAAAGGGAGAAATAAGCCAAGAGAAAGGGGCTACAGGCCCCATGAAAGTCTGAATCACAGTCATCATTAAATCTTTTTTTTTAAATAGAGATGGGGGGGGTCTCACTATTTTGACCAGGCTGGTCTCAAACTCCTGGCCTCACACAATCTTCCCAACTTGGCCTCCCAAAGTGCTGGGTTTATAGGTGTTAGCCACTGCACCTGACCCATAATTAAATCTTAAAGCTCCAAAGTAATCTCCTTTGACCCCATGTCTCACATCCAGGGCACACTGGTGCCAAGAGATATACTCCCAAGGCCTTGGGCAGCTCTGCCCCTGTGGCTTTGCAGCATTTAGCTCTTGCAGCTGCTCTCAAGGGCTGGCGTTGAGTGCCTGTGGCTTTTCCAGCCACAGGGATCGAGCTCCTGCTGGCTCTACCATTCCAGGATCTGGAGGGTGGTGGCCCTCTTCTCATAGCTCCTCTAGGCAGTGCCCCAGTGGGGACTCTGTATGGGGGCTCCAACCCCACATTTTCCCTCTACACTGCCCTAGGAGAGTTTCTTTATGATGGCACTGCCCCTGCAACAGGCTTCTGCTGGGACGTCCAGGCTTTTCCATACATCCTCTGTAATCTAGGCATAGGTTCTCAAGCCTCAACTCTTGCAATCTGCACACCCACAGGCTTAACACCACGTGGAAGTCACCAAGGCCCTCTGAAGCAGTGGCCCAAGCTGTACCTGGGCCCCTTTGAGCCATGACTGGAGCTACAGCAGTTGGGATGCCAGGAACAGTGTCATGAGGCTGCAGGGGGCAGCAGGGTCCTGGGCCTGGCCCAAGAAACCATTCTAGGGCTCTGGACCTGTGATGAAAGGGACTGAAATGCATTTCAGGACTTTTCCCCATTGTCTTGGCTATGAGCACTTGCCTTCCTTTTAGTTATGCAAATTTCTGTAGCCTGCTTGAATTCCTCCCCTGAAAATGGGTTTTTCTTTTCTACCACATGGCCAGGCTGCAAATTTTCCAAGTATTTTTGCTCTACTTCCTTTTTAAATATAAGTTCCAGTTTCAGGTCATTTATTTGCTTATGCATATAAGCATAGGTTGTTAGAAGCATCCAGGTCACATACTAAACACTTTGCTGCTTAGAAATATCTTCTTCCAGATATCCTAAATTGTCACTCTCAAGTTTAAATTTCCACAGATCCTTAGGGCAGGGCCACAATGTCTCCAAATTCTTTGCTAAAGCATAACAAAAGTGACCTTTGCTCCAGTCCCCAGTAAGTTCCTTATTTCCATCTGAGACCTCATCAACCTGGCCTTTATTTTCCAAATCACTATCAGCATTTCAGTCACAACCATTTAACCAGTCTCTAGGGAGTTCCAAATGTTCCCTGATCTTCCTGTCTTCTTGTGAGCCCTCCAGACTTTTCCAACCTCTGCCTGTTATGCAGTTCCAAAGTGGCTTCCACATTTTCAGGTATCTTTATAGCAATGCCCCATTCCTGCGTACCAATTTTCAGTATTAGTCCATTCTTGCACTGCTATAAAAAACCCCAGAAACTCTGTAATTTTTAAGAAAAAGAGATTTAATTGGCTCATAGTTCTGCTTCTGCTTCTGCTTCTGCTTCTGCTTCTGCTTCTGCAGGCTGTACAGGAAGCTTAACAGCTTCTGCTTCTGGGGAGGCCTCAGGAAACTTCCAATCATGGCAGAAGGTGAAGGAGAAGCAGGCACATCTTACATGGCTGGAGTGGGAGCAAGCAAGAAAACAAGCAAGCAGGAACAAGAAAAAAAGAGAGGGTGAGGGAGGTGTGACACACTTTTAGACAACCGGATCTTGTAAGAATTTACTCACCATACAATACCAAGGGGGAATGGTGCTAAATCATTCATGAGAACTCCACCCCCATGATCCAATCACCTCCCACCAAGCCCTACCTCCAACAATGGGGATTACAATTTGACCTGAGATTTGGATGAGGAAACAGACCCACACCATATCAGGGCATCTGATCTTCTGAGGACTGCTTTCAACCTCTTTGGAGAAGCCTCGTGCATCTTTGGTTAAGTCATAACCTTGATTAACACTTATTGATTTCACTTGGAAGGATATAGCTGGTTAAAAAAAAGTTCAAAAGCCACAAATATCAACTGTTTGTCCTGGCCAAAAAGTCATTATAAGAGATTTGAAAGAATTTTTTTTTTAAGAGCTCTCTGATTAGAAGTCAGCTTAATTAAAAGCCAATATCTAAGGTGGGAGAATTGCTTGCCTGGGAGTTCAAGGCTGCAGTGAGCTATGATCACACCACTGCATGCCAGCCTGGGGTACAGAGCAAGACCCTATCTCAAAAAAAAAATAAAAATAAAAATCAAGTTATCTCATTTATTTTTATTCCTCCCTACTTCTTCCTTTTTGTCATCTCCAATACCACATGGAAGGATCTAGAGAAGACTGCTGTATTAGTCTGTTCTCACATTGCTATAAAGAAATACCTAAGACTGGATAATTTATAAAGAAAGGTTTAATTGGCTCACAGTTCTGCAGGCTATACAAGCAGCATAGCAACATCTGTTTCTGGGGAGGCCTCAGGAAGCTTACAATCATGGCAGAAGGTGAAGGGGGAGCAGTCACACTGTTAGATATGAGTTCTCAATTTCTTTCCAAAGAATCAATATGTTAGTATGTTCAATTTTTTGCCTTCTACTTTTAAACTTAACTTCCTGTTAAAGCAACCTTTTTTGATTACCTGCTCCACCCTGACTCATTCCGATTACCTGCTCCACCCTGATTCATTCCTATTACCTACTCCACCCTGATACATTCCGATTACATGCTCTGTCATAACCATTTTTCCCACCAAACCACTCACCCCGTCACTCTCTTTAAATTAGCGGTCTAACCCTAGCCAATAGGGGAACGACACAGCAGCAGGGGCCACACATGCGTCAGGGATAAGAACCCCTTCCCCTCCCTTGTCCAAGTGTGCACTCACCATTGCTCCATCTGTAAGGGTGCACCCTTCTATAGAAGTAACTTGCCTTGCTGAGAATTGAAAGTAAAATTTTATATTCGAGTGCTATTTCTTTTGCGGCACCAAAAGTTTATTTATAACAACACCACGTGGTGAAAGCAGTACCAAGAGAGAGGGGAGGTGCCACACACTTTTTAATGACCAGATTTTATGAGAATTCACTCATTGCCACAAGGAGAGCACCCAAAGGATGGTGCTATACCATTCATGAGAAACGCCCTCGTGATCCAATCACCTCCCACCAGGCTCCATCTCCAACACTGGCAATTGCATTTCAACATGAGATTTGGGCTAGGCACACATCCAAACTATGTCAACTCCTAATGACTCAGACCCCTCAAGGAACTCAGAAAAAGGCACAATTCATCCCCTTTTTAGGGGTCTTCTGCTTTTCTTCCTAAATTTCAAGAGTTACAGGCAAGTTCCGCCGAGATCTAAAACTCTTCTCTCTTTTGTATTGCATTACCTGATCTTTTTGGCTTTGAGGGGAACCCGAGATTACTTTGTGCAGTGAGAGGACTTGACCTTCATGTATTTTGGCTGGTGGTTTTAGCAAGAGCTGCAGTGCTAGGAGGGGCTGATGATATTTATACATGGTCATTACCACAGGGAGCTACCTGTGTTCACATTTAAAAAGCATGGTTTAGGCCCTAAAGTCTGCATATTTACTCACCCATATTCACTAAAGGGCTCCACCTTAAAGCCAGAAATCTAATTAAAAAACAAACTAAGTTGAGGCCAGGTGCAGTGACTCACGCATGTAATCCCAGCACTTTGGGAGGCCAAAGTGGATGGATGATTTGAGGCCAGGGGTTCGAGACCAGCCTGGCCAACATGGTGAAACCCCGTCTCTACAAAAAAATACAAAAATTAGCCGAGCTTGGTGGTACACGCCTTTATTTCCAGCTACTCAGGAGGCTGAGGCAGGAAAATTGCTTGAACCCAGGAGGCAGAGGTTGCAGTGAGCCGAGATAGCGCCACTGAACTCCAGCCTTGGTGATGGAATGAGACTCCATCTCAAAACAAACAAACAAACAAAACAAACTAAGTTGAAAAGATGACAATTCCTGGCAATCTTGTCTTCAGATAATGGTGTTTAGGTCTAAGTTCTGTGCTTATGAGATGTATGTTTTCTATCTTGTTTCACCTAAGAGCCATGTGTTTGGAAATGACTGATGATAGTCTAAAGCAGGGGAGAAACTATTTGAGAACTGGCAAATGAAAAATCTTATAAGTCTATAAGATATGCTTTTGTCTGTGTGTGTACGCCTATATGTTTATATATGTCATGTGTATGTAGTATTTCACTACCAGATTATATGAAAGAGCTCTAATCAACTGGTTTAAAAGCCAAGGGCTTGAATCCAATATTTTATTAGAAAAATAGAAGCTAGCTCAAATGCCTTTTAGTTCATGTGACTTTAGTGATTGTTGGTAAATAAAACTAGTTTCAAAATTTTCTTCAGTAAGAGAATTACTTAAAGTTTTTTAAAAAATACTTTCAATCCATGGTTAGTTAAGCCCACAGTTGCAGAACCCACAGAAATGGAGGGCTGACTATGTATAGTGTTCAGTACCACTCATGGTTTCAGGTATCCATTAGGGGCCTTGGAACACCTCCTCTCTGGATAAGAGGGGACTACTATATGTATTTGGGACTGCTTCTGATTGAGAGTTGAAAAGAAAAGCCCTTAGGATGATCTGATCTCAAGGACAGAACGTTTAAAAGGCACTGAAACCTTTCCCTGTGAAGATTTATCCCTTCCTAGCATAGCTCCTGTTCATTACTATGCTAAAAATGTGTCTGTTGTACTTTCAGCCTGAAGCTACAGTGGAAATGGCCACTTTCTATTACTTTAGTCTCAGTAAATGTCAAACTGTACAATAGGAGGAAGAGGTTGGAAATAGAATCACGCTTTCTATGCTTGGCATTTTCACTTGGACATATAATCATCCCATCAAATTTAACAGGCATAAAACTTAAGTCCTTATCTTATTCTTGCCCTTCTGAAGTATTTCTTTGCCCCTAAAAATGCTTCCCACATTTGGCTTTCCTGTTTTTGTTAATGACGCTATTCAATCACTCAGGTCCCAAACCTCAGAGTCATCTTGACAATTTTTCCATTGCATTTTTCCCTATGGCTAACAGGATCACAAGTCTAACTAGTTTTCTCTCTCTCTCTTTTTTTTTTTTTTTTTTTGAGACAGGTTCTCACTCTGTTGCCCAGGCTGGAGTGCAGTGGCACAGTTAGGGCTCACTGCAGCCTTGATCTCCAAGGCTCAGGTGATCCTCCCACCTTAGCCTCTCAGGTAGCTGGGACTACTGATGTGCAACACCACGTTCAGCTAGTTTTTTTGTATTTTTTGTAGAAACGGGATTTCGCCATCTTCCCCAGGCTGGCCTTGAACTCCTGTGCTCAAGAGATACACCTGCCTCAGCCTCCCAAAGTGCTGGGATTACAGGTGCAAGCCAATGTGACTGGCCTGGGTCTCTTTCTAATAGTCTCTTTTATACATTCTTTCTATTCTCTTTGCTAACACCCAAGGTCGGGCACTCATTTAAACTATGGAGGTAAATTATTAACGGATTTCTCTGCCTCAGTTTCTCTTTTTCAGTCTAACAAACAACTGAACATATCTGGGTCAATTTGTAAAACACTGTATGAAAAACTTCCTCCATCTGGGAGAGACCCCAAAAATAATTTGGGTGGAATCATTTTTAAAATACACATATGGGCTCTTTGTTGATGCCTGTAATCCTAGCATTTTGGGAGGTCAAGGAGGGAGGATCACTTGAGCCCAGGAATTCAAGACCAGCCTGGGCTCATCTGTAATAAGTAAAAAAAAAAAAAAAAATTAGCCAGGTGTGGTGTCACATACTTATAGTTTTAGCTACTTGGGAGTCTGAGGCAGGAGGCTGCTTAAGCCCAGAAGTTAGGGGTTTCAGTGAGCTATGATTGCACCACTGTACTTCAGCCTGGGCAACAGAGTGAGGCCCAGTCTCAAAAAAGTAAATAAGTAAATACGTATATGTTAAACATCTTATTTTACCTCACACATATAAAACATGAAACATTGATTTGCTAGACTTTTAACAGAGGGCCAAGACTATTTAATTTATAAAGGGACTGCTAAATGGAGTTCTGAGTCTTCTTTCTAGAATACAGATACCCATGATGTGATTTTCTGGATATGATTTTTATAAAGTGGAGTAAGAACTTATACAGATTTGTGGAACAAGTACAGAATCCATCTAGATGTCAGTGATTTTCCCCTAATCTTTTACTGTTATTTATAGATTTCTTAAGCTTTTGTTTGGGTTCTGGGTTTTTTTTTTTTTTTTTTTTTTGGCAACTCACCTCTGTAGAGATCAGAGATCCTCCAAAGTATTCAATTTACTACAGTAAACTTTGACCACGTGTGTGTGTGTGTGTGTGTGTGTGTGTGTGTTGGTTCATAACTTTTTATATTATGAAACTTTAACTATTTTTGTTTCTGCACTCATGTTATATTTGTTTACATAATGTTTAATTAAAATCTATAAGGGTTTGGGTTTAGAGAAGGGTAAGCACACTCCTCCCAGTCTTTCTCACTGAATGCAGCTGTAAAATCTGGACAGAATGCAAGCAACAGCTGTTTATCTGAAAAGTAAATAATAGCAGGCAGATTAAGGCCAGAGGAAAGTCCAGAATGTGAAGTACCACTGACTGAAGTGGCATTGAGTTTATCAGCTTTTTTCCTCCAGTCCTCCCAAGGCTTAGCCCCACAGGTGGGCACAGCTATGGAAGTTTACAGCAGAGTCGTATAAACAGAGCTCCACCTTTCAGGCCACAAAACCAAAAAAGGGGAGTCCAGGAAACTGGAAAGTACTGGGAAAGAGAAGTACTTGGAAAAGTAACCCCATAAAGTTATTTATGAATGCCAAGCTCACTCTAAAGTTGCACATACATAGATCTGAACTTAATCAGCATTTATATGACTTTTATAAGACTTTGAGAACTTAGCAGATAAATTCTTGGCCCCCATATCATATTGGCCACTGGGTGGTGAACATGTGGGACAGATCCCAACAGCACAGCAAAGGCATTGAACACCGAATTGGTGTTGGAACCACAATCCACTGAAAGTACATTGGAAATTGTGACCTGAACCTAACTAGATTATTTGTCTGCGAAAACAAAAATAGCAGCATTCTCCATAGGATTTAAACAAGGCCCAGCATCTCATAACATAATATTCAAAATGTCCAGCATAGAACCCAAAATTACTTGATATCAAAAAGTCAGGAACATCTCAATTTGAATAGGTCAAGACAATTAATAGAGGCCAAAGCCAAGATGAAATTTATGTTAGAATTACCTGATAAAAATTTTAAAGCAGCTATTATAAAATACTTCAACATGCAATCACAAATACCCTTGAATCACATAGAAAATTAGAAAGTTTCACCAAAGAAAGAAACACTATAAAGAAGAGCCAAGTAGACCAGGCAGGGTGGCTCACACCTGTAATCCCAGCACTTTGGGAGGCCGAGGTGGGTGGATCACTTGAGGACAAGAGTTCAAGACCAGCCTGGCCAACATAGTGAAACTCCGTCTCCCCTGAAAATACAAAAATTAGATGGGAGTGGTGGTGGAGCCTATAGTCTCAGCTGCTGGGGAGGCCGAGGCAAGAGAATAGTTTGAATGCACAAGAATTGCTTGAGCCTGGGAGGCAGAGGTTGAAGTGAGCTGAGATCATGCCACTGTACTCAAGCCTGGGTGACAGAGTGAGACTCCATCTCAGAAAAAAAAAAAAGGAAAAAAAAAGAGCCAAATAAAAATTTTAGAAGTGGAAATAAAATAATGAAAATAAACTAATTGGCTGAGCTTAATAGCAGGATGGAGATAATAGAGCAAAGAATCAATGGACTTGAAGACAGACCAATAGAAATTATCCAATTTGAACAACAAACAAAAAAAAGTTTAAAAAATGAACCGTGGCTGGACGTGGTGGCTCACACCTATAATCCCAGCATTTTGGGAGGCTGAGGCTGGAGAATTGCTTGAGCTCAGGAGTTTGAGATCACCCTGGGCAACACAGTAAAATGTCATCTCTACTAAAATAATAAAAGCAAATGAACTGAGCCTTAAGAACTTGTGGATAATAACAAAAGTTTTAACTTCTGTTTAATTAGAGTCTCCAAAGAAGAAAAGAATGTGTTGCTAAAAATAGATTGGAAGAACTGATGGTTGACACTTAACCAAAAGAAGATATATAGATTGCAAATAAGCACATGAAAAGATATTCAATATATTTATCCATTAGTGAAATAAAAATTAAAAACATAACGGGATACCACATCACACCCATTAAGATGGCTTTTAAAAATATTGACAATTCCAAGGGCTGATAAGAAGGCAGTACAACTGAAGCTCTCATACATTGCTGGTGGAAATACAAAATGGGACAGCCACTCTGGAAAACAATCTGGCTTAAAAAGTTAAACATAAATTTACCATATTTATGTTTACCAAATTTACCATATTTACCCAGAAATTGACTTTCAGTGCAGTCATCTTAGAGAAATGGAAATGTATAGTCACACAAAAGCCTGCGTATGACTGTTTATAGCAGTTCTATTTACAATAGCCACAAACAGGAAACAAATATCCTTCAGTGTGTGAATGGGTAGACAAACTGGGGCACATCCCTGAAATAAAATTCTACATAGCAGTATAAAAGAACAAACCATTGAAACATATAGCAGTTTGACTGAATCTCAAAAGCATTATGCTGAACGAAAAAAAAAAGTGTCAAAAGGTTACATGCTACATAAATTCATCTATATGATTTTCCAGAAGACAAAACTGTAGGGTTAAAGAACAGATCAGGGGTTTGTACCAGAGGACAAAACTGTAGCATTAAGGGGAGAGTGTGACTATAAAAAGAATAGCATGAAAAACTTTTGGGGGCAATGGAAGTTTTCTGTGTCTTTAATTGTGGTGGTGGTTATACTAACCTATAAATTAGTTGAAATTCATAGAACTGTATAACAAAAAAAGTCGATTTTAATGTATGATAATTGTTTAAAAGAAATAGAAAGTGCATAATTACAATAACAAGTGTTCTTAGCACAAACAATTTAGCTCATGAGAGGTGAAAAGAACTAGAAAGTGAACTAGCCATGAGCAATTTGTATGACAGTCTGTCATAGGCATCTGTCAGAACATTCTTTTCTTTTCTTTTCGTAGATAAGGGGTCTCACTATGTTCCCCGGGCTGGTCTTGAACTCCAGGACTCAAGGGATCCTCCTGCCTCAGCCTCCAAAAGTGCTGGGATTACAGGCGTGGGCCACCACGCCCAGTCTGTCAGAACATTTTCAAGAGAATGGGAGGATCAACTAATCTGGAGACTTGGTTAAATGGAGGTCTATCAGAGAGCCTCTACTGTACTTCATAATTTTACTTCATTCTTTCTTGAAAATGTGCACTATAATTGTTTGAATTCCCTAGGTTAAAAATCTCCGTATAAATGTCCTTCATTCTTCTTTTGACTACTGAAAGTCAATAACACTTTATCAGTGCACACGAACTCCCACATATACTTCCCACACGGGCTGTTTCAAATTCTTCCTAGCTCATAGTTCTCAGTTCCTCCTCACTGCTGTCATTAAAGTTGATGACCTCTGTCACCTTCCTGTGGTGGGGCAGTTTGTATGGTGCTAGTACAACCAAGGTATACTAAGGATCATGCTCTTTTCCACTGACTGGAAGCAACCTGCCAACCCTGACCATCATGCCTATAAGGGCTCGTGGATTTTACAACATGGATGATGAAGGAGAGGATGGAATAACAGCTCCAGGGGAGCATTCACATGGACTCAGAAAATAATTCTGAATGCAGGCTTCACTGAGTCCAGACTTCAAGAGTGGTCTTCTTGAGATAAATCAAGATATATCTATCATCACAACTCTGGCTAACTTTTCACCTGAGTGTTTCCCCGTGTCTATCACTTTTTCCTTTTCCAAAAGTCTCAAAGAAAGAGTGGATCCCTTTCAAAGGCTAACAACCCTCCTGTGTTCCAAATTCCATTTCCTTCTTGCAGTCAAAATCTCCTCCCCCAAATCTCCTGTTCTCCAGTGGAATATATTTTCCTATGTTTCCAAGAAATTTATCCTTGTGTAATCATTTCTACAAACATGTAGTTCATCTTAAAATGGGTGAAATACGGGGACATGTTTTTATTCCTCATCTGTAGATACTTCTTTGTTAAATCACTTTAGCTGCCTCTTTCAGAATAATTTTTTAATTTTTTCTAAATATATTTATTTTCTATTCTTTTATTATTGTTATTGCTTTGCTCAGAAACTTCTAATTCATATGTAGAAATTCTATTTGGTATAACATGCTGTCAAGAGTGTTTCTGTCTACTTAACCCAACCTATGGGACTCTCATGACACTTAAGGTGTATAGAACAGGACACTGATGAGGATAAAACCAACACTAGAGGATGGAATGCCCTTGAAGATCTTCATATTAAAAGGAGTTTCCTGGTTGGGCGCAGTGGCTCACACCTGTAATTCCAGCACTTTGAGAGGCTGAGGTGAGCAGATCACTTGAGGTCAGGAATTTGAGACCAGCCTGGCCAACACTGTGCAATCCCTTCTCTATCAAAAAATACAAAAACTAGCCAGGTGCAGTGGCACACACCTGTAGTCCCAGCTACATGGGAGGCTGAGGTGGGAGCATCACTTGAACCCGGGAAGCGGGGGTTGCAGCGAGCCGAGATTGCACCACTGCACTACAGCCTGGGCAGCAGAGTGAGACCCTGTCTCAAATACAAAACAAGACAAAAAAACAAAAAGGAGTTTTCCTGTATGACCATGGGCACTTAAAGTACAGGGTCCAGGAGAAGTCAGTTAACACCAGATCATAACTGTAGCATTTCTTTTGTTTCTGAAAAACTCTCAGATGTTGTGACTTTGCATGATAAGAGGAAGCTGCAAGAAGAAGTCTTGTGCTGGGGAAATAGAAATAGACCACAAGAAATGCTTACTGTCTCAATTAGCGTCAGCTGTCCCAACGCTGACCTAAAAGGAGCCCAATATTAGTCTATTAGGAGACAGGCATGGGGCCGGCCCTCTCTGGCCAAGAATGGATACTATGAAATAAATGTCTGGAACCATTGCACTTCTCTTCTCCCAGATGTCACACCCGCTTCTTGGCAGTCAGGGCTTTGAGCTCATCACATTTGGGTCTGGCCTCATGTGGAAGATGTAATAATACCTACGAAGGACTTTAGGCAAAACATTCTATTTTCAGAATAATAGAAAAGTTCTGATTTGAATGCTGTATGCTAGTTTCTAAATTAGGCATTTTGCACAAAGATATCTAAAAGTCAGCACTAGTCAATTGTGACAGAGTAGGCTTCTGGAAAAATAGAGAAGCAACTTCACTTCTGAGTTGAAAACTTAATTTTTTATATATAGGTATTCCTGCCCTACCTGCCTAGTTTCCTTAAAAAGAAACACATTTCCACTTCATAGCTTCCTTTACCCAACTCTCCGCTTTTCCCTTCTTTAAAATAATGACAACACTATGTGAAATGTGATTTGTTGTCAAAAAGGTGGATGAACAGTTGATTCTTCAAAATATTCATTATACCCTTTACTATGCCCTAACTCTGTGCGGGACATTGGCAAACACTGGGACTGCAATCTGCAAGGATTCTGTAGGCCCTGCCCTTCTGAAATTTAGTTCCCAGAATATTGTTTCTCTACCATTTTTTCATTATTGCCCCCTAAGAAACATTTTTAGACACTCCTTTCCTAACTGCTCCACCATGGAATTTTGATACCACAGATATCGTGTATATATTTATGTACTGTGTCTATATCCATGCATTATACACAGAAATATCAATGGCTTTTTGCTCCCAAGAATCAACTTTCACTCCCTCAGGGGTAATGTTATCCCTGTTAAAAGTGTATATTCTATGGCAGGGCGTGGTGGCTCATGCCTGTGACCCCAGCACTTTGGGAGGCCGAGGCGGGCAGATCACCTGAGGTCAGGAGTTCGAGACCAGCCTGGCTAACATGGTGAAAACCCGGCTCTACTAAAAGTACAAAAATTAGCCGGGCGTGTTGGCACATGCCAGTAGTCCCAGCTACTCTGGAGGCTGAGGCACAAGAATTGCTTGAACCTGGGATGTGGAGGTTGCAGTGAACCAAGATTGCACCACTGCACTCCAGCCTGGGCAACAGAGTGAGACTCTGTCTCAAAAAAAAAAAAAAAAAAAAAGAAAAGAAAAGAAAAAAAATGTGTATGTTCTAGGAGAAAGAAAGAGAATAGGCAAACACATAAGAAAAGTAACTGTGATGAATAAAATGTAGGAAATAAAAAGGGCTGAAAATTAGGGTACGGTTACTTTGGATAGGGATGTACAACCATACACCTGTAGGTAAGCTCCAGGAAGGATGCCCGTAGCTTCCTGGTCTCATTTTCCCTGGAGCCCAGTTAAAGTCCCCCACCTGAAATTGGAAAGGAAAAAAAAGACTAAATATAATTCACTAGAATACAAATAACTTCTGTCTTCCTGTTATTCAAACAAAGTCACATTAAGCCATGTTCCTCCTTTATACAAGCTCTACACCCTAAACAGCAGAGTTGCCAAAAGCTGGACACTCGAGGAATACAATTTTATTGGTCACGTGTTTCTGTGCAACTCTGAATGGGTCATTGTTTCTTAATAAGGATGTGAGGCTATCAAAGTTAAATTTAGCTCACCATGGTTGTGGTGGAACAAAGCCGATATATTTGCATAATGCTCTCCTACATAGGTGTGTTCCAGCAAAATAGTGAAGGCAGCATAATTGAATGCTGAAAGACAATAAAATGTTCTGGCTAAGAGCACTGGAGTCCAGACCACTGTCCACAAACAGGCAGGTCATTTAACTACTCTCTAAGGCTTAGTTTATCCATATGTAAAATGAGAATATTATACTATTATATTGTTTTTTCTTTTGTTTTTTGTTTTGAGATGGAGTCTCCCTCTGTAGTCCCGGCTGGAGTGCAGTGGCGCAATCTCAGCTCACTGCAACCTCTGCCTCCCAGGTTCCAGTGATTCTCCTGCCTCAGCCTCCTGAGTAGCTGAGATTACAGGCACATGCCACCATGCCCGGCTAATTTTTTGTATTTTTAGTTGAGACAGGCTTTCACCATGTTGGCCAGGCTGGTCTCAAACTCCTGACCTCAGGTGATCTGCCCTCCTCGGGCCCACAAAGTGCTGGGATTACAGGCGTGAACCACCGCACCCAGCCTATATTGGGTTGGGTTTTTGTTTTGGTAGTACTTTCTAGTTGTGCTATTTTTTTTAGGGTAAAAAAGGTTAAAATTTGGTTAAATCAAAGCAGGATCTCTGGTATTTAATCATGAGTAATATTTTGCCTAATATGCCTTTTAATTACACCTGGCTTTCAATTACATTTGTTGATTTTTTTTCTAAATTGATCTGTTATTTTATTTAACCCCTTTTGACTGCTAAGTTACATTTTATAAGTGTAGTTTGTACTACCCTTCATCCAGCACTATGAAATGGTGATTTTTTTTTTTTTTTAGAGTTAGTGAATTAATACTAATAGTTCTGCTAACTTTGGTCCTTCCAAAGACTTATACAATTTGAATCCCATAATGTTTCAAATCCAACTCTCTGTCTCCCCAATTCCTCCCTGAATCTGTATCAGCTTTGAGATGCCTATCTTGGTTATTGGCATTGCCATCCTGATACTTTTTTTTTTTTTTTTTTGAGACCGAGTCTCACTCTATCGCCCAGGCTAGAGTGCAGTGGTGTGATCTCAGCTCACTGCAACCTCCGCCTCCAGGGTTCATGTGATTCCCATGACTCAGCCTCCCGAGTAGTTGGGATTACAAGCACCTGCCATCATGCCCAGCTAATTTTTGTATTTTTAATAGAGACGGGTGGGCGGGGGGGCGCGGGGTTCACCATGTTGGCCAGACTGGCCTCGAACTCCTGACCTCATGGTCCACCGGCTTCAGCCTCCCAAAGTGCCAGGATTACAAGTGTGAGCCACTGTGCCCAGCCTTTTTTTTTTTTTTTTCTGAGATGGAGTCTCACTCTGTTGCCCAGGTTGGAGTACAATGGCACAATCTTGACTCACTGCAACCTCCGCCTCCTGGGTTCAAGTGATCCTCCTGCCTCAGCCTCGCGAGTAGCTGGGATTACAAACATGGACCACCAGGCCTACTAATTTTTGTATTTTTAGCAGAGATGGGGTTTCACCATCTTGGCCAGGATGGTCTCAAACTCCTGGCCTCAAGAGATCCCCCGCCTTGGCCTCTCAAAGTGCCAGGATTATAGTCATGAGCCACCGCACCCAGCACCATCCTGATAATTATCTATGCTAACCCTCAGGGTCATCACGTCTCATGCACAATCCAATTTCTCACCATGTGTACGCAATATTTCTGTCATGTGTTCCTGCCTCTCCATTCCCTTTCCAAAATCTTTCCAAGTATATTTTCTCAAGAGAGGTACTATTCCTAAATACCAAACATACACTCAAGCATAGTATAAGGGATATTTGTCATGTCTGAGGCCACCTAGCATGTTTAAACACCCTTCCTATGTTTGGAGAATTCCGCATATGATGAGCCCTTTCTCAAGGCAGAAGCTAGGACTGGCTCTCTTACCCTATCTTAGTTAGGATATAGCGATCCAGCCAGGGGCAGATTCCAGTTTTGTAGGGGTTTGACCCTAATACAATTTTGGGGCCTTCTTTTTACAAAGCAACAAAATTACAAATTTAAAATTAGGTTTAAAAATTAACTTCACAATTTGAATGAGAAAAAAAAATCAAAACTACAAATTTTAGGAGATAACCAGTACCATGAACACCACAAATCCAGAAAAACAATGTAATTTTTAAATCAATAATTTGCCTAATGTACCTCTTTAATATTTTTCTTCATTATTTTAACTACATTATTTTAACTCTTTGATTATTAATTCACATGACAATGATTTCATAATTTTTCATATTAAAATATTTTTGTAGAGAAGGGATCTCACTAGCTTGCTCAGGCCGGTCTTGAACTGCTGGCCACAAGTGATCCTCACACTTTGGCCTCCTGAAGTGTTCGGATTACAGGCATGAGCCACCACATCCAGATCTGTGATTTTTTTTTTTTTTTTTTTTTTTAGTATTTATTGATCATTCTTGGGTGTTTCTCGGAGAGGGGGATTTGGCAGGGTCATAGGACAACAGTGGAGGGAAGGTCAGCAGATAAACATGTGAACAAGGGTCTCTGGTTTTCCTAGGCAGAGGACCCTGCGGCCTTCCGCAGTGTTTGTGTCCCTGGGTACTTGAGATTAGGGAGTGGTGATGACTCTTAATGAGCATGCTGCCTTCAAGCATCTGTTTAACAAAGCACATCTTGCACCGCCCTTAATCCATTTAACCCTAAGTGGACACAGCACATGCTTCAGAGAGCACAGGGTTGGGGGTAAGGTTATAGATTAACAGCATCCCAAGACAGAATTTTTCTTAGTACAGAACAAAATGGAGTCTCCTATGTCTACTTCTTTCTACAGAGACACAGTAACAATCTGATCTCTCTTTCTTTTCCCCACATTTCCCCCTTTTCTATTCGACAAAACCGTCATCGTCATCATGGCCCTTTCTCAATGAGCTGTTGGGTACACCTCCCAGACAGGGTGGCGGCCGGGCAGAGGGGCTCCTCACTTCCCAGACGGGATGGCCAGGCAGAGGCGCCCCCCACCTCCTGGACGGGGCAGCGGCCGGGCGGGGGCTGCCCCCCACCTCCCTCCCGGACTGGGTGGCTGGCCGGGCAGGGGTTGCCCCCCACCTCCCTCCCGGACGGGCGGCTGGCTGGGGGGGGGGTGCTGCCCTCCACCTCCCGGACGGGGCGGCTGCCCGGCAAGACGCTCCTCACTTCCCAGATGGGGCGGCTGCCAGGCGGAGGGGCTCCTCACTTCTCAGACGGGGCGGCCGGGCAGAGACGCTCCTCACCTCCCAGATGGGGTGGCGGTCGGGCAGAGACACTCCTCAGATCCCAGACGGGGTCGCGGCCGGGCAGAGGCGCTTCTCACATCCCAGACAGGGCGGCGGGGCAGAGGAGCTCCCCACATCTCAGACGATGGGCGGCCTGGGCAACATTGAGCACTGAGTGAGCGAGACTCCGTCTGCAATCCTGGCACCTCGGGAGGCCCAGGCGGGCAGATCACTCGCGGTCAGGAGCTGGAGACCAGCCTGGCCAACACGGCAAAACCGCGTCTCCACCAAAAAATACAAAAACCGGTCAGGCGTGGCGGCACGCGCCTGCAATCCCAGGCACTGGGCAGGCTGAGGCAGGAGAATCAGGCAGGGAGGTTGCAGTGAGCCCAGATGGCGGCAGTACAGTCCAGCCTCGACTCGGCATCAGAGGGAGACCGTGGAAAGTGCGAGATGAGGGAGCGGCATCAGAGGGAGACCGTGGAAAGTGGGGGGAGAGGGAGAGGGAGAGGGAAAGGGAGAGGGAGACCAATTTTTTTTTTATAAAAAGAAAAAAAGTACTTTAGTCTCCTTTGTCCTATCTGGTCAATTGATTTTTTGATTGACAGTTTAGAAAAGTGTCTTTAAGCTTCACAACTGATGATTGATAATATTGTGTAAATTTAGTGAGGTTGACAGAAGTCAGAATTGCAGGTACAATATTTCTACTGCAAATTTTACAAAAACATAGGACAGACATTTATTCCTAGGGCTCTCCCAGGGCCTTGGAAAGGGTCTGCATAAGTACAGGGCCCTGAGGCTTAAGATTCATTAGCTTTGTGATACATCCATATATTAGTCCGTTTTCATGCTGCTCATAAAGACATACCTGAGACTGGATAATTTATAAAGGAAAAAGGTGTAATTGACTCACAGTTCCACATGGCTGGGGAGGCCTCACAATCATGGCGGAAGAGCAAGGGACCATCTTACATGGCGGCAGGCAAGAAAAGAGTTTGTGCAGGGAAACTTGCCCTTATAAAACCATCAGATCTCATGAGACTTACTCACTATCATGAGAACAGCATGGGAAAGACCTACCCCCATGATTCAATTACTTCCCATTGAGTTCCTCCCATGACACATGGGAATTGTTGGAGCAACAATTCAAAGTGAGATTTGGGTGGGGACAGAGCCAAACCATATCAATTCATCTCTGCATCCTCTTAGGCTTTGCCAATCAGACATGATCATAAAGTTTTCACTTCAGAACTGAACAACCCTAGGAAGCAGGAGCCCTTGTCATCTACCATTTCATAAGAATGACAAGAGAGGCACCAGCTCTGCCAGGCACCGGTGGTGAAATTTCTGGTGTTGGGTCTCCAGAGTTATTGGTGGAGGCTGTGGTGTCTGTACCATGCAGGAGCTGTAGCACCCTCTCGCCTTGAGCAGCCCTCAGAGTGTGACATGGGCATGGATGCTGGCCGCAGAGCCTCTGGACCTTACTCTCCAGACCCCTTGCAGATTCAATGAGGTACCAAATATCCTTATTAAATTCACCTTATTTTTCTGCTTAAATTAGTTATTATAGAATAGTTTCTGCTTGCAACCATGAATCCTGACTGCTACATGTGGAAGTGTGTTCTACAGGACTAAGGCAGAGGCTGAGGCATCATCAGCCTACCTGAGATGATGGAATAATTCAAGGATCGGAAAGTGAATCAAAGCAGAATGCATGGGAGAAAACAGGTGACCAAATACCAGAAAAGTAAGGATGAAAGTCAGATACATGGGCCCATTTAAAGGCAGAAGCCAGAGAGCCAAGAATCTTGATTATTGAATGCAGATGAAGGCAGAGGAGGTTCAGAAAAGGCAAAGTGGGGTAGGTCAAGACCCCATTTGGTAGGCCAGCAGTTGGGTGGTGTATATAAGGATTGAGTGGCCTTAAAAAGGAATAGAAGGCCAGGTACAGGGGCCTCACACATGTAATCACTACACTTTGGGAGGCTGGGGCAGGAGGATCACATAAGCCCAGATGTTTGAGACCAGTCTGGGCAACAAAGGGAGACCCCCATCTCTACAAAAAATTTAAACGTTAGCCAGGTGTTTTGATGCACGCTTGTAGTCCCATCTACTTGGGAGGCTGAGGTGGGAGGATCACTTGAGCCTATGAGGTGGAGGCTGCAGTAAGCCATGATCACACCATTGCACTTCAGCCTGGGTGACAGAGAGAAACCTGTCTCTAAAAAAAAATTAATTTAAATTTAAAAAAAGAGGAATAGAAGAAGGCTGGACAGTACTATAACCCAGACTGTCGTTAGCTCTCTCTTGGAACCATAAAAGCCTTCAACATTCTCCCACCTTATTCTCTGCCCTACACAGTATGTTCTTTACACACAAAAAAAGCTATCTGGGGCCATGATCATTGCCCTACTTTTGAGATATCAATTGTGACTCCCCATTGCCTAGAGAACATCACAGAATTCATTAGCCTGGCATTTCTGACCCTCCCTCATCTAGGTCAATCCATTTATCCAACATATTCCTCATTAACTTTCTCATACTATATGCTAGAGCTGCACTAAACTATTTGGTATTTCCTAGACATGCATTTCATTTTCCCACAAGCATGCTGTTCTTTCTGCCTGGGATGCTCTCCCTGTCACATTTCAGCACATCCAAATCACTCTATTTTCCAAAGCCCAGCTCAAATGTCACATTTCTTCTTCAGCAGCAGTATTTCCTCCCGGAAGCACATTAATTCTCATGTTAATTTTGCTTTCCATATTGCATTACATTTATTCAGGCACATATTTTTATTTCCTCTAAGAACCCAGAAACTCACTTTGAACAGAATCTTGGCACAGTGACTTGTATACTATACTTGCTCAAAATAGTGTTGAACAAAGGGTTGAATGAAACAATTCTTGACACATAATTTCTTGTAGAACCTAAAGTAGTTGACAGTGACCTATGGTGTGGTAAGAAAAGTACAGGCTTTGATCTCAGACACGTGGGAGCTGGAGTCACAACTTGTGCTGGCTGATGAATCTTCTGACACGTTGCTTAATCACAAAGAGGCATTGGTTAGTAAGAGATAATAATCCTTATAGCATACTATTATTTTGAGAATTAAGTAAGGTTCTAGAAGGTAACTTACAATTCCTGATACAAAAGAGATGCTAACTGAATGTTAGTGATTTTTTTCTCCCTTAGTCTTCTCCTAGCCTTAATATCTCTAATTCCATCTATTGTTTCTTACAGGACAGTTTTTTAGTCTGCTCATCAACATCATTTTATCCGCATTGTTCTCAAAAATCTGAACATTAAGACAACTCAAGTGTGACCTGACCAGTTCACAGAACGCTGAGAATATTACTTAGTACAATCTCATCACAATACTTCTATTTTGCAATACAAGATAGCCATATTATACTTTGCTTATATTAAGTTTGTAACTATCTAAAATCTCCAAGTTTTTTAGAGCAATCTACTTCCAGATAACATGTCTATTTTATACATAAATCTAAATGCACATAATTCTTCTGATCTCTGTTAAGTTTCAACTAATTTATTTAAGCCCATAATTTTATTTTACCCAAATCCCTTTCGGTATTGATTTTAATAATCTTTAAAGAGGTGTAGGGGGGAAGATGATGGGAGGGACACTAAGTAATAACTTGAGACATTTGCCTTACTCTTACTTAATTGCAAAATAAACAGCTCCCATGGTGATCTGTAGTGCAGGCCAACATTTGTGTCTATGTGGAGGAAAAAGGATGACTTTTGCACTTTGCCTCTGCCAATAATAGCCACATGAGTAATTAAACTTCAACAAACTTAGTAATTAAATAATAGAAATTTTTTTTAGAGATCACCTTGGGGAAAAGAAAATGAGAAAAATGATGTTTCTTTAATGTCTCAAAACAGAAACAATTATCTTATTTTTTAATTGAATATTGTACTATTCCACCAAAAACTCTGATTAGCAACCCTTGCTCTACTGCAAAAATCTAGTTTAAGTTTCTCAGATTGTATGCAGATAGAATTATATTTTTCTTAATAAACATGTGAAATAAGCAAAGCAATCTAAATTTAAAAATGTACCGAGGGTCTTCTCAATAACTTTTCCATATGGTAGCCATGAGTGATGTTTTTCTTGTTAGAAATTTATGGGAAATATTCTTGGGAGCCTATTTTTCCTTATGAAATGGGCTGAATGTTTGTGTTCTCCCCAAATTTATATACTGAAACAGAGATCCTGATGTGCTTGAGGTGGGGCCTTTGAGAGGTAATTAGATCATAAAGGTAGAGCCCTTATAAATGGCATTAGTGCCCTTATAAGAAGAAACCAGAAAGTTAGTTACCTCTCTGTCTGCCATGTGAAGGCATAGCAAGAAGATGACCCTCTGTAAACCAGGAAAAGGGCCCTCACCAAGAACTCAACCACAATACCACCCTGAACTCAGCCTCTACAACTGTGAGAAATTATTGTTTAAGCCACCCAATGTATGGTAATCTGTAGCAGTCTAAACTGACTAAGAAATATCAATGTAAAGCCTACAAACATCAAATATAAGTTTATTTTATTTATTTATTTATTTTTAATAAACTGTTTATAGAGACAGGGTCTCACTATGTTGCCCAGGCTAGTCTTGAACACCTGGCCTCAAGCAATCCTCCTGCCTCAGCCTCCCAAAGTGTTGGGATTACAGACATGAGCCACCATGCCCAGCCAAAATATAACTTTAAAGGGAGAGAGATGAAGTAATAAAGAGAAACTTTTGAAACACAAAATTTCTCTTAAAGTAAAATAATTGCTGGGCATGGTGGCTCACGCCTGTAATCCCAACACTTTAGGAGGCTGAGGAGAGCGGATCACCTGAGGTTGGGAGTTTGAGACCAGTCTGACCAACATGGAGAAACCCTATCTTTGCTAAAAATACAAAATTAGCCAGGCATGGTGGCACATGCCTGTAATCCCAGCTATTCGGGAGGCTGAGGCAGGAGAATCGCTTGAACCCAGGAGGCGGAGGTTGCGGTGAGCCGAGATCGCACCATTGCACTCCAGCCTAGGCAACAAGAGTGAAACTCCATCTCAAAATAATAATAATAATTTTAGTAGAGTGAAGAAGAAAATTCTAATAAAAGGGTCTAATAAAAAATTGTGTTTTAGGCCCAGTACAGTGGCTTACACCTGTAATGCCAGTACTTTGGGAGGCCAAAGTGGGCAGATCACTTGAGGTCAGGAGTTTGGGACCGGCCTGGCCAACATGGTGAAACCTCATCTCTACTAAAAATACAAAAATTAGCTGAGCATGGCAGCGCATGCTTGCAGTCCCAGCCACCCGGGAGGCTGGGGCAGGAGAATCACTTGAACCCTGGGGGTTGCAGTGAGCCGAGACTGTGCCACTGCACTCCAGCCTGGGTGACAGAGAGGGACTCCATCTCAAAAAAAAAAAAAAAAAAAAAAAATATATATATATATATATATGGAAACTCTTCACATACTTGGGGGAAAGAACATGAGACTAAAGGCTAAATCAAATATAATATAGTAAGAATATTATGGGATTCTTCTAGTCTGGTGCCAATTTTTCTTTTCCATTAAGGCCTATATAGGCCTTTTAATTTATACCTAAAAATATTTTTTAAAAATTCTAACTTGAGGTCCAAACAAAACAAATGACGCATCAAATCAGTCTTGAGATTTCAGTGCCAATGCAGTTAGAAGCTAGAGAAGGTAGAGAGAGTGAAATTGGGAGACAAGTCATTTATCTACTATTCATGTAAAACTCAGAAAATCATATTTTCCCATCTATAGTTGGAAATTCAGTTACTTTCTACAAATAGGAAAGATGTTTAAGATAATTAAAACTAACAAATGTTACAATTTTTATTAGTTTGCTGAATGCTTTTATATTTATTATATATAGTCCTCAGACATAGACAACAGATCATGTAAAATATAATTAAGCTTTTTCTAAATCAGCCAAGATTGTCATTGTCATAATTTGGTATTGTATCATAAATAAAGTCTATTGTAGCCATCAGGCTGAAATGGAATTTGAGTTCTGAGATATTTCCTTTTATAAACCTTTTATCTTTGCTGCTTTATTTTAGAATACATATCTTTAAAGCTTACTAAGAAGGGTCTTTACCAGGGTAAACCATGAATTTGCCAATATTTAATCATTTTAACCTATAAAATATGAATTCCTCCTGGTTTAACCTAACACAATCAAAGATTGAGTCAAAAGCTGAAGAACTTTTTCATCAACTGTCTTTGCCAATACCCTTTGACATTTACAGAACCCTTACTGTATTCAATGGTATGAAATGTAGGACATGCTGAACCATGTTTCTCCCTCCCTACATTCAGCCAAATGATTCCTTCTTTCCTTAATTCATACTTGCCTGGAGCTCATGCTCTTGTTTTCCATTACCACTATAAAGAGATAATGGAGCTATGCCTCTCATAGAATGTCATCCTTCCCCGCTGGCTTCTCTGGCAATACAACTTGTAAAATCCCCTATCTCTGATTTACTGTTATCAAAATTCCACCTGTTGCTTTGTTTTGAGTTAACATTTAGTACATTGTGAGAAAAAATAGTTGGAATTTTGAATCATTGCATTTTAGAGGTAGAAGTAATCTTAGCAATCGCTTAGGCCAGCCCTCCTATGGTAGTTGTTGCCAGCTGCTGATTCCCTCTGCCAGCCTCATTTTCACCCAGTCCTCCCTGATGCTGCCAATGTACTTTGGGGATGGACCTGACTTAGCAGTGGAGGTTATCTCATTGACTCAGAAACCCAAGTCTAAGTTAATTAGCACAGCCAAGTCTGTGTCATTAGGGTGGCTATTATAGGCTGAATTGGGTCCTCCCAAAATTCATTTGTTAATGTCCTGACCCCTAGAATCTCAGAATGTGACCATATTTGGGGAGAGGGTCTTTAAATAGGTTTTTAGGTTAAAATGAGGTCATCTGGGTGGGTCCTATTCAAATATCACTGGTGTCCTTATGAGAAAAAGAGATTAGGACTCAGATAAACTCTGAGGGAAGACCATGTGAGGGCACAGGGAGGAGAAGATGGCAAGATGGCCATTTACAAGTCAAGGAGAGAGGCCTCAGAAGAAACCAGCCCTGTTCACACTTTGATATCCATCTTTTACCTTACAGCACTGTGGGAAAACAACCTTCTGTTGTTTAAGTCACCAATCTGTGGTACTTTATTATGACGGCAGCACTAGCAAACTAATACGATGGGACTGGGCATTGGAATAAGACCCATTTGGGCCATTATGTGATCCAATGAGTCTTCTGAGTTATTTAGGCCAGTTAGGGCCAAGTTTTCTGTTACTTACAGTCTCTGTTGTATGTGATGTTACCAACCTCTTCCTTTTACACAGAGAAGCTGAGGCTTCTTCAAATTTAAACATAGATTACAGAATTTGAAATAATTATCTTTCCTCAAAGATTGAGGCTATATGCATAATTGGTAGAAATAGTACAGTCATCTGTTGGTATCTGTGGGAGACTGGTTCTGGAACTCACCCTTCCACCCCACCCCACCCCAGAGGACACCAAAACTCAAGTCCTTTGTATTAAATGATGTAGTAATTGCATATAATCTGTGCACATCCTCCTGTATAAATCATCTCTATTAAGTGTATTACCTAATACAATGCCTACACATCACTTCATTTATGTGGAGTCAACAGAGTCCTCAGAGCATGGCAAATTCAAGCTTTGCTTTTTGGAACTTTGCAGAATTATTTTTCCCTAATGTTTTCTTTTCTTTTTTTTTTTTTTGTTTTTGAGATGGAGTTTCGCTCTTGTTGCCCAGGCTTGAGTGTAATGGCGCAGTCTTGGCTCACTGCAATCTCTGCCTCCCAGGTTCAAGTGATTCTTCTGCCTCAGCCTCCTAAGTAGCTGGGATTACAGGCTCCTGCCACCATGTCCAGCTAATTTTTGTGTTTTTAGTAGAGAAAGGGTTTCACCATGTTGTCTAGGCTTGTCTCAAACTCCCGACCTCAGGTGATACACCCGCCTTGGCCTCCCAAAGTGCTGGGATTATAAGCATGAGCCACGGTGCCCAGCCTTCCCTAATATTTTCAATTCACAGTTGGTTGAATCCACAGATGCAGAAGCCACAGATACAGAGGACTGACCATCCAGGTAAACAGTTTCATGACTAGAATGAAGAAAACATTCACTCTTATCTCTGATCAATCCAGAGAGGCTAAAGTGAGGAGAATTCGAAGTATTGGGAGAGAAAAAATCTGAAAATTAGCTCCTTGTGTCAGTAAGTCAATACTAGTATCCCCTTTTCCAGTTTTATCTTTAGCCTCCTTAGCAGAGGCTTGCCCTATCCAGTATTTAGCCCTGCTATTTCTTTCATTACCTACTGCTTACAGGTCTCAAGACTTCTGTGCTGTTTCATACATTCTTGCACCTGGGAGTAGCCCATGTGCACTTCTGTCCAGATTTGAATGCCGCAGTTTTTATATTCATACTCTTCCATCACCAGTAATAGATAATTACATTTTCAAAGCAGCTTCCACATTTTAAGTGCTTAAGACATGTTTTATGAGAACATAGACTGTGCTGCTCCTCTATATAGAAAATTCATATTCATCATTTGGTGAAGTGGGAATTTTACCACGGTTAGCCACTTTAAACTTCTTGACAGCTTCAAACCACTGTATCCCATTTACATTAACATTTTGTTCTAGAAAGTGGAAAAAGTTACATTGAGATATTCTCATTTCATACATTCTGAAGCATGCTTCGTGAATGAATTCTTTCTTCGAAATCTTGGCAAGCTAAATTATGAGTAGAGATTGTCAAATTTAAGTGTTGTTTTTAAAAAACATGCTATGAGTATAATGAGAGCAGAGAAATCTTCCCAGAGCCTCAAACTGTGCCTGGCATGTAACACATGACAAATAAATACTCACTGAGTAAATATTTATTGAATGAATGACTGAGATAGAATTTGTGATATATTTATGCATTGCAAGTTGCTGAATAATTTTATCTTAAAAGTTACCTCTTAGGCCCATTTACTGTTGAACCTTCAAAATTTCAAATTGATATATATGATAGCAAATGATAAGCTGTGCTGTCAAAGTTGGTGGTTTGCGTATGGGATGTTATCATTTGACTTACCAGTTAGTGACAGAGTTGGACAGATAGTAAGACTGCCCTCATTCTGGATATTATGCCATGGTGTTTTGGGATACCATGATGCAAGGAACCTATAGAAAGTATCATTTTCTTCCTGAGGATGGGAGGAGCAATTAGTGCTACAGTTTATCTAAATTGCTACAGAAGTCTTCTTTCACATGGACACATCACTTTCTGGACACCCTTCCATATGTTGTGACTCAAATCAATAAAATCAATAGCAGTTTTACAGCTGGCTTGTAAAATGTCAAACCTGTGACTTCTGAAGTTTTCCAAGTTTTCTGTGGAGCCACACTGTTGAGTACTCTTTTTTTTTTTTTTGAGACAGGGTCTTGCTCTGTGGCCCAGGCTGGAGTACAGTGGCAGCATTACAGCTTGCTGCAGCCTCGACCTCCCAGGTCCAAGTGATCCTCCCACTTCAGCCTCCTGAGTAGCTGGGACTACAGAAGTGTGCTACCACACCCAGCTAATGCTTGTATTTTTTTCTAGAGATACGGTCTCACTATGTTGCCCAGGCTGGTCTTGAACTTCCGGGTTCAAGTAATCCCCCTGCCTCAGCCTCCCAAAGTGTTGGGATTACAGGCGTGAGCCACTGCACCTAGCTGAATACATATTTAAGTGAAAGTGAAAAATCTGTATACTTCTGTGTTAGAAAAACCTTTAGAACCTTTGAAGTTTTTTTTTTTTTTTTTTTTTTTAATAAATTAAGCATAGTCAAAATCCTGGTACTATTTTTGTTTGGATTGCTTTTATTCTTCTCATGATTTAGGTTTGGTTTTATTGTTTGTTTGTTTGTTTGAGATAGGGTCTCACTCTATCGCCCAGGTTGGAGTGCAGTAGTACAATCTTGGCTCACTGCAACCTCCACCTCCTGGGTTCAAGCTATTCTCCTGCCTCAGCCTCCCAAGTAGCAGGGATTACAGGCATGGGCCACCACACCCTCTGATTTTTGTATTTTTAGTAGAGATGGGGTTTTATTATGTCAGCCAGGCTGGTCTTGAACTCCTGGCCTCAATCGATCCACCTGCCTCGGCCTCCCAAAGTGCTGGGATTACAGGCGTGAGCCACCAAGCCCGGCCATGAATTAGTTCTTTGTTGTCGTTGCTTGAATGGCTTTAAAACTTGAATCATTTCGGGGTTTAATTTGCTTACTACCTTAAAGATACAATTGGCATTACATCTAAATATATGGCCATTCCTTCATTATGGTCAAGACCTTGAAATCAGAAAAAATTATCATTTTATTTGCGTCAATTTACTTGATCATTCTTACTTTTCTAGAAACCATAGTCTGTAACTGGATATGAATATTCTAGACACTGCAGTTCTGAATTTCTGAATTATGGGCTTAAAATTCTAAAAATTCAGCACCCCAACCTTCAAAGTTAGCCAAGAGTAGTCACTGGTGTACGGGTTGATTTTATATTTTAATAGTACTCAATGTCTTTTTATGCTAGAAACAAAAGAATTCTTTTGAAAAGGATTGACACCTTGATCAAAAACTGAAAATGAAAATGCATTCAAGTTTCATTCAACAACATCCGTGCTTCTTTGCCCCAGCCCAGTTTTCTTGACCTACTTGTGTGTATCCAGTGCCACTTTCGCACAAAGATTTAAAGACTGATTAAGAAGAACTTGTCCTCTTTTTAAAGTGTAACTAGCAAGGATTCAACAGTATGTCACAGGTGGGCACAGTGGTTCATTCCTGTAATCCCAGTACTTTTGGAGGCTGTGTTGGGAGAATCACTTGAGGCCAGGAGTTCAAGATAAGTGTGGGCAACATAGCGAAACTCCCGTCTCTACAAAAGAATATTTTTTAAAAAACTAGCCTGTTGTGGTGGTGCGCACCTATAGTCCTGAAGTGTATCATGTGGCAGCTGACCCATATTTTTCTCTTGCACCTCAGTGTTCACATAACAAAGTGAATTTATTCTCACAGCCAAGTTTTACTAACTGCAACTGTGAAAGGAAAGGTTCCTTTTTGATTTACATGTTTTAAGAACTATAGTCATTGAACCATTTCCATATTAAATTGCATGGTAAGCAAGGCATCTTCAGTTTTAGACCATGAAGAAGACGCTGACAAATTACTATGTATTTCCATTGTTTCCCTGGGGCAACAGTTTCTGATCCAACCACTATTGTCACTTGGGATCTCTGAGCTCTAAGAAGTTAAATGAGACTAGAACAGTGTCAGTGGGATTTTGATACAAACAAGAAGCCATCACATATTTCGGAAAGTGCACATAAACTTTCCCGTAGATTCTGGGAAACTTCCCTCCAGGATCATTAAAAAAAATTCATCTCCAAGATTTTTTAAAAATCTCTTCATTTGTTGTCTCCCTATCACTTACAGATTTGGGATTTAGTTGACATGCCAGAGGCAGCCTGCCAAATCTTGTGACTCAGACATATGACACTTCTGCTGGGAGTACAGACAGGTGGATACAGACCTGACCTATTTGCTAACTTTGTTCTGGGATTTCAACTATAGCACCCATCTAGTTGTTGGAAAATGATGCCATTTGCATCTTTTACACAAATGTTTGTGGATTCAAGGTACATTTGAAAAAGGAAAGAGAACAAACCTCAAATCAAATAAGCTGTGTGATGGCCACCTGAAACTGAAAAATTTGCTTTAGGGGTGATCTGAGTCAGTGTTCTCCCCGCACTGTGCCTCAGAACCACCTGGAGGGCTCCTACGACATACAGGTATGGGAGCCCCATTCCTAAAGATTCTGAATCATGGACCCAAACATTTCCTTTCTAGGAGGGCAGCATAAGATATTTTACATTTCATCTGATGACTTTTTTATATATTGTTTTAATTGTTCATGTTTGTAAATTATCATTTTTATAATTTGAAAAGCATTTGTCCTCAATGTGGTCTTTCCTAACCACACCATACTTGCCAGTAGTTATAGTTTTATTATGGATACCCAAAATGCCTGCCACACCAAAACAAATCAATGTACAGTTTTAAATACATTGAACTGGTATGATAAACTTGATAAAAATGAATTTGAAAGCCTTGCTCTGCTGTTGTAAAAATTTAGGCAAGTTCTGTAACCTCTCTGAGCCTCAGATTCAATTGTGAAATGGGGACTTTAAGAATGTACTTACTTTTTGAGATTGGGCGAAAATTAAATTATACGATCCATGTCAGTTTTATATAGTGGGTATTCAAAAATGGTTTTTAGTCATCAGCTACCCTAATCCCTCTTCCTGGACTAACAATATGAGGTCATTTACAACATGTTGAATTCATTTACTTACATCATTTTCACGTAAATATGTGGGTTTCTTCATTACAAATGTAAAAAATATATGTACACTTTTTGAACAGAGTATAGCAGTCTGAACCCTAAGGCAAATAGGAATTATATTACACAGGATTTTTTCTAGTTAACAAATGTTCTCTGATTTTTTTTCTGCTAGCTTTTCCTTATCACCTGCTGTTTCTATACCCATCTTTATTCACTGGTGTTTATTTATATATAACCACAGCTTTCACAGCTTCACAAAACTCAAATAACGTTTCAGTGGGTTGTGTGTTTAGAAAGGAGACAGATGGATTTGGGATAATCATGAGTCTTTGTTGTTGTTAATGATACCATTTCAGGCCTGCTAGAAACATATACAGTCCAGCGACAGAAATGAAACAAGGAAACAGATAAGTTAGACTAATATAATATGTGCCATGGTTTTGGTACTTTATAATTTTCCTGTATACTCTGCCTCATTAAAAAAAGTTAACATTGTTACTTAGCATTCTCCCAACCAGGCATGGTAGCTCATAGCTGTAATCCCAGCACTCTGAGAGGCCAAGGCAGGAGGATCACTTGAGACCAGGAGTTTGAGACCAGCCTCAGCAACATAGTGAGACCTTGTCTCTAGGAAAAAAAAAAAAAAGTACATTTAGTACAATAAAATAAAAATTTTTAAAAAGCATTCTCCCGCCAGCTCTGGAGAGAGTCTTGGAGTTCCTTGGGGGTTGACCAGCAGCATCCAGCATCACCTAGAAACTTAGAGATCCAGAATCTCAGCTGCCTTCTCCCCAGCTGCCAAATCAAAATTTGCATTTAAATAACATGCCTGGCCTAGCACCAAGGCTCACACCTGTAATCCTAGCACTTCCTTTAGGAGGCCAGGGTTGGACAATCACTTGACACCAAGAGTTCGAGATCAGCCTGGGCAACACAGTGAGACCCCGTCTCTAAAATGTGTGTGTGTGTGTGTGTGTGAGTGTGTGTGTGTGTAAAATATTAACAGGTGGTTTGGATGAACTACACAGTTTGAGAAGCTCTGACCTAGGGAAGAGTTAAGTCTTTGACTTAGCAGGTACAAAAGATGACTGACTCTCTTGAGATGTCTTTTAATTTAATTGTGGCTGTATTCAACCACAACACTTAGAATAAGTTTATACAACATCTTCTTGATGATGCACAATGCTAGCTGCCTTTTTGTTGCCTTTGGAAACACTGCAATGCATTCATTGGAATGACAGTAGGCAGAAGTATTTTCTCTTTACCACACTTGTTTCAAGAAATTGAGGCTTTATTGCTCTGAAAACCTCTAAATTCTATGCAAAACTGTGAAATGTTTCTGAACCAGTAATACAGGAGAACAGATTGTTAAAGGATCTACTTCCATTTCTATTTATTTAAAAGTTTATAGGATTGGGTTAATGGAACTCAGATGAGTTTATTCATTACTCTGTCACTTGGTTTATCACTCAGCTAAGACCTACTAGCTGCTATAAGTTTTTGATCAATATACAGCTTTAGATCATTTTTAGTTATATATTGTTAAATTTATACTCATCATGGGTTGTTTGTTAAAAACCTAGAAACTGGAGAAACACTAATGGCAAAGAACAAGATATCAGTGAGAACCATTAATATGATACTTCTCTAAGCTGATTTCAGACTGATCCTCTCTATATCCATAAGATGCAGTTACCAAAGCGAACTCTTAAAAAACAGATCCAAAGGTATTGATTGATTCAAAAATCAAAGTTAAACATAGAACTATCATAAGGATTATGGCCACCATGGCTATTCATACATTAGACACCTCTACTTACACAATGTGTCATTTGCAGGGAGGTGCTTACAACTTCTGCGATCACATCATTAATAAACAAAACACAAATTAAAACAGAACAGTTGATTTTCCCTTAGTGGAAAATGTAAAATTCCAAAAACCAATTTATGAAATCATTTATTAATTTTTTATTCTATAACAGTTAAATTTTATCTACATTTTCTCCTTAAATGCTTCTGAAAAATAAGCATGATATAGCTTCTAAAATTTGTTGATAAGCTTTCTTTCATAAATAAAGTAATCTAATAATGTATCTCTCATTAAATGAGAAAAGAGCAAAAATGTGTTTATATGTGATGACCACAGTTAAGGTATACATAAGAGTTTTCTAATACAATATTAAATACTATGCCAACTTAAAATAAAACATTTTAACTTAAAACATCTTCTTTAGTATTTCATTTTTATTTTATCTACAGAGCTGTGGTTAACGGGTCTCAGATGTACCTCTTTATTATTCTGTCACTGGTTTACTCTGTCTCTGTCCCTCAGCCGAGACCAACTTTTATTACATTGTGTCTGAGTAAAGCAAAAAACTACATGCTAGTGTCAGAGAAATGATAACTTCTGTGTAACTGCCTTAGTGTGTGTAACATTTAAGGCAAAGACACCTACAGGTTTTATGAACCCTGATTCAAAAAGGGTTACTTCGCACACTTACAGGTACTTACTATGTGTCAGACATTGTCCTAAGACTTAAAAAAAAATCAATATATTTGAATCTCAAAAGAATCCTATAAGATATGAGGTCATGTTATAAATGAGGAAACCAAGGCACAGAGAGGTCAAGTAACTTGACCAAGGTCACAGAGGCAATAAATGGCATAAGTGCCACAGAAAGTGGCAATAAGTCACTCCTCATGATTACAGTATTCTACTGTATAGCTCTGCTAACCAAATCCAGTGCTCAAACCCCCTCCCAAGACATTTTAATATGTCTCCCTATGTCACCAGTGTCTCATGCTTCAAAAATAATTTTATTTTCCCTCTATTTCATTAACATTCTTTAGTGCATTTATTTCAGTTATTAGGAAAAAAAAGAAATCTAATTTAAACTAATTCATACCAAGAGGCATTAAATTGTGGATAGATTCTGGCTTGACATAGTCATTGCACAGGTTTTCAACTTGAAAGGAGAACAATTGCTATTTTAAAGGAATGAATCTCAATTGTAGTGGTTTTCAAAATTCAAGACAGTCAACTTTCAGAGTCCAGCAGGAGGCTTATCCCCAAAATCCAGCCTCAAATACACAAAGTTCTGCTTTTCTATGTGATGGCTGTGCATAAAATTTCATTTGGGAAAATAAAAGGGACTCTGCTGCCTCAAATAACAGTAAATTGAACCACTCCTCTAATCCACTAGTCCAGTGAACTTTCTGGCTCTTCTTTCCCTCACCTCCATCAGACACATTTCATGCGCTCCCCCGACCCCCACCCTTGATAAAGAAGCACTTAGAGGCTCACAGAACAGCGCAGAATATCTCTGCGTTCAAAGAACTTCAGGAGGGATCCAGAAAGTACTTTTGAGTAGATGCATTGAGCCTCTCAGTAATGTGAAAGCAGGCTGCAGAGATCACCATCCCAGCAACAGGATTATTCTGTTTGATATCTGTTGCCAACAGCCACATTTCCCAGCATCTTGGATGCAAAAGGGGGTTTACTGACAAAGCAAAGCTTTTACATTGGGCCTTACAGGCACAGGAAAATCACCAGCTACCTCAATGCACAGTCCCACGGTAGCATTCCTCCGGTCACTCTTAGAAAAGGCCCAAGTCATCTGGGCGCCTGGACTCACCCGCCCCAAGCAGGTGGCCCTTCTCCTGGTTCCCCTAGTTCTTCCTGGTAAATGGCAGAAATTGTATCTGACGCAATGTGCGCAACTTTGTCCTTTGCTGGATTCAGGTTTCTGGTCATGGGTCAGATCACTCAGTGCCTGAAGCAATTTCTTCCTCCACACCCAATGAATGCTTCAGGGAATCATGCAGGGATAGGTAGATTTCTTTAGGTACATATTTGTATTAATGAGAGCAGCTGGGAGCTGTCTTCCTGGTTCTAGTCAATGATTAACTTTTGAAGGCAGCCTCTTTGTGTGTGTGTGGTGTGTGTGTGTGAGAGAAAGGACTTGTTTTAAGTGTTCCCACACAAAGTTATACATCTGTTTTTCTAATCAATGAATGACCTAACTACAAAGAGTTGAAGCTACCATTGAGCCAATAGTAAAGAATAAAATCCTACCGGCTGGGCGCAGTGGCTCACGCCTGTAATCCCAGCACTTTGGGAGGCCGAGGCAGGTGGATCATCTGAGGTCAGGAGTTCGAGACCAGCCTGACCAACATGGTGAAACCCCCATCTCTACTAAAAATACAAAATTAGCCGGGCATGGTGATGCACACCTATAGTCCCAGCTACTGGGGAGGCTGAGGCAGGGGAATCCCTTGAACCCAGGAGGCGGAGTTTGCAGTGAGCTGAGATTGTGCCACTGCACTCCAGCCTGGGCATCAAGAGCGAAACTGTGTCTCAAACAAACAAACAAACAAACAAACAAAAAGAAAAAAATCCTACCCTCCCAGAAATCTCTTATTGCCATAGAAATCACCAGATGTTTACCAGGATGCTGCACTGTGGTCACCTAGGGGCTGAATACACTGTTTTCTACCTATTCCTTCAGCCTCTGGGAATCCACAGGCCAATTCAATGACATATGCTCAGAGGGGTCAATGATACAATTGCAGTTAGAGCCGTATTCACAATACATTTCTCAGAGAGAAAGCCTCAGTTCATTTCTACTCATTTCTTACTGAGAATTTTCACTTTATACTTCTATGAGAGAGACATTAGTATACATGTTGGCCTGTGGTAAGGCATATTTAGCTGTATATTTAATAAAGGTTCCAAATGTGTTTGGTGATTATTAAACACATGTGCTCAGCAGCATTGCTGCTCTCTTAAATTTCAGTTCCTCATTTCATCTGACTGCTCAGACTCTGCTATTTGAGAGACAATCTCCAACTTTTTTTTTTTTTTTTTTTATGATGGAGTCTTGCTCTGTCACCCAGGCTGGAGTGCAGTGGCGCGATCTCAGTTCACTGAAAGCTCTGACTCCTGGGTTCACACCATTCTCCCGCCTCAGCCTCCCGAGTAGCTGGGACTACAGGCACCTGCCACCACGCCCGGCTGATTTTGTTTTTGTATTTTTAGTAGAGACGGGGTTTCACTGTGTTAGCCAGGATGGTCTCGATCTCCTGACCTTGTGATCCGCCTGCCTCAGCCTCCCAAAATGCTGGGATTACAGGCGTGAGCCACCATGTCTAGCCAACTATTAACCCAAACTCTGCATAAATCAATTCAGTATCTTCCCCAGACAAAACAGTACTTTCTCTGGATTCCCCATTTCTGTCCACATTTCTTTAAATAAATCCTTTTTCTAGGCTCTCAGAATTGCATTATATTTCATTTACTTCTAAAATATTTTCAGTGTAACAGGTTTGATTTTACAAGACTATCCTAGACAACTGTTCCCCTTTTGGCATCATGCCTGCATCCTTGCAAGTGTCAATGGTGGAACTGGGCTTCCTGGCTTCAGGAGTTCAGTCCAAGTGATTAGCCTTATATAAGTGATGGGTAATTGAACGTAAGAATTTATTGCAAAAGTCAGCCTTGTGTGTATCTATTAGTTAATTAGTCACACTAAACTATGAGTGAAAAAGTAGCAAATCAGGGCAAAATGCAGATAAAGAAAAAAATCCAAGTAACAGTAGAGATTATTTTTTAACTGATAAATGATAACAATAAAATAAAACTGAATTTCAGTAATTATCAATTACTGATTCACCTAACTATGATCTTCCTCAAGTGAACCAAATAGAAAACACACTTACTTCAACAAGTAGCAATTGATGAGGTTACTAAACCCTGGTCTGTGGACTACCTGTATCAGAATCATTGGCGATCTTTCTATTTTAGTTTACTTGATTTTGTTTTGCCCTATATTATTTAAAAAATTTCTCAGTTATGAATAACCAAAACATGTGCAAGTTACTGAAGAATGATCAGAGATTCAAAGTTGCTGGCTTTAAGGATAGAGAAAGGGATCGTGAGCCAAAACTCAGTGAACTATATTGAGAGTAAAAATTGAAAAAGAGTTTGGGAAGAATATTGTATCTTTTTTATGCCAATAAATGCTCATAAAGTTTCAAGTAATATGAGGATGAAAAATTGAGATTATATTCTCTGTAACTTGACTTTTTTGTAGAAGTACTAGAAATACTGACATCTGTTGCACTAAAGAAAGTAATGTTTATCAACTATATTTAAATTTTAGTTATCTCTTTCTAATTAAACAATTAATCTTTCTTTCTCTTTTTTTTTTTGAGATGGAGTTTCACTCTTGTTGCCCAGGCAGGAGTGCAATGGTGCGATCTCAGCTCACTGCAAGCTCCGCCTCCTCCGCCTCCTAGGTTCAAGTGATTCTCATGCCTTAGCCTCCCAAGTAGCTGGGATTACAGGCATGCACCACCATACCTGCCTAATTTTTGTATTTTTATTGGGGATGGGGTTTCACAATGTTGGTCAGGCTGGTCTCAAACTCCTGACCTCAGGTGATCCACCCGCCTCAGCCTCTCAAAGTGCTGGGATTAAGGGCGTGAGCCACCGCGCCTGGCCAACAATTAGTCTTTCAAGAAAAAAATCATATTTGGGAATTATTTCTATTGTGTGATGATGTTAAAGGAGAGATGCCAATTCCACCATTTCTACATTTCTTGGGGGAAGAAATTGTTCAAAATCATTATAATAATATCCATGTGAAATTATCTTCATTAAGCCACAGTAAATAAATAAATAAATAATAGAAAATGAAAAAATAAGAAACGAGTGAGAAACACAATATTCTCTTTAATCAAACAACAAAAGACTTTAAAAGAATGCTCTGAGGAGACAATTCCATATATTTTTAAATCTATGGAGACATTGCCCTGGTCGATTTCCTTTGGAAAAGGAGGGAAGCTTAAAAACTTCAATATTACAGGAAAAGATCAATATTACATCAGCACCCTATCCTGACAAGGCCAGTCTAAAAAAGTATCTTGCTAATTCTCTAACTTCTGTCACCACGTGCATATATTTAGCATTGCAAAATATGCATAAAATGACCAAGAAGCAGGCAAGAGTGCTAAGAAATTATTTTTTTCTGCTCTACAATGTCAAACTTAAAAATTCAAATTCTAAAATTTTATTTTATTTTATTTATTTTTCTGAGAAGTGGTCACACTGTCACTCAGGCTGGACTACAATGGCGAGATCATGGCTCACTGCAGCCTCAACTTCCCAGGCTCAAGTGATCTTCCCATCTCAGCCTCTGGAGTAGCTAAGACTACAGGTACACACCACCATGCCCAGCTAATTTTCATACTTTTTGTAGGACAGGATCTTGCCATGTTGCCCAGGCTGATCTCAAACTCCTGGGCTCAAGCAATCCACCTGCCTTGGCCTCCCACAGTGCTGGAATTACAGGCATTAGCCACTGTGTCCAGTCCTAAAATTTTAAATAACTAAATTGAAACAATTTTTAATGAAAAATTCAGATTTATTCTTGTATGCCAGAATTTCAATCTATGACAATCCAGGTCTGACCATGAGTTCTGATGAATATTGGTTGTAATACTCTACCTGTTGGAATTTAGCCAAAATGTGTGTTTGATATGCTTTTAATGCTTAGCCAGGCTTGGGAACCACTCATTTACTGAATATTTACATGTGCCAAATCCTGGGTAATCTGGCAATAGAAAGACAAACATCTGCACAAAGTTACCCAAGATAATTTATTAACTCCATTACCTGGCCTAGAGCTTGTTTTTGATATTGACTCACCCTTTCTTGCAAGGGCAAGGCCTTTTTGTAATTGTAAACATTTAAACCAGTTTATTTTTCGAAGATGAGTAATAAGGATGAGGAGGATGTTTAGCACAATTGCATATTAAAATATTAGGAAACAGTGAAATACAAACACAGGAATAGATAGATCAGAGTCCAGAAATTGATCAATTATATGAATTAAATGTGTGATAAAGGCAGAATTTCAAATCCATAGGAGTAATATGGATTACTATTCTCAAACATTATGAATAGCTAGTCATTGAAGGGAAAACAAAAACAAACCTGAATTCCAATCTTACTCCATGCACACTCAAATAAAATCCATACATGTTACAACTGTAAATGTAAAAAATAAAATTACAATATGACTAGAAGTTTTACAGTTAGTGAAAATTCAGCAAGCTATACACTTAAGACTTATACTTGTGTGATTATACATTATCAGTAAAAAGTTTTAATTTTGATAAAATAATAGGTTATTTTTTAATTTTGGAGGAGAAAAGGCTTTTCAACTTTAATGAAAACTCAAAAAAAAAACCAGAAAAATTGGTAAGTTTAAATTACATGCACGTTTAAACTTTCTAAATGACATAAAAACACCATAAAACATTAAAAAAAACATCAAATTGGGAAAACATACTAGCAAAACTTTTGACAGACTATATCAGGCAGGGTGTAACCAGGAAATGAGAGATCACTCTAAACTCCTGAAACAAAGATAATCTAATAAAGGAATTGTTCTCAGAGGTGATGGAAGAGAAAAGAAGCAAAAAAGGGGTTGATAAGCCCTTTAGAAGTTATCAACAGCAGGTAGCCTCTTTGCCCCTAAACTGGAAGGAAAAAAGGAGGATGTAGTGTTCCCAGTGCCCAGAGCCCTGCTGGAGCCAAAACCAGACAGCCCTCTCTGATGGCAGCAGAAGCCATAGGGAATATGCAGTGGATGTTAGAGATGCTGCTTGAAGTAGAGGATGGGGTGGAGTGCAAACGTCCCAGCTCTTTCCTCCCTCTTGACTTCTGTATTAGTTTCCTAATTGCTGCTATAACAAATTACTACATACTAGCTGACTTGGAGCAACACAGATTTATTTTTTTACAGTTCTAGAGATCAGAAATCTGAAATGCCTCTCACTGGGATAAAAACAAGATGTCAGAACTGCATTTCTTTCCAAGGCTTTAGGGAAGAATCTATTTTCCTTGGCTTTTCCAGTTTCTTGAGGCTACCTTTCCTAGCTCCTCTTTCCTCTATTTTCAAAGGCAGCAATGGCCAGTCAAATCCTTCTCATGCTATCACCTTTTAAGTTCCCTTGTGATTACATCGGTACTACCTGGAAAACCTAGGGTAATCTCATTTTAAGGTCAGCTGATTTGCAAACATAATTCCATCTGTAACTCAATTCTCCTTTGCTATGTAATATGATGTGTTCACAGGTTTCAGGGACTGGGAAGTAGGCATCTTTGAGGGAGCTCTCCTTGTGCCTTCCATACCTTCCAGTCTCTCACCAGTGCCTCTCTTTGTCCAGATTCAACTGGAAGCCAACTGACTGGGAAAGGAGTCTGCAAGGGCCAGTGCTCCACACCCCAACTCTCGTCCCACACAAACCCAGGGGAAAGACAGGAATGGATCTAAGAGCAGATGGGTACCTGGAAAAATAACTAATATCCCTAGAATAAAGAGTTCTTAGAAATCACCGAGAAAATTATAACAAAAAAGACAAATGAGCCAAGGATATGTGCTGGCAGGCTGGCAATTTTTAGGCAAACATATGAAAATAGTATACATATGTAAAGATTCTCAACCTCCGTAATCTAAATTGAAACAACGAGCTATAATTTTTTTGTATCCTATGGGCTAAACTCAAAAGATTGTTAATATCCAGTTTTGATGACAGTATAGACTATTGAAAACAGTAACTGGTGAAACATTTTTGGAAGGCAATTTGGCAAAATATAATCAAAATGTAAATGTTTTTGGCTTTTGATTTAGTAATTCCACTTTTTTTTTTTTTTTTTAAAAGATATTGAGCAAGGCTCTGTCACCCAGGCTGGAGTGCTGTGGCACTATCCTAGTTCCTTGCAGCTTTGAATTCCTGGGCTCAAGCAATCCTCCCACCTCAGCCTCCCAAGTAGATGGAATTACAAGCCACAGGTCACTGATTCTGGCCTGACACAGACTAGACACTTGATGCTTAATTCACTTAACATATGACTTGATCCGTATACAAACCACTGAAGAAGGATTCCTTCAGCTCCTCCACTGACCTCTTTCTCTCTCTCCTCCTCCTCCTCCTTCCTTTTAAACAAAGGAAGAAATCACAGCTCAAGGAGTGAATTGACCTAAGATAGGCTGGAGCCTCAGCTATGGAATTAGCCCTGAATTCTCACAGGCTCTGCTTCTTAATGGTTATGTGACCTTAGGCAAGTTAATTAACTAGTCTCAGCTTCCTGCTCTTTAAATAGGGTGATAATACTACCACTCGTAGCATTGTAATGAAGGTCATGTCAGATGAGGTGTATGAAGTGTCTAGGTCCATGCTTGAGACTTAAAATGGTCAGATGGTGTTAGCTGTTATTGACATTGTTGTCATTGCTAACATTGTCAAACTAGAAATAGTATTACCTCCTTCACTAATTTGTCTTAAGGAGTACATTGAGATTTGTGTACTGTGAGAAAGCTTTGTCACCTTACCATGGTCTCAGTAAGGCCCAACATTATTCTGTGAAAATATATTTGGCAGTGAGGGAGGTAATCAAAGAGGTTACCTTTGTAGCGTTTACAAAACCAGTTAAACTGGATTGATAATCTAAGGATGGTGTTAAAGAGTAAGGAAAGACATAGTGTAAGATAGAGAAAAAGGATAAGAAAGGACAAAGTGAAAAAAGGATGAAGATTACAGCCTAGGAAATGGAAAGGGAAAAATGTAGCCCAAGTGTAACATTGTAAGTCCAAATCAGAGATATAACTATTGAGGGGCAAAAAGAGGGCATGGACCATTTCAAAGAAGCAATTCCACACAGAAGAAGGTTGGCAGAGTGTGCAGGGGACTATTTAGGATGCATCAGTTCCCTGGTTATGAAGTGGAAGTATTGGTATAGGCCTCGGGGGTAAGGAGGTTGAAGTGCACTCTAATTTACTTGATATTTAAATAAATGTGAGACAAGGCAGATGATGGCTGGGGAGGTATGGGGAGACAGGGAGGTTGAGACTTGCTTATGAACCGCATATAGAATGTGATGCAGGTGGCCGGGCGCGGTGGCTCACCCCTGTAATCCCAGCACTTTGGGAGGCCGAGGCGCACGGATCACGAGGTCAGGAGATCCAGACCATCTTGGCTAACACGGTGAAACCCCGTCTCTACTAAAAATACAAAAAATTAGCCGGGCGCGGTGGCGGGCGCCTGTAATCCCAGCTACTCGGGAGGCTGAGGCAGGAGAATGGCATGAACCCGGGAGGCGGAGCTTGCAGTGAGCCGAGATAGCGCCACTGCAGTCCGGCCTGGGAGAAGGAGCGAGACTCCGTCTCTCTAAAAAAAAAAAAAAAAAAAGAGAATGTGATGCAGTTATGGGAGTGTTGAGACCTGGCCTGGAAACCTAAGAACAAAATGTGAATAAGGAATAAGCAGAGAGAAACATCTCGGTGTATGAGACTCTTTTGCTTTGGCAGGCATTTAATTTTGGGCACCAAGATAATGTCAGAACACGTAGCATAAAAGCTCCAGTACCAGATGGGATATAGCCCTTATTGTAATCTGTGCAGTTTAGGAAGTTAGACTGGGATATGAAATAAAATTTCCATTTATTATTTTGGAAATAATGTATGGCTAGGGCCAGGAATAAGTCCTTACTTATCAATAATAACATTGAATGTAAATGTACTAAACTCTCTAATCAAAAGACATAGATAGTGGCTAAATGGATATAAAAAAACAAGACCCAGTGAACTATATCTACAAGAAACATAATTCATGTATAAAGACACACATAGACTGAAAATAAAGGGATGGAAAAAGATATTCCATCCCAAGGGAGCCAAAAAAGAGCAGGAAAAGCTATACTTATACTAGACAAAATAGATTTCAAGACAAAGTCCACAAAAAGAGAAAAAGATGGTCATGATATAATGATAAAAAAGGTGAATTCAGCAAGAGGATATAACAATTGTATATATATATGCACTCAACACTGCAGCATGCAGATATAGAAAGCAAATAATATTAGAGCTAAAGAGAGATAGACCCCAATACAATAATAGCTGGAGATTTCAACACCCAACTTTCAGCATTGGTGAGATCATCCAGACAGAAAATCAACAAAGAAACGTTGAACTTAATCTGGACTATAGGCCAAATGAATCTAATAGATAGTTACAGAATATTTTATCCAACAGCTGAAGAATACACATTCTTCTCTTTAGCACATGGCTTATTCTCAAAAACAGACCATATGTTAAGCCACAAAACAAGTCTTAAAAAATTCAAAAAATTGAAATCATATCAAGTATCTTTTCTGACCACAGTGGAGCAAAACTAGAAATCAATAACAAAAGGAACTTTGGAAACTATACAATCACGTGGAAATTAAACAATATGCTCCTAAATAACCAGTGGGTCAGTAAAAACTCTAAGAAGCAAATTAAAAACTGTCTTGAAACAAATGAAAATGGAAACAAGACATATCAAAATCTATGGGATACAGCAAAAGCAGTACTAAAAGGAACATTTTTACCAATAAGCGCCTACATCAAAAAAGTAGAAAAAATCAAATAAATGATCTAACAATGCATTTTTATAAACTAGAAAAGCAAGAGCAAACCAAACCCAAAATTAGTGAAGAAAAGAAACAATGAAGATCAGAGCGGAGATAAATGAAATTAAAATTTAAAAAAAATGAAAAAAGTTGTTTTCTAAAAAGATAAATTGAGAAACTCTTAGCCAGACTAAGAAAAAAGAGACAAGACCCTGATAAATAAATTCAGAGATGAAAAAGGATACATTACAACTGTTACTGCAGAAATTCAAAGGATCATTAGGGGCTACCATGGGCAACTATATGCCAATAAATTGGAAAACCTAGAAGACTTGGGCAAATTTCTAGACACCTACAACCTACTAAGATTGAAGCTTATGAAATTCAAAACCTGAATAGGGCAATAACAAGTAACAAGATTGAAGCCATAATAAAGAATCTCCCAGCCAAGAAAGTCCAAGATCCAATGTCCTCACTGGTGAATTTCACCAAATATTTAAAGAAGAACGAATACCAATGCTTCTCAAACTATTCCAAAAAATAGAGAAGGAGGGAATACTTCCAAACTTATTCTATAAAACCAATACTATCCTGATACCAAAACCAGACAAGGACACATCAAGAAAAGAAAACTACAGGTCAATATTTCTGATGAATATTCATGTGAAAATCCTCAATAAAATACTAGCAAACAGAATCCAACAGCACATTAAAAACAGCATTCATCATGACCATGTGGGATTTATCCCAGATATGCAAAGATGGTTCAACATAAGTAAATAAATCAATGTGATTCATCATATAAGCAGAATGAAGGACAAAAACTATATGATAATTTTAACTGATGCCTAAAAACCATTTGATAAAATTCAACATTATGATAAAAACCCCCCAAAAAACTGGGTATAGAAGGAACATACCTCAACACCATAAAAGCCATGTATGACAGACTCACAGCTAGTATCATACTGAATGGGGAAAAACTGATGAGAGGAAAAAATGGCCTTTCCTGTAAGATCTGGAACAAGAAAAAGATGTCCACATTCACAACTGTTGTTCAACATGGTGCTGGAAGTTCTATCTACAGCAATCAGGCAAGAGAAGGGAATAAAGGGCACCCGAATTGGAAAGGAAGAAGTCAAATTATCTTTGCATGCAGAAGATATAATTTTATATTTGGAAAAACCTAAAGACGCCACCAAAAAACTATTAGAACTGATAATCAAATTCAGTAAAGTTGCAGGATACAAAATCAACATACAAAAATCAGTAGCATTTCTATATGCCAACAGCAAACAATCTAAAAAAGAAATCAAGAAAGTAATCCCATTTATAATAACTACATATAAAATAATATATTTGGGAATTAACCAAAGAAGTGGAAGTTCTCTACAATCAAAACCATAAAATACTGATGAAAGAAACTGAAGAAGACACACACATACACACACAAACACACACACACACACACAAATAGAAAGATATTCCATGTTCATGGATTGGAAGAATCAATATTGTTAAAATGTCCACACCACCCAAAGTAATGTACAAATTTAATGCAGTTCCTATCAAAACACCAATGACATTCTTCACAGAAATGGAGAAAACAATCATAAAATTAATATGGAACCACAAAAGACCCAGAATATCCAAAGCTATCCTGAGCAAAAAAGAACGAAACTGGAGGCATTACGTTATGCAACTTCAAATTATACTACAGAGCTGTGCTAACCAAAACAGCAGGGTACTGGCATAAAAACAGACACATAGACCAGTGGAACAGAATAGAGAACATAGAAATTAATCCATACATCTACAGTGAACTCATTTTCAACAAAGGTGCCAAGAACATACTTTGGGGAAAGAATGGTTTCTTCAATAAATGGTGCTGGGAAAACTGGATACCCATATGTAGAAGAATGAAACTAGATCCCATCTGTTGTGATACACAAAAATCAAATCAAAATGGAGTAAAGATTTAAATTTCTAAGACCTGAACCTATGAAACTACTAAAAGAAAATATTGGGGGAAACTCTTTAGGACATTGGACTGGGCAAAGATTTCTTGATTAGTACCCTCACAAGCACAGGAAACCAAAGCAAAAGTGGCAAATGGGATTACATCATGTTAAAGAGTGTCTGCACAGCAAAGGAAACAATCAACGAAGTGAAGAGGCAACCTACAGAATGGGAGAAAATATTTGCAAACTATCTGCCTGACAAGGGATAAATAACTACAGTACATAAAGAGCTTAAATAACTCTATAGGAGAAATTTAATAATTTGATTAAAAATGGGCAAAAGATCTGAATAGACATTTCTCAAAAGGAGATATAAAAATGGCAAACAGGAGGCCAGGTGCAGTGGCTCACGCCTGCAACCCCAGCACTTTGGGAGGCCAAGGCAGGCGGATCACCTGAGGTTGGGATTTCGAGACCAGCCTGACCAATGTGAAGAAACCCTGTTTCTACTAAAAATACAAAAATTAGCTGGGCATGGTGGCGCATGCCTGTAATCCCAGCTACTTGGGAGGCTGAGGCAGGAAAATTGGTTGAACCTGGGAGGCGGAGGTTGTGGTGAGCCAAGATTATGCCATTGCACTCCAGCCTGGGCAACAAGAGCAAAACCCCGTCTCAAAAAAAAAAAAAAATGGCAAACAGGTATATGAAAATATGCTCAACATCATTGATCATCAGAGAAATACAAATGAAAACTACAGTGAGATATCATCTCTCCCCAGTTAAAATGGCTTTTATCTAAAAGACAAGTAATAACAAATGCTGGTGAGAATGTGGAGAAAAGAGAACCTTTGTACACTGTTGGTGGGAATGTAAATTAGTATAGCCACTATGGAGAACAGTTTTGGAGGTTCCTCATAAAACTAAAAATAGAACCACCATAATATGATCCAGCAATTCTACTGCTAAGCGTATACCCAAAAGAAAGGAAATCTTATATCAAAGAGATATCTGTCCTCTCATGTTTATTGCAGCACTACTCACAATAGCCAATATTTGGAATCAACCTAAGTGTCCATCAACAGATGAATGGATAAAGAAAATGTGGTACATATACACAATGGAGTACTATTCATTCATAGAAAAGAATGGAATCCTGTCATCTGCAAAAACATGAATGGAACTGGAAGTCATATGTTAAGTGAATTAAGCCAGGAACAGAAAGACAAACTTTGCATGTTCTCACTTATTTGTGGGAGGTAAAAAATTTAAAACAATTGAACTCACAGAGTGTAGAATGATGGTTAGAAGAGGCTGGGCAGGGGTGGGGAGAATGGGAATGGTTAATGGGTGCAAAAATATAGTTAGATAGAATGAGTATGATTAAATAGAATAACAGGGAGAGCACAGTCAACAATAATTTATTACACATCTTAAGATAGCTAAAATAATATAATTGAATTGTTTGCAACACAAAGAATGGATAAATGCTTGAGGTGATGGATATCCCATTTACCCTGATGTGATTATTATGCATTGTATGGCTGTATAAAAATATCTCATGTACCCCATAAATCTATACACCTACTATGTACCCACAAAAATTAAAAATTTCTATAGCATAAAATTTTGCAGAGATTCAAATAAGAATACTACAAATTAATTATTAAATTGAAAATTTCCCCAGTTTATTTGTCTGTGCCATGTTGATTCGAAATGCAGGTTCTCCTCAATAAGGTACATTTTATTTAAATAAGTGCAAGTTGAAATAGTTAGGTATATCTTTGCCTTCTTAGCTGGAAATCACATTCCTTGAAGGCAGAGTTTGTGTTTGCTGCAATGAATCTTTCACAGTGTCCAGCATATGAAATCCCTTGTATCTTATATTAGTTTAAACATTTATTGTATTAGTAAAAAAACATATTTACTAATTATTTGAGGGTAGTGGGTGCTTAATCAATGCTTATTTAACCAAATTTTTTTGTACCTAATTTTTTGTGACTTGTGTGCATTTTTTTTATGACCGTGGATGTAGCTGGAAAAGCAAATCAGTTGCCTACTTAAAATACTTCATTAATTGCCTCTTACTTCTAGAACAAGACGTCAAATTACTTCCCTGGCACACAGTGCTCTCCATATTTGAGTGTGGTCTCAGAGCCTGGCCCCTCAAAGACATCCTAGCCTTTTTTTTTTTTTTTTTTGAGATGGAGTCTTACTCTGCCACCCAGGCTGGAGTGCAGTGGCATGATCTTGGCTCACTGCAACCTCTGCTTCCCGGGTTCAAGTGATTCTCCTGCCTCAGCCTCCCAAGTAGCTGGGATTACAGGCACCCACCACCATGCCTGGCTAATTTTTGTATTTTTAGTAGAGATAGGGTTTCGCCATGTTGACCAGGCTGGTCTTGAACTCCTGACCTCAGGTGATCTGCCCGCCTTGGCCTCCCAAAGTATTGGGATTACAGGCGTGAACTACCACGCCCATCCTGGGCTTTGGATTGTATACCTGCCTATTGTCCTGGCTACCTGACTACCCTTCCTTGTCCTTACTGAGAATTCCAATGTACCCTCGAGAGACTCCCCAATCCTTTCTCTTTTAAGGGCAAGGACTTTATTTCTATCTCTATATTTATCATCCAGAAGCTGCTCATTTGTAATGGGTGATCAGAAAAACATCTGTTGAGTTGAATAAATGTGTACTTGTGACTGGAAATTATTTACATAATACCATGTGTATAATTTAACTGCCTGATATTTGAAAATGCAAATGTATTTGTTATTTGAGATTACTTAAAATATGTGACCCTTCAAAAGGAGCTAGCTTTAATATTTGGGAGGAGTAATGCTTCTTGAAAGATATTCCCTTTAAAGGCCTATGAGTCTCCTATGACTTGCCTATCAAATGCCAGCTTTATGACACTAGCATCTGAATAAAGTGCAAATAACACCATTAAAAAGGTCCTTGCAGTTGGCAAGTGGTGATTCATTTAGATGGGTCATCATGTTTTTAATTAACTCTTTCTTAGTATGCAATAATGAAAAGTGCTTAGAGTGGTCATAGGCCTGAGGACATCCCCCAAGTTGCTAGTCGAGGAACAGTATTTTGTTGCAAGCTGAATGGGCCACCAGTTTGAGCAGGGGGATTTTTCAGCTTCAATGATCTCACAGTATAGGCATTCTGATTGAGGTTATTATTTCCTACAATTGTTTTCTAAAGAATGATTTTTAAAATGCAGATTATACATTGATGTAATTTGGGCTTAAGTTTACAGTAAATTAGCCAGGCCAAAACAAGGTAGCAGTAAGAAAACTTCCCAGGAAACCTAGTACTTTTGAATGAGAATAAAGAAAAAATAATTAGTCACAAGATTTTAGCTAAATGAGTGCTTTAAAAATAATATAATTTAGTTAACACTTATTTTTCTTTAGCATAATCTTCTTGGTTATAATAGTTTTTACCAAAAGGAAAGAAGGCAGATGCTTTTTTAAAATATAGATATCTTCAGATAAATTCCTAAGAAAACTTCAGGAAGAAATCATGGCAGTTTAGCATGAATTACGTTGGTCTGAAATTGTGTCATTCACACAGAACTGTAGTGCTCTCCTTGATATCAGATCAACATGTTTAGTACTTGGCAGAAAAAAAGAAAGTGAATGATTAGAGTGGTGTTAGTCCATTTGTACTGGAATACAAAGAAGAATAAGGACAGATGGACAGAAACAAACCTAATCCAGTATAAAGGTAACAATAAAATAAAGGGAAAAGTAAAAGATAATTTGTTTTTAGATTAAAGGAATTTAAATTTAATATATGTGGTAAGTAGAAATTATCTTCTCACCATATTTTCTCTCATTCAACTAATAATTATTGCCAGGGAACGCAATGTTTTGAGCTGCAGACGGTGGTAGCCATATAAAAACGTATAAAACATACTGCCATACCTTGAAGGCCTCTTATAGCTGAGAAGGTAAGATTTAAAGGATGAAAAGAGCTTAAAGGAATAATTAATAACTAATATTTGCATAGCATTCAAAAGTTTAGAAGGTATTTTTACATACCATTTTGTAAGTTTAAAAGTAAATTGCTAGATTTCATTCTTCTGTTAGAATTTCCTTTGGCTTTGTCTTTGGAAAACAACATTAAATTTGGGATTGCGATTACTTCTTAGATTTACTTCAGTTTTCTCAACCATTCTTAGGGGTTCTATTCCCTGATCCTTCCAATTTCTATGATTTGTCATCTCATCATTACCTCAATGGATAATGCCTCTGAATTTGCAAAGTGAATTTAACTTTTAAACTTGTAAAATACGTACATTAATTATGGCAATAACTGATGCTAGAATTTTTTTTTTTTTTTTTTTTGAGACAGGGTCTCACTCTGTCATCCAGGCTGGGTGGAGTGCAGTGGCAGGATCACAGTTCACTGCAGCCTCGACGGCCCTGGACTCAGGTGATCCTCTCACTTCCGCCTCCCAAGTAGTTGAGACCGCAGGCCTGTGCCACCATACCTGGGCTAATTTTTGTATTTTTTTTTTTTTTTTTTTTGTAGAGATGGAGTCTTGCTATGTTGCCCAGGCTGGTCTCAAACTCCTGGGTTCAAGTGCTCCTCCTCCCTTGGCCTCCCAAATTGCTGGGATTACAAGTGTGAAGATCCTGGAATTTCTAGGACATAAATGATTGTAAATGTTTTATCTTGTTGTCAGATCATGTGACCTGACTTCTCAGAAAATATCTACCTTATCTGTGGCCTCCACTTCCTTATCATTCAATTGATAAAACCTTTAATCTGAATTTTCTATTATATATATATTCTGAATATGTAGTTATATATTATATATTCTATTATATATATTCTGAAATTATATTTTCAAAGATGCCCTTATTATCAAATCTGATAGTCTTTATTCCCCCTTCTGTTTTACTTAACTTCTTTTCCATTCTATTCATTGGCCTTTCTTCTTTAAATATTAAGGATTCTAGAGACCTAGAAATTTAGTCTCTAGAAACTTAAGGGCTCTGGGCCTTGAATTTACTACCTATGTATGTGCTTCCAATAGCTTATATTTTTGTCTCCTTTCATGAATCCTTCTTAGCCCATCACCAGCCTCATTCTTCCAAATCGTAAATGGCCTTCCTTATGGGCTGCTTGAGCCACACACATTTCTTAAAGGCTCAGAAATACTCTGTTTGCATATCCACTTCCATTCCTCAGTTCTAGGACTCCTCCAGACTGAATTATTGCCTTCCCCAAGCTTTCGTTCAACTCATACCTTCTCTTTACAGCTTGCTTTGCCCACAGTAATTTATTTTCCTTTAAATTCTCAAGCATTTGACCCTCACTACCTCATACTGTTAATTAACTTTGTGTTCGTATCTCACCCCCCTAGAAGAATGCAAAATCTCTGAGGATTAGCGCTGTACTTTAGCTTTTTATTTTTTTGCTTGGTAGGGGACAACGAACATAATGCTGAACACATATTTGTTACCTAAAAAAGGCACATGTTCCATGATGTCAATGTAATCTTGTTTAGGTGAGTATATTCAACTTTTTTCTTTTATCCTTTTTGGCTGCTGTTTGTGAGTTTGATCATTCTTGTTATAAAATTACCACATGTAACCTTTTGAGAAGCATTAGAAGAATTAAAAGATGGCAAAAGCAGGCCTATAGGAAATAGTGGTAATGGATACGTCCAAGGTTACTACTATGGGCCACTGTGCTCTGCATTGCAAGATTTGTTTGAACATACTCAAGAAATTGAAGTTCAGACAGGTTAATTTATCCAAGGTCCCACAAAAAGTAAATGGCTGTGCTGAGTTTCAAGGACCCATGTCTGCCTGGATCCAAAGGGCAAGTCAGTTTCAGTGCTGGATGACTGAGAATTACAAAATTTCTTGAAAAAGCACTAGGCACAATAGTTGGCGTTCAACAAACGCTCACACACACATCTGCCCTGGAATTGGGTCTACTTAAACAGAAGGGGGAAAAAAAGCTTGCTGAAATAATTATACTTCTTCGTAACTACCAAGCTCATGTTTGACTGACTATAGTAATCCTATGCCCTCCTTCACATTGACGCTAGAAAAAATGCCTGGCAGTATTTCAAATCATGATGCCTATTTTTCTCTCGATCAAGTAACAACTCAAATTATACTTTAAAAAGAAAAAAAGCAAATTATAAAGTTGCATTCAGCTGACAAGAGACTAAAGGAATCTGTGAAACAGAATTTATTTGATGCCTAGGTTTCTCCCTCACCCGACGAAGACCAAATGCTGCTGATCCGTAAGTAACTTCGCAAGGTAAACTGAGGGGCCTGGCAGCATCTGGGCCTCCCTTAAAGGTCGAAATCAAGTGCGCTCGCCCTCCTTCTGTCCGCCTTTTCCCTTTAAGGTCCTCGAGGCTGCTTCGCTGCAGAAAGTAACTCCGCGTCGCCGCCGCGGAAAGTGGGGCAACTTTGCCTATCAGCAGAAACCTTTTGATCCATCTGAGGCGACAAACCAGACCAAACGCCCGCCCAAGCTGTTCCGAGCCTCCGGGGGGAGAGCGAGCCCAAGCTCCTCTGCACCGCTTCCTCATCCGCTCGCTGCACCTGGACGCGGTCGGCGCGCGACCCCCGGCCGTGACGTCACCGCACCTGGCAGCAGCCGTGGGGACCGGGAGAGAGCCCGAACGCGACGGGGCGGGGTGGGGCGGGGAGAACGAGGGCGTTCTCGCGAGATTTGCCTCCTCCCGGTCCCAGCTCCCCGCACCTTCTCGGCCTCTGTCTGGGTCCCCACCTTAGTCTACGGTGTCGCCTTTTCTAACTGCGAGTGCTAAGGAAGAGGCGAGGGGCGGGCTCCGAGGCTAGGCGGGCGCTCGGGGTTGGAGCCGAGGGTCTGGGCAAACCGGTGGGTCCCTCCCCACTGCGGGAGCGGCCAGGGTGGGAAAACCGCGGTCGGGCGGGCGGGGTAGGGCCCTCCCGCCGCCGTGGCTCCTGGGGAGGCCAGGGGTGAGGAGCTGTCGCCGCCTTTGCCTCTGCCTCGAGGGCCGCGCTGAAGAGACTGGTAGGAGAGCGCCGCGGGCGGATGGAGGCGACTCTTCGCCCCGCCTGAGCTCAGGAGGGGCTAGCGCGGAGCGCGGGTCCCGCCTCCAGCCGCGGGAGCGGCCGCGCGAGCCACCACTGGAGGAGGAGGAGGAGGAGCGGACGTCGGCTTCTCCCCGCGGGAGCCCCCAGCATGGGTAAGAGACTCGGGCGCTTCCCGCCGCCCGTCCGGACCTTCCAGACCCGGGGAGGCTGTGCCCTTTCTCGGCCTTCTGGGGAGGCGACTGCGGTCAGCCCCTGAGCGGCAGCACCCCACCCTCTCCATTCTCCCCACCGCCCCTTCTTGCCCTGCCTTCCACCTTGCTCTTCTCACGGAGAAACTGGTGGGAGAGCTCGCGGGTGCTTTCCCTCGCTCTCCCTTCTCCGCCTCTTTTCCTGTTCACCAGAAAGGTGCGGGATGGGGGGCGGGGGCGCCTGGCCACCTCTGCTAACCCCTTGCCCAGCTAAAATCAGACCTGACCTTCCTTCCCTTCCTCATCCCCTTGCTTCCCTCCCCCTCCTCGTGGGATGGGGGAGGGCGATCGAAAAACTTGATAAAGTAGCACTTTCAACTTCTTTATTTTCTGCGAGGCTTTGAATACGTTTAAGGAGAGAGATAAATTTGTTCAAAAACTTTTTTTTTTTCCTGCTGAAACTCGCAAGGGGTGCCTCAAGGACAGGAAAGCTTGAGTATTTGTTTTACTCGGGTTCTACCTAGGCAAGTGTGTTGGCACCTAAGCATTCAGTGTGCTCCCGAGGACTGGGTTTGGACTTCAGTGTTGGATCCTTTGAGGAGCAGTTTCCTGTTTGGAGTTAGACTTCCTTGCCGGAGGAGAGAAAAATACAAGGCCTTATATGTTATTTACTATGTGCTTTATAGTTTTGTTTGAAGTTAGAGAAGGCAGAATGTGTGGCAGTCCGGGTTGAAAAGGAGTTTTGTTAAGTGGTGTAACAATTTCTTTTGATAACAAAGTTCGGTGTGGGCTAGGCATTAAACTAACTCCCTCAATCCTTTAAAAATTAAAAGCAACTTAAGAATAGCTTACAAAAAACAAAACACCCTGTGTCTCTATAAGGCAGAACGTGTTCTGTAAGAGTAAACCCAAGTTTGATTTTTGTAGAGCAAATCAGGAGGACCCTATCACTTTTTGCAGTTGAGAGTTGGTACTGCTTCATATCAACAAACGATCACCGAAATGAATAATTCATGTAATTAACAAATGATTTAGAAGCAGGACGAATACAGACTACTGCTGATGTGGCACCCTCTGTCCACACTTTGCTTTGTGGGGGATGTTTTGAGCATATTGTTTATAGACACTCGCCTAGCTATCCTCTGTTTTCTTAGACTTTTCTAATTTTATGTTCCCTTCTCCACCTCCCTCCTTTCAGGTAACTTTCATACTCAAAAGTGCTCTTGAGCTCAAAAACAGTGAAATAAAACATTTGCTATTTGGAATTTTCAAATGAATTATTTTATAATTGATTAGTTGAGCTTGCAGGGCAATTGTGGGCATATTCTTTTAAGTATGAAATTATAAAATCACTTTAACTGCTTTGGATTAAGATAATACTAAAGTTAATTACACAGTTCTTTTCTGTCTTAAATGGGATGCAGAATAAAATTAAACTACTTTGGATGACCTGGGGATGCAGTCTTGTTTTGCATATAGGGCTTTTGAGCTAAATTCTAAATAATATTTGTTCGCATTTTGAAATTATTTAAATACTTTTTTTTTTTGCTTTGCTTTTGGATGTGCTTGTAACTGATTAGTGTCCCCCATCATCTTTCCTTTTCTAATTTTTTTTTAGAAGTGTGGAAATCATATTCAGGTTTGTGATTCTGCATAGGGGAAAAATCAGTAGGCCGTTACTTAGTGTGTGAGGTCGTCTCTGGAGAAAAGTAAATGTGTACCAATACTTGGACATTGGAATACCTATTTTGATTGTCCAGAGGCTTTTTCTTTGTGATTTATTTGTTGTGTTCTGTTTAGGTGAGTTTTCATATAGACTTGGATATCAATGTTGGTATACTCTCGACTACTTAGAATGTGTTTTGAAGGTATGTTACTGAGGGCATTTGTGGTTAAGTTTTTGTAAAGTGTTTGTGAAACATTTCCATATCAATATATATATTCTTTAAGTTTATTGGTCATGTAATAATAAAATTCCCAAGTTCACTTAAAGGGAGTTTGCTCTTTAATATAAATCTCATTTATTTGGTTTTACCAGCCATCCTTTTTTCTTATGATTTTAGATGCAGCCTAAAATATTTACATGATATTTTATCTAATTTGTCACAAAATGAAAAAATCTGAAATTTTTTTTGTGTGTAAGATAATTTGGATGCCTATTAAATGGTGGTTCTTAAGTTTAGGTGGTACAGCTAGAGAGTTAAAAGCATGGGCTCTGGACAGAGACTACTTGAGGTCAAATTCTCTTCTACCTACTGGCTGTGTGACTGAGCACATTACTTCTCTGTGCTTCAGTTTCTCAATCTATAAATGGAATAAAATATCAACCTCATAGGTTGTTAGGAGGATTGAATGAGTTACTACTTGTAAAGTGCTTAGAACACTGCCAGTGCTGGCGGTGGTGATTTTCATTTTCAAATGATTTCCCTAATTCTTGTACCAACTTGGGAAAAAAAAAATCTCAATTTTTGACCTTTGTTAGAAGTAGGATATTTTCTTTAAATAAAGGACCAGAGGGATGAGATGATTTTGCACTAAGGCAGAAATTGAATTTTATGTGATATAACCTTACAGAAACCACATAGATACTTTTTTCAATGTTGGATGTACTGTGCGAAAGTCCATTATTGGTAAGAGCTTTAGTTGCTTAGGAAAAACTCTTAAGTGGGATGACTACTAGTAGACTTATTTGAAGTTTATGTTTTTAGTGTCTACATTTGTTAAATGTGATAAAATGCCTATTGAGAAGTTTGAGGTATTCTGTGTGAAAGAATTTGGGAAGAGCTCTAGGGAGACAGATAGGCAGTGCTTATTTTTCTTATTCCAAAAATACAGATCGGCATTTTGGAGCAGAATTAGGCAGAAAGCAAATGGCACAAAGTGTCAGAGCATTTCTAGAGCACAAAAAAGGAATATTTGTGAATTTTTATTTTTGGAAGAGTAAGCAGACTTCTAAGGGCAGAATTTCTCTTTAATAATTTTAGATAAGGCGGTGAACTTTTTAGTTTATTTTATAGGCTCTCGTATATAAAACATATCAGTCATGTGGTGGTGTTTTTTTGTTTGTTTGTTTGTTTTTTTGATGGAGTTTTGCTCTGTTGCCCAAGCTGGAGTGCTGTGGTGCGATCTCGGCTCACCGCAACCTCCGCCTCCTGGGTTCAAGGGATTCTCTTGTCTCATCCTCCTCAGTAGCTGGGATTACAGGTGTGTGCCACCATGCCCAGCTAATTTTTGCATTTTTAGTAGAGACAGGGTTTCACCATGTTGGTCAGGCTGGTCTCGAACTCCTGACCTCATGTGATCTGCCCGCTTTGGCCTCCCAAAGTGCTGGGATTACAGGCGTGAGCCACTGCACCTGGCCTCGTGGTGGTTTTAATAGACAAATTTGTGGTTGGTTTAGATGATATATGCACTTCTATAATAGAGTGATTTCTTTATGTTACTTTGTTGTACTGTTTGGAGAAAATATTTTAAAAATTTTTATTTATATGTTATTTATTTACTTATTTTTAGAGACAAGGTCTTGCTCTGTTACCCAGGTTGGAGTTCAGTGGCATGATCATAGCTCACTGCAGCCTCAAACTCTTGCCTCTGCTTCCCAAGTAGCCAGGGCTACAGGTGCACACTACCACCTCTGGCCTAGTTTAAAATTTTTTTGTAGATACAGGCTCTCCCTGTCTTGCCCAGGCTAGTCTCAAACTCTTGGCCTCAAGCAGTTCACCTGCTTTGGCCTCCCAAAGTGCTGGGATTACAGCTGCACCACTGTACCTGGCCTGGATAAAATCTTGATTCATACAGATAAGTAGTTGCAAATGGAAATTGCATGCTAATGGTTCACCTTTCTGTATCAGGATTTACTTCAATTAAACTACAGAGCATGAAAAAACAATATTAGGAAATTTTTGTTTCAAAGTTGAATCACTGGCAAAAGTAATAATTCTTTTCCTTATTTAAGTACTCATCAGATATTTTTTGAGGTTTCAAAATTTGAGTAGTTTAAATTTTGTAAAATCACATTAAGGCTGAAAATTCACATTTATAATATTTTATAGTTTCCTGTAGAAATGAGCCGGAAGTTTGCTTTGTTTTTTTTGTCTTTTTTTTTTTTTTTTGAGATGGAGTCTTGCTCTGTCGCCCAGGCTGGAGTGCAGTGGCGCGATCTCGGCTCACTGCAACCTCCGCCTCCCGGGTTCAAGCAAGTCTCCTGCCTCAGCTTCCCGAGTAGCTGGGACTACAGGCACGTGCCACCATGCCTGGCTAATTTTTTGTGTTTTTAGTGGAGATGGGGTTTCACCGTGTTAGCCAGGATGGTCTCGATCTCCTGACCTTGTAATCTGCCCCCCTCAGCCTTCCAAAGTACTGGGATTATAGGCGTGAGCCACCTTGCCCAGCGTGTATCTTTCTAATTGAGGGATTTGCAAACTAAAATGACATCATATTAACTAAAATCTAATTTTTAAAACATTTAAAATAAATAGAAAACTCAAAGTGCTTCATTTTTATTTATTCATAATTCAGATCTGTCAGAGAATCCTGTCAGAGAATATCTTCCCCTGTTATTAAATATATTTTGAACGATAAAAATGCTTACTTTAATGTATATAAAAAATTGTAATTGTGTCAAGGGCTTGCAGATAGGTAGAGAAAGAAGTATAATGATTATTCATTTGGGTGAGAATTGGGTGGAGCTGCAGACCTGTTTCTTAGGTAAACTGATGAAGCAAGTTGTGAAAGATCTGAAAGTTTTCAGATTTTATGTTCAGAAAAGAAAGAGCAAATAAAAACTAGTAAGATGTGATTGAAATTTAGGTAAATTGGGTAATTATTATGATGGAGCTGTTACTGCTTAGTTGTAGCATTTGATATCTGACTGCTATTCAGATTTAACACAAGCAGGATTTGGGGACCAAATTATCTCAGCAGTCAGGCAGTCAGTCTTTCTAGATGGGGGAGGCGACAGAACAGTAGTTTAAGAAATCTGGATGGAGGTCTATATGTGCCTACAGTCAGCTTGTCAGCATCAGGGATATGTTTGGCAAAGTGCAGCGTGTACATGTATGTGGAACAGGCCTTTGGGAGTGGTATGGTGGCTGGTAGCAGGCACTAGGTAGAGATTCAGACTGGCATCTTGGGGGAAAAGGGAGGAAATGGGGTCTGGCAGTAGGCCTTGAAAACCTAGCCACAGGGAAACAAAATGAGACAGGGTCCAGATTTCTTATTGGAGAAATACAAGGTGGGTATTTGCAGGAACAAAAGTGAGCTTAGTTATTGGAATTACTTAGGATGAACCAAGAGGTAATAACAAGACACTGAGCCCCTAAGCTTATGTATTTTCTGTCCTGGGACTACATTAGTAGTCTACATTAGTAGCTGAATCTGTAAGTGTGGTATGAGTAGTCCAGAATTACTGGGGTGAATGGGATCTTCTCTCTAAGTGCTGCAGGATATTCCCTGGGTATAGATTGCCACCCCTTCTGTTTATTTGGTCCCAGGGATTTGATGTGCCTGTTTTTTTTTTTTTTTTTTGCTCCTGTCTCTTTTTCACCTAGGTTCCTTTTCCTTTCATACCCAATGTGAAGCAGATTACAAAACCTCAGCATATCCTTCTGTTTCAGAAACAAGTACACAATCCTTCAGGGTGTTAAGCAGTTATAACTGCAAATATAATAAATGACCAAGTAAGGCAGAAGAAACTTGAAAGTATTAGTAATTATCAGTCTCTTGGTTTCACTGAAGTGGTGGTTGGCTAGTTATTAGAAAGACCTTTTTTGTTGTTGCTTTTTAAATTTTTTTTTGGTAATGTGTACCTGTCTTTGGCAATACTCCCTCATACTCCTCCCAGCTTTTGTTTATTTTGGCTTACGTTAGGTAGATCTTTAGACAGTAGCTCACAGTAGAGACATTTATTATGTCTCTTAAACAGATAAAATTTTATTGGGACTTCACTAACCTGAGACCATGCTGTACTCATTTTTGAATCATAACCTTGGTTTTAACCACAAATGAAGTAGGCATTTTCCTTCTGGGCTCCTAAATGTTTTCTTTGGACTAAACTTGATATTACCTCTTTTTTTTTTTTTTGTTATGTTTTGGTTTTTGTTTCTGAAGGTCTCAGCTTCCTAGATGTTCTACACTCTTCCTGACCATTTTCACTGAACCCTATTTGATTTACTGAAAGCATATTTACTAATTGTTTGCACTTAAAGGTGCTTTTATCCTAGAATAAACAATGCTTTTAAAACAATTCACTATTCTAAATTGATACTGGCTTAAGATGTTGTTCCAGTGTCAGGTATTGTTATCGATTTTTTCTTTCCTAGAACCTGTCCTTTCCAGTGGCTCCAGTAGACTTGTATTTTATAATCTTTCAAATATTATGTAGCTTGTTAAACTTCCCATCATGATCTTGTTCAGTTTCTCAACTCATTTGCAAAAGAGATGACTAGCATGGGAGCCTGGATTCCAGTATCTGTTTTAGTGCCTTATTAGTGCCTCTTAGCTTAGGTTCTTTTTGATGATTCAGCGTCCAGATAATTCCAAGGGAGTGACTGTAATCATTAGGGGTTTCTAGTAGAATGCAATCATGAGCCCCTTAGGAATGTTTTGGTCAATAATAAACCACACATAGGGTGGTGGTCCCCTAAGATTATAATGAAGCTAGAAAATTCCTCTTCCCTAGTGAGTTGTAGCCATCCCACACTATAGTAGTGCAACGCGTTACTCACTGTGTTTGTGATGATGCTGGTGTCAACAAACCCGCACTACCAGTTGTATAAAAGTATAGCATGTACATACATTTATATGTAGTACATATATTGATAATAAATGGCTGTGTTACTGGCTTATGTATTTACTATGTTTTTTAATTGTTATTTTACAGAGTACATCTTCTACTTATTAAAAGAAGTTAACTGTAAAACATCCTCAGGCAGGTCCTTCAGGGGGTATTCCAGAAAAAGGCATTGTTATCGTAGGTGATGACAGCCCTATGCACGTTTTTCACCAGTGGGATGAAATATGGAGATGGAAGACAGTGATATTGATGATCCTGATCTTTGCAGGCCTAGGCTAATGTGTGTTTGTGTCTTATAAGAAAAAGGATTAAAAAAGAAAGAATTTTTAAATGGAAAAAAGCTTATAGAATATGAATATAAGGAAAGAAAATATTTTTGTACAACTATACAATGTGTTGGTGTTGTAAACTAAATGTTATTACAAAAAAGTTAAAAAATTTATAAAGTAAAAAGTTATAGTAAGCTAAGGTTAATTTTGAAAGAAAATTAGAAAGAAAGAAATAAAAAAATGTAGTTAGCTTTAGTGTATGGTGTTTATAAAATCTATAGTAGTGTATACTAATGTCCTAGGCCTTCACATTTGCTCACCACTCACTGACTCACCCAGTGCCATTTCCAGTCCTGTAATCTCTATTCATGGTAGGTACACCCTATGTAGGTGTACCATTTTTATTACTTATACTGTATTTTTACTATACCTTTTTTATGTTTAAATATACAGATACTTAACCATTGTGTTACAGTTGCCTACAGTATTGAGTACAATAGCATGCTGTACAGTTTTGTAGCCTAGGAGCAATAGGCTATACCCTATAGCTTAGGCATGTAGTGGGCTGTACCATCTAGGTTTAAGTACACTCTATGATGTTCACACATGGACCAAATTGCCTAATGACACATTTCCTAAGATGCATCCCCATTGTTAAGTGATGCATAACTGCACTTTTAAGTGTGGTGATAGTTACAGTTAACACCAATATTAAGAAAAAGGGCCTGTCACAAGGTCACATCATCAAGCAAAGAAGCTGCTGGTGAGAGTTTAATCAATCAGTATTTTCCTTAATGTGAGGAATGTGATTAATGTCATGTTAAATGCTTGGGGGTTTAGGATAAATAAAAGTTTTGGTGCCTTGAGTAGTTTACAAGTGTTAAGGATTGGGCATATTATTAGAATCACATTTTTGTTTTAAACTTCTCACAACCCCTGGGTTCTGACATAAATGCTTCTGCCTCTCCCTCCCTCCAGTTTTTGATGAATGTCATGAATGTGTTGGGATGGCTTATGTGATAGGAATAAGACAACATAATAACAATGAAAGTTAGTATGTGAATCCATTAGAAAAATAAACGAGAGAGAGAGTATAGGGTCAGTGTCAGAAATGTTAAAATGTAGTAGGAGAAGCATATGGAATATTAGAATATAGATTCCTGCACTGAAGGAAATGGGATTTATTCATCTCTCATTAGTTTGACCAGTGATGATATACTGAGTACTGGCAGTAGTTAAGGTATTTTTTCCTCCACTTCTGGCAAAGAGTCTTTAGAATGAAGTAAGCCTTCTCTTGAGCTGATCCTTTCAGATGTGTACTTTTACCTGAAATATTAAAACTGTCTTATCCTTCTTACTGTCCTATCAGTGTTCCAATAATGAAGAGTCTGGAAATTTACCTAACATCTAGACTGACTTTAAAAATGTCATTCCTGGAGCATTTATCACGATTATTGTAATAATAAAGGGCCACAGTGTTTTGGATTGTAAATGTAGAAGCTCATATACTGTATTTGTAAAATTGAGACTACATAGTCTTGGTTAGAGTGTTTTTGGGGGACATTTAAAGTTGGTCTTTTAAATGTATATACTATTCTCTAGGGATTTTCTCATTCTTTGTGTTAGAAACAACTTTTGGTTTATTTAGAAGTACGTTCTCCTGAGATCCAAGTTTTGCATTTAACTTTAATTAAAAATTCCTGTTGTGCTGTAGCAGGTTGCAGTCTGATGAGTATTTTGCCTGACTGTTTTGGTGTATGTGTGGGCATTTGTGCACAGCCATTTAAGAGGAAGAATTCATTTTTACTTACCTACTAATTTGGCCATTCTTAACAAACATATTTTAGGAAGCAGATCAAAACAATTTTTTTAATGATGAAAATAAATTTGTTAAATTTTCAGAATGCGTGTCAAATGGAAATAAAAGGCTGTGTTTCAAATCTCAAGTTAGCCCTTTTTTCTCACAAAATTATTCTAAATTCCTATATGGATTATATATTACAAAATGCAGTTGAACTTATGCTTACAACTTCATAGTTTAAAACTTAAATAAAAACTTCTTGGCCAGGCGCGGTGGCTCACGCCTGTAATCCCAGCACTTTGGGAGGCCGAGGCGGACAGATCACAAGGTCAGGAGATCGAGACCATCCTGGCTAACACGGAGAAACCCCGTCTCTACTAAAAATACAAAAAATTAGCCGGGCATGGTGGCGGGCGCCTGTAGTCCCAGCTGCTCGGGAGGCTGAGGCAGGAGAATGGCATGAACCCGGGAGGTGGAGCTTGCAGTGAGCTGAGATCGCGCCACTGCACTCCAGCCTGGGTGACAGAGCGAGACTCTGTCTCAAAACAAACAAACAAACAAACAAACAAAACAAAACTTCTTTGTTATTCTCTTAGTGTGTAAATGACCTTACTTGATCTGAGCTCATTGATGCTGGAGACCATATCACTTATTTTATTGTATTTACAAAATTTAACACTTGTATTGACTAGCAGAAAATTAGGAGCCTGCTATGTATCCACTAAGTCTGATTCAGTAATACTTTAATTTGGAGTAATTGGGTAGAGAGGGCCAACCTAACAATACAAAATTTAAATATATTGAAATATATCCACCTAAAACAGACTAATAGGATGTTGCCTAATGAAATTACTGTTTCAAGATAATGGATGAGATCCTTTTTTTTTTTTTTTTTTTAAGAAATAAACTCTTTAATTCTTTCTGTGTGGTTCATTGAAGCTCTTAAGTCCCTTTAATAGAGAATCAATAATCAGTGATGTTAAGCATCTTGTCAGGTGAATCTGCTGATTACCTACTCCGTGTGTATAAATAAAGGGAAAGTTTGGCAGAGAGAGACATTTCTGTATGAGTCTCCAATTTAACATGTTAAACACATTTAGGCATAAAGGCTTAATTTTTAGCTTAAAGAGTTTGTTCAAAATAACTTAATGTTTGAACTGTAAAATTATAAAATCTTTAAGGTAGGTGTTGTGAAGCAAGTATACATATACTTTGAGACATACTGAGTTGTTACATATGTGTAATTTTAAATTTTCTAGTAGCTACATTTAAAAAGGAACATGTGAAATTAATTTTAATAATATTTTGAATGTATGTTGGTTTAAAGAAAGTACATTATTTCATAATGTATTCAGTATAAAAAGTTATTAATGAGATAGCTTACATTTTTTCTTATATATGAAAGAAATCTTGACATCTGATGTATATTTTACATTTATATAACATTTCAGTTTGGACTAGCCACATTTCAAGTGCTCAATATTTTTTGATTATAAGAATTTACTGAGGCAGGAGGATTGCTTGAGACTAGTAGTTTGAGACCGGCATGGGCAACAAAGCAAGACTCCATCTCTCCAAAAAAAAAAAAAAAGAGATAGCCAGGTGTGGTGGCATACCCCTGTAGTCCCAGCTACTTGGGAGGCTGAGGTGAGAGCATTACTTGAGCCTGGAAGGTCGAGGCTACAGCGAGCCATGATTGTGCCATTGCACTCCAGCCTGTGCAACTGAGTGAGTCTTTCTTAAAAAAAAAATTAATAATTTAGGTTTTTGTTTTTTGTACGTGTTTATTTTGGGTGGATGCTTAGAACCATGGAGAAACTCAAGTGATTACTTCTGAATTTTTAATGATTCTTACTGCTGCTGTTCTTACAAGTTCTTGTAGTTGTCTATATAACTTAATTATGTTTTAAAAATCTTTAGGTTGGTCCTCAGGTAGTGAGTTATCTCGATTGCTTAGTCAGTTACAGATTGAACTTTTTTCTACTCTTCCCTGCTTTTCATTACTGCACTCAACTAGTTTTTTTTTTTTTTTTTTTTTTTGAGAAGTCTCGCTCTTGTCCCCCAGGCTGGAGTGCAATGGCATGATCTCGGCTCACTGCAACCTCCACCTCCTGGGTTCAAGCGATTCTCTTGCCTCAGCCTCCTGAGTAGCTGGGATTACAGGCACCTGCTACCACGCCTGACTAATTTTTGTATTATTATTTTTTTAGTAGAGATGGGGTTTCACCATGTTGGCCAGGCTGGTTTCGAACTCCTGACCTCAGGTGATCTGCCCGCCTCGGCCTCCCAAAGTGCTGGGATTACAGGCATGAGCCACCGTGCCCGGCTGCACTCGACTAGTTTTTTAAAAAATAAAGGTCTGTTTGGAAACTGAGGGAAGTTCTTACATAGCAACTTCCCATTTTTTGGTAATTTTAAAATTCATTTTCAGTTGATACTTAGTTACTAGCATTTAGGGAATTCTTACTATGCTAGGCTGAATGTACGGAGCATTCGGTTCCCCACAAGAATATGAGGTAAAACATTAGTCTTCCCATTCTTCAGGTTCAGGAAATGAAGTTAGAGGGATTGTTACTTGTCCAAGTCAGAGGTAAGATGTGGAGGAGACAGAATCAAACTTTCATTGTTCTCATTTTAAAACTCGTCCTCTTAATTATATCTTAAAACATTTTGAGAAGGAAGATTGTTGAGTTAAACAGAGCAAGTAATATGACCTTCAGACTCTCCTAGTGTGGTTTAAAAAATAAAGAAATTTAAATATTTATCTTCTAAAAACTGTGGATTGGTATTCGTTTGAGTAACTATTTTCTCTAAAGAGACTTTTTTTTTTTTTTTTTTTTTTTAAAGGAACAGGGTCTTGCTCTGTCGCCTAGGCTGGAGTATAGTGGTACTATCATAGTTCACAGCAACCTTGACCTCCTGGGGTCAAGTAATCCTTCCACCTTAGTCTCCTGAGTAGCTGGGACTAAGGCATGTGCCATCGCACCTGGCTAATTTAAAAAAATAAACAAAAACTGTAGACATAGGGTCTTGCCATATTGCCCAGGCTGGTCTTAAACTCTTGGGCTTCAAGCAGTCCTCTTACCTGGGCCTCCCAAAGTGCTGGGTTTACAGGCATGAGCCACTATGCCTGGCCTCTTAAGAGACTTTTAACAAATTTTAACTGTTACACATTGGTCTTTTACTTACATACCCAAAAGTTTTCCTAGAGTTGTTTTTTGGTGAGTTCTATAAAACTTTATGATGGCTATTCATATGGTATTTTTTTTGATCTGCTTGAAACATGCTTAAAAATAATTTCTAGTGTTTTCTTGAAGTTAATAGTGGGAAGATGAAGAATGATAATATTTAATTGAATTTTCCAACTTGTTTGCTCTTTAGATTTTTGTATGTTTTTTGTTTTTAAGATTTATTATTTTAGGACAAGTGATTAATCACATGTACGTGGTAATTTCTTTGTTTTTAGAACTGTCTCAGGTAATCAGTCTTTGAGATAAAAATCTTTTTTGTTTTTTAAACTTTGATTAAGTTTTTTTGGTGGATATCTGTCACTTATTCTAATTTAGTAACATTAGGAAGAATATAATACTGTGTAAAAATTTCCTTATATCAAATTTCCTTCTCTTTTTCTCTTTGGATATGTGCTAAGAGTGTATTGTACTATGCAAACCTTTGTATGCTATTTGAAGTACAAAGAGGAAGGGTGGGTTTTGTGTGCAGTTTGTTCACTATCTTAAGAATGACTAGATTTACTTATCTCTGTTGAAAAACATGTAAGAAATGCTGCTTATCATTCCATATTTAACAAGCTTGAGAAAATAAATGACGGAATTTCTAATATATAATTAAAAGGACTTTAGGATGATATTGTGCTTTTTATTAGTAGTATTTTGACTAATGGATCTGGTACCTAACTTTAGAGGACTTAAATAATGAAATGTTATTAGTTAATGACATTAAGCAATGCTAATCAGTTTTGCGTTTCTCTATTTATGGTAAAGAATAAATATTTCGTTCTGGGAATAATTTATGGTAAAGCCTTTTTGTTTGTGGTAAGAAATACTTAGCCCTGGGAATAAAAAGTAAATACATATATTTCTTTCTTCCTGATATGTGTGTGTGTATGTGTGTGTGTGTGTGTGTGTGTGTGTGTGTGTAATATATATAAAATCAGGAAATAAGTGGAACCATTAAAGTATTTTCATCATATTCCTACTACTTTGAGAGTAAAGCTTGTAATTTTTTATCTTATACTGAAATATATTTTTGTTAATTTTTGTGTAATTTTTAATATTTTGTCATCTGCTATAATAAAGGTTAACACTCAATAGTATACTGTGATCAGTGATATAATATAGAGAAGGTTAATTTGACAGACTCAGTTAGATGCCATTGTGATATTTATCTGTATTGTGTTGACCAGAATTAAAAGTAAACATTCTGTAGTCAATGCCCATACAACTTATGCCTATTTGGAATTTGTGTAAATTGTTTATTTTTTTGAAGTGATTTTTTATTGTCAAAATAATGCATATTTATTAAAGCAGACTAGTAGAAAATCTTTTATAATATTGCCACCAATATTTTTGCATGTAATAATTTAAAAAAATTATGGATTTTAAGATTTTTAAGCTTGATCTTCAGATATCCTTTTTGTTTAAATACTGATTTTTTTTAAAAAAGTTATTAACAACTAGTAAACCCATTAAAAGAATACCTCACCAGCACCCCCAAACAGAACCAAGTTAAGCAAAACTTTTTTCTTTTTAGGTAAGGATTAAGTTCTTAGAGTTTGCTGTACTTCATTTTAAGTAATGTACTTTACTTTCTTTTACCTGTTTTCAGTCGAGATTTCCTTTTTTTGGTTCTTATAAATGCTTTTAATTCATTGTGTTGTTTGTTGCAAGTATTTACTGTCTGTTTCCAGTTTAGTTACTTTGAAACTTTGACCGTTTTACTTTAAGTTTAGAAATTTCTCCTCTCTACACAGTTTTGTTACTAATTTCTATCATAATCCCTTCAAGCTGCTATGACAAAATACCTTAGACTAGGTAATTTATGAACAACAGAAATTTATTGCTCACAGGCTGGAAAGTCCAGCATCTAGGCACTGGCAAATTTGGTGTCTAGTGAGGAAAGTTCAAAGATGGTGCCTTTTTGGTACATGGAAGGCTGGGTTTGGTGGCTCACACCTGTAATCTTTTTTTTTTTTTTTTTTTTTTTGAGACAGGGTCTTGCTCTGTTTCCCAGGCTGGAGTGCAAATGTGTGATTGTAGCTCACTGCAACCTCAAACTCCTGGGTTCAAGTGATCCTCCCCCGTTAGGCTCCCAAGTAGCTAGGACTATAGGTGCTGCCCCACACACCTGTTGTTATTTTTTGTAGAGATAGCATCTTGCTATGTTGCCCAGGCTGGCCTTGAACTCCTGGCCTCAGGTTATCCTCCCGCCTGGGATTACAGGTGTGAGCTACTGTGCCTGGCCTCTGTGTGTACATTCTTGTTTATGCTTTTTCCTTATTGTTTTAATAAATGTAAGGTCTGTAGAGATACTCTGTCTTTTATTCCTGATATAAGTAATCTGGGCCTTCTGTTTTTCCCCTTGGTCATTCTTTCTAGAGATTTATTGATTTTATTGATGTTTTCAAATAACAGTTTTTGGTTGCATTATTTTTTTTCCATTTTTCTGTTTTCTTTGAGTGTTTTATATGATTCCATTTTATGTCCTCTTTTAACATTCAATTATACTTAATTTTTATTTTTAGTGCTTGCCCTAGAGTTTGCAGTATACATTTATAACTAATGTTAAATTCAGCTTTAAATAACACTGCAACACTTCATGTGTAGTGCTGGTACCATAGAGTATTCCTTATTCCTCTTGTCCCTTAAGACATTGATTAATTTCATCTATTCATATGCTATAATCATGCAATACATTGTTACTATTATGACTTTTAAGCAGTTATCTTTTAGATCAATTAAGAATAAAAAATGTATTTTGTTTTATCTTCATTTATTCCTTCTATGCTTCTTCTTCATATTGATTTGAGTTTCTGACCTGTATAATTTTCATTTTCTCTGAAGAACTTCCTTTAACATGTCTTTTGTGTTGGGTCTGTTGGCAATGAATTCTTGTTTTTGTTTGAAAAAGTCTTTATTTCTCTTTCCCTTTTAAGGATAATTTTACTAGATACAGATTTCTAGGTTGGTGTTTTTTTTTTTTCCAATGCTTTAAATATTTTATTCCATCCTTTCTTGCCTTCATGTTTTCTGATGAGAAGCCTGCTGTAATTCTTATCCTTGTTCCTCAATAGGTAGGGTGATATTTTGTGATGGTTTCTTTAAAGATTTTCTCTGCCTTTGATTTTCTTCCATTAAATGTGATACATCTAGGTGTAGTTTTTTTTGTTTGTATCCTAATTTTGTTCTCTTAGTTTTCCGGATGTGTGGTTTGGTGTACCTTATTATTTTTGGAAAATTCTTAGCCATTATTATTTCATATATTCTGCTCTGTTTCCCCATCTTCTGGAATTCCAATTACGTGTGTTTATACCTCTTGAAGTTTTTCACAGTTCTTGGATGTTCTGTCCTGGGATTTTTTTGTTTTTTATAATTCTTTTTCTCTTTGCATTTCAGTTTGGAAAATTTCTTTTGACCTCTCTTCAAGCTTACTGATTCTTTCCTTGGCTATGTATAGTCTACTGATGAATGCATCAGTGTTGTCGATTATTTGTTACAGTGTTTTTGATTTCCAGCTTTTCCTTCTGTTTCTTTTCTAGAGATTCTATGTGCTTACCATATCCATTTTTTTCTTACATGTTGTCTGCTTTTTATGTTATCACCCTTAGCATATTAATCATAGTTATTTTAAATTTCCTGTCAGATAACTAAAAAAAATGTGTTGTATCTGAGTCGGGTTCAGATGCTTGCTTTGTCTCTTTAGACTTGCTTTTTCTTGCCTTCTTAGCATGACTTGAAATTTTTTGAAGGCTGGATATGTCATATTAGGTAATAGGAACTGCGGTAGTTAAATCGTTAGTGTGAGGATTTATATTTATCTGCCTAGGAGTTGGATTGTGTTTAATATTTGCTCTAGCTGTAGGTGCCAGGGGGTTCACATTCCTGTAGTGTCTTTGTTTTTGTCTTCCTTGCTTTCTTTGGGTTTCCCTAAGAACTCTTTCTCAGATAGAATCTGTATCTTGCAGCTTTTTCAGCTGTAAATACTGGAGCCTCATTGATATGGTGGTAGCATGTGGGAAAGGGGAAATATACTATTATAATCTTAATTATTAAATCTCTGTTTTTTAGTGGATCGATGTCCTGGAGCTGTGGAGTGGACTTAAATCAGGGAAATTCCCATTCCTAGGTGGTATACAGCCCCTGACAGTCTTTCCCTTGGAGTGTAGGCCTTTGTTACAGAGAATACTCAGGTTGTATTTCGCAGTGGTTACTTTTCTTTTCCTCCTTGCCAGAACTATAAGGGGATCCTTCTTGGCTCTTTACTGTGAGAATCTGGCAGTACCATAAAACCCACAATAGTGTGGGGACTCCCCCATAGGACAGCATTCTCCTAGGAGTTTCCCACTTTCATGCTATTCCACAGTCAGCCTCCAGCAAGTCATCAAAATTACCATTTAAGTGTTTGTACTGGATTGAATTTTTATCCTCAAAAAAGGTATGTCTGAGTCTTAGCCCTTCATACGTGTAAATGTTACATTATTTAGAAATAGTTGGCTGGGCATGGTGGCTCACGCCTGTTGTAATCTGAGTACTTTGGGAGGCCAAATTGGAGGATCACTTGAGCCAAGGAGTTCGAGACAAGTCTGGGCAGTATAATGAGACCATGTCTCTACAAAAAAATTTCAAAAAATTAGCCATGCATGGTGGTGCACCCCTATAGTCCCAGCTACTCAGGAGATTGAGGTGGGAGGATCACTTGAACCTGGGAGGTGGAGGCTGCAGTGAGCCGAAATTACTCCATTGCACTCCAGCCTGGGTGACAGAGTAAGGCTTTGCGTCAAAAAGAGAGAGAGAAATAGTCTTTTCAGGTGTGATTAAGGATTTCGAGATGAAGAAATTCTTAATAAATTGAATGATTGGTGTCCTTGGAAAAGAGTAAGGAGAGGGTGAGATTTGAGATGGAGACGTAACAGTGGAACAGTCACGTCAAGATGGAGGTAGAGGTTGGAGTTACGTAAGCAAAGGAACACTAAAAATTGCTGGCAGCCACCAGAAGCCAGATAGGGGCATGGAGTGATTCTTCAGAGTCTCCAGAAAGAACTAACCCTGCTGATACCTTGATTTTGCCCTCTCGCCTCCCGAAAGAGGAGAATAAATTTCTTTCAAGCTACCCACTTTGTGATGGTTTGTTACAACTGCTGTAGGAGACTACTAGTGTTCCTGCTAATTTATGGCTCCAGCAGCTTCTACTCTAGGTAATAAATAGATCTCGTCCGTGACTCTCTGGCTTTACCTGCCTCCTGTCTGTATCTTTAGGTGGTAGTTTGCTCTGTGTCCTCAATTTTCTAATGGGTCCAAGGAAATTAAATGATTTTCAGTTGGTTTAGCCTTTTTCTTGTAAGGGTGGGAGTGATGACTTTAAAGCTTTTTACTTGTTGGAGCTGAAACTGCCAGTTGAGTATTTTAAAAATTTGTTTGTTCTTTCTCCCCACAATTTTTGGCGTTTTTATGCTTTTTCTGTTATTTTAGTGATCACTACATGCATTCTCAACTTATAAAAACCTGATGTTAATAACTTTACTCTCTTATACCATACAAGGATCTTGGAACAATTTTAACTCCCAACTTTGTTACTGGTTCTGTTATTTTAATTTTTCTGTATTTTTAATTTCCTATATGATGTTACTGTTTTTATTCATTTGGTGTTTTTATACCTGTATACTTACCACTTCTTTTGTTTTTCCTTTCTTTTCTACATTGCTGATACTTCATATTTAATCTTTTTCCTTTCCTTTGCTGTTCTCAGAGAACATCCATCAGAGTTTTCTTTTTGTGTAGCAAAGTCCCACTTCTGGCTTGTCAGAAGTGTCCTTATTTTTTCTTCTTTTTTAAAGGATATTTTCTTGGGTGTAGAGAGTTTAAGATTTGTAGGTATTTTCTTTCCACACATTTAAGATACTAATCTGCTTCCTTCTGGCTCCCATCGTTGTTGCTAAGTCACCCATTAGTCTGAATGTTGCTTCTTTGATAACCTTTGTTTTACGATTTTCTTTCCTCTTTGTCTTTCACTTTTTGCAGTTTAATATTACAAACTTAATTATGAATAAGTTTAAAAGAGCAGGGAATTTAACCCTATTTACCATATGGCATTTTCTCTAAGGGAAATAAAATAGATTTTCTTTGAGTCAATGAACTTCTTAATTATCACAGATGTATGCAGTTATGTGGTGCTATAAACATTTTTGCTGTAATATTGAACAAACCACTTTAATATTTACTGCTTAAAAATCTTGTCAAAGTAATTCCTGCACGTGATATACAAATATAAAAAATACTAAATGACTTACAAACACTATTTCCTTGCCTCATTGTTCTCTGCTTCTATTCTCATTCTCCATAGGGAAACCACTGTCTAAATCTATCTGTTTTAATGTTTTGGCTTTCATCTTTCTAAATAATTAGTTTCTGTTGTTGATTTTGGTTTATTTTTAACTTGAAAATATTTAGCTTGCTTATTTATAATCTCATGTTTTCTCTTTATCTGAACATAGTAAGGGTTTATACTTTTATTTCTTTTTCTAGCAACTAATAGTGTATTTGTGGACTTAGCACTTTGTATGATAATGATATTCATCCCTTTACTCTTTCCTTTACGAACCTCCCTCTCTCAATTCTTTTTCGGAATTATTATCCTTTATAATATCAAGGCTGTTAACATTTCTATTTTGTTCTACAACCATAATTTAGTCCTTTTGTTTTGCTGTACGATAATTTGATTGTCAAAGTTAAAATAATTACTTTCACATTATTATGACCATGTCGTGTTTTTTTTTTACTGTGAAGCCAAGTAGTACATATGATTATATTTTTCCTTTCCCCTTTTTGCTTTCCCCTTTTTCCTTTCCTTTCCTTTTCCTTTTCTTTTTTCCTTTCCTTCCCTTCCTTTTTTCCCTTCCTTTCCCTTTTCCTGTTCCCGTTCCCTTTTTCCTTTCCTTTCCTTTCCTTTCCTTTCCCTTCCCTTCCCTCCCCTTCCCCTTCCCCTTCCCCTTCTCCTTCCCTGTCGCCTTCCCTTTTTCCTTTCCTTTCTGTCCTTCCTGTCTTGATCTGTTGCCCAGGCTGGAGTGCAGTGGTGCGATCTCTGCTCATTGCAGCCTCCACCTTCTGGACTCAAGCCATTCTCTCACTCAAGCCATCCTCTCACTTCAGCTTCCCCAGTAGTTGGGACTGTAGGTGCGTTATCATTACTCCTGACTACATTTTTTTGGTATTTTTGTAGAGATGGGGGTTGCCATGTTGCCCAGGCTGGTCTTGAACTCCTGGGCTCAAGAGATCCACCCACCTCAACCTCCCAAAGTGTTGGGATTACAGGTGTGAGCTGCAACTGCACCCGGACAATTATATTTTGAGCATTTTACAGTTCTTTGCCTTTCCAAAAGTTTCTAATCATCTTTAGTTTTTTGTCCTTAACTGACTTTCTTGTCTCTGAGTTCCAGATTTGTAAGGATAGCATACAGTTTTACAGTTTGTGCCCCATGCTGCTTTTCTCTCAGATACCTCCTAGAACTTTTTGTCTCCCGTTTAGTATAGACTGTTTGTTCCTTAGATTTGTTGCGCAGCTGCAAATTTAGTACTTATTTTATTCTGAGGTTGGTGCCACTATTTCTTGGATTTCATGTCTTCCTCTGTTTTGGTTCATATTTTAATTTTGCGCAGCTGCAAATTTAGTACTTATTTTATTCTGAGGTTGGTGCCACAATTTCTTGGATTTCATGTCTTCCTCTGTTTTGGTTCATATTTTAATTTTGCTGGATAACATTATGTAATTTCATATGTGAGAGTTAATTTTCTTTATTGTTGCATGTGTGAAAATGTTATATCCTATGCTTGCCTGCTGATTTGGCAGAGTATGCAATTAATTTTCCTTCAATACTTCAGTGACTTTTAATTTTTCTTTTTCTAGAATCCAGTATTGCCAATGAGAAGTGTTCCAAGATGATTCTCAATCTTTTGTAGATGAAATTTTTATTTCCTGTCAGAGAGCTTTCTAGGATCGTTTATTGTTATTATGAAATTGCACCGAATATGAATACGTTTTAAAATTTGTTCATTTCATTGGATTCTCACAGACCTGTTTCCATTTGAAGATTGTTTTAGGATTATTTTCTTGTATTATTTCATGGTTAATTCCCCGTTTTTTTCTCCTTGAATTTCTGTTAATTGGATGTTGGATTGATTGGGCCTTTTCCTTATTTTCATCTTTTTCTTTGTGCCTTTGTTTTACCTGTTTTGGAACATTTTCTTGGATTTATCTCTGCCTCTTCAAAAAACAGTAAGATACTTTGGAAGACATAAACTTTAAAAACTTTTTAATTTTCTCACTTCTTATTTTATAGCATTCTGTTCTTTTAGAAACTTTACATCTCTTGAGGATATACATTTGTGTGTGTATTTTAACTTTTTAATTTTGAAATAATCATGAAGTTGTAGAAATGTTAGATGTATAGTACAAATCATTTTTTTCCTGACTGATATCTTTCATCCAAGTATTTTAGTGTGTATTTTTAACAAACCAGGACCATATCACAATACAACCATAACATTTAAGAAATTAACATTGATTTGTAATCTGTATGGACTCATGGCTTATTTTATTCGATGGGGTATATTCTTTTAATTTCATTATTTTGATGCTCAAAATGTCCTGATTTGGCCAGTAAGAACCCTTTTGATATCACTTCTGTGGGTCAGTTTGATACCATTTCATTTTTTTTGATAACTTCCTTACTTTCTGGCACAACAAAATGTTCCAGGCTAATCTTATACTTTTCCTGCTTAGCCTTGGAATTGGCCATTTTCCTAAAGAGTCCTGATTCCTTTTAGTAGTAGGTGGTATTTATGAAGTCGTGGCATTTGGTTTTCTCATTACCATTGGGATGTTGCTGGTTTCAGGTCCATTAGTTGGACAGAGCTAGGGTGTATGTGCATGTGTGTGTGTGTGTGTGTTGAATATATGTGTATCTGTGTATACATACATGTATACATATATCTGTTTATTTCTCCATGTTACGTATTGAAAACTGTTAAGTTCATGCTGATACTGCTTATTACAAATCAGTATCACAGGATTGAAAGTAGCTTTTTCCATATATGCTTGTAACTCCTTTCTCTGACATGGAGAAACTTGGCTTCCATTATCCTTCAAATATTTACAGTTTGATTAGTCTTCCTGCATGTAACCATTCTCCCATCTCTGTTGTTACTCCCCACCCTTACTTACCCTTTCTCCTGGTAGTTTTCCAGTTTATGATGGGTCTTTCATGATCAACTATTGTCTGCGCATTTTAAGAGTAAATAATAAATGAATAAAAAGCTAACTGGGAACTCTGTTTATGTGGGTAGGAGTTAAGAGTTTTGTTGTTGTTGTTGTTGTTGTTTTTGAGACAGAGTCTTGCTCTGTCGCAGTGGCACGACCTCGGCTCACTGCAACTTTCGCCTCCCGGGTTCAAGCCATTCTTCTGCCTCAGCCTCCTGAGTAGCTGGGACTACAGGCATATGCCACCACGCCCGGCTAATTTTTGTATTTTTAGTAGAGACTGGGTTTCACCATATTGGCCAGGCTGGTCTCGAACTCCTGACCTCAGGTGATCCACCCACCTCAGCCTCCCAAAGTGCTGGGATTACAGGCGTGAGCCACTGCCCCTGCAGGAGTTAAGAATTTTATTTTGGAATTAGCAAGTCAGGAACTGCCCATTGCTTTGGGGACCTCTACATTTCTCAGTATTCATTGCTCTGAGAAACCAGCATTCATCCATAATAGCTGTACTAGTTTTCCTAAGCTATTTTTTATTTTTTTGTAGATTAACCCTTCAGTTTTTTGCCTTGGAAGGAAAATGCCATACTATTTAGCATTTTATCTCGTTGAATTACTGTGGTTGATATAGAGATTGAGTAATTTCCCTGTTTTAGCCCTGCATGCATTTCATGTGAGCCTACGTTTTCTGAATTTCTGGTCTTTTTGAGGTCTACAGAGCAGTTTGGTATTTCATTTATAGCTCCCTTAGGTTCTCTAGGCTTCCTCTTCTTGGCTTTATCAGCTGTGCATCCCCTTTCAGACATTTGTTAAAATTTCTTGCCGGGTCCCTTATCATGTTGGGATGTTTTCAGCTGTAAATAGAAATCCTGTCTAAAATTTACTTAAACGTTAAGAAACTACTTCATGTAACGAATCTGAAGGTATTATAGTTAAAGGTGGTTAATCTAGCAGTTTGATGAATCCAGCAAAGATCCAGGTTATTTTCATCTTTTTTCTCCTCCACGTTAATTAAGTATCCGCTGTTTTTCTGGTCTCAAGTGGTTATAGCAATTGTAGGTATCAAATTCTCATTAAAGAACATCCAGAGTCTGCAGGAGGCCATTCCTTCCTTGGTTTTTTTTTTTTTTTGAGACGGAGTCCTGCCCTGTCACCCAGGCTGGTGTGCAGTGGCACAATCTTGGCTCACTGCAACCTCCGCCTCCCGGATTCACGCCATTTCTCCTGCCTCAGCCTCCTGAGTAGCTGGGACTACAGGCGCCTGCCACCACGCCTGGCTAATTTTTTATATTTTTAGTAGAGATGGGGTTTCACCATGTTAGCCAGGATGGTCTTGATCTCCTGACCTTGTGATCCGCCTGCCTCCGCCTCCCAAAGTGCTGGGATTATGGGCGTGAGCCACTGAGCCTGGCCTGTGTTTTGTTTTTAAAGTCAAATAAAACCTTCCCAGAAGAAAGAATTCATTCATCTCAGCTGGGCATGGTGGCTCACGCCTGTGATCCTAGCACTTTGGGAGGGTGAGGTGGGAGGATCGCTTGAGCCCAGGAGTTTGAGAGCAGGCTGAGTAATATAGCCAGACCCCATCTCTATTTAAAAAATAAAAATAAAAAGAATTCCTTCATCTCATGCTTATTTGAAAACCATTCACTGTGTATGTTTAATTGTATGTGATTAAGGTTGCTATACATAGACTATCTGTAGACCTTTGCCTCTTTGGCAGTTAGATATCCTGGCACCTGCTCAACTGTAGTTGGCATTTAAACAAGGTTTTTCAGCTGACCTGATTGTACTTAGTGTCTGAGAAGTACATACCTAGACTAGTGAATATGTAACTCCCTGGGGCTGAGAGAATCTTCGCCTGTAAAGTACAGGGTCTCAAAATACTGAACAGAATTAAGGTTCTATGAGAAAGGAAGGAGGGGAATGGGCAATGTGGGAATGGCACTTGGCTTAACAAACAACAGTGTCTGGTCATACTCACTTTCCTTTTTTTTTTTGGTGGTGGTGGTTGTGATTGTTGTTGTGGTTGTTGGTGTGTGTGTGTGTGTGTATTTTCTTTTTAGTCAGTCTTGTAGGAGGAAGAAAAGATGAATGGGGATATGGCTAGTCTGCTATCTTGAGCAGGAAAGCTGTTATTGCTTTTTAAAAATTGAACCTTGTAAAATATTAAAAATATGCTTATGTGATCCTATAATCTAAAATCCTGTTATTAAAAGAGGTAAAATAAATACATATTAATCTTCATTTTAGAGTTTGTTTTCTGTTTTTACATACAATAGTAACACAAACTTAGTAGTTTAGAACTATATATATTTATTAGCTAATAGTTTCTGTGGTTTAAGAGTCTGGGCATGGCCAGCTGGATCCTCTTCAAGGTTGCACTGAAGATGGTGGCCAGGGTTGGGTTCACATTTGGGGCTCTACTGGGGAAGGGTCTGCTTCCAAGCTCATGTGTTAGTTTGTATCATTCATTTACTTTTGGGTTGTTGGAGTAAGGGCCTCAGTTTCCTGATGTCAGTCAGAGACCTCCTTAAGTTGCTTGCTTGTGGCCCTCTCTATAGGTTGGCTTACAGCATAGCAGCTTGTGTCTTCAAAGCGAGCAAGGGAAAAAGTCTCCTATTAAGATGGGCATTACAGCCTTAAGTAATTACATACAATTCATTGTCTTTTTCATTATCTTTTTTTTTTTTATTTGAGTCTGTTGCCCAGGCTAGGCTCACCAATGCCTTGACCTCCTGGGTCAAGCAGTGCTCCAAAGTAGCTGGGACTACAGGTGTACACTGCCATGTCTGGCTGGTTTTTGCGTTTTTGTAGAGACGGGGTTTTGTTGTGTTGCCCTGGCTGGCCTCGAACTCCTGAGTTTTTTTTTTTTTTTTTTTGAGACGGAGTCTCGCTCTGTTGCCAGCCTGGAGTGCAGTAGCACGTTCTTGGCTCACTGCAACCTCTGCCTCCTGGGTTCAAGCTATTCTCCTACCTCAGCCTCCCGAGTAGCTGGGATTACTGGCGCCCACCACCATGCCGGGCTAATTTTTGTATTTTTAGTAGAGATGGGGTTTCACCAGGTTGGCCGGGGTGGTCTCCATCTCTTGACCTCGTGATCTGCCTGCCTTGGCCTCCCAAAGTGCTGAGATTACAGATGTGAGCTATTGCACCTGGCCTGAACTCCTGAGTTTAAGTGATCTGTCTGCCTCGGCCTCCCAAAGTGCTGGGATTATAGGAGTGAGACATTACGCCCTGCCATCATATTCTGTTGGTTAGAAGTCAGTCACAGGTCACATTGGCAGTCAAAGAGAGAGAATTACATAAGGACATGAATACGAGGAAGTGGGGATCATGGAGACCACCTCAGAGTCTGTCTGCTACAAAGGATATGCATGTGATTGTTAAGAGTGTCTGATGGCATGAATTATGCATTATTTTTCTTTTGAGGCTCCCACTTAATAGCTGTATTGTACTCTATATTAAGATATTCAAGAAATTTGCTGATGTAGCCAAATATTTAAAGTAATTGAAATCAGCCTTGCTGATGTCTTTGTGGTATTAAATATTGTTGCTAAACAGATTCCTTAGTTTTAAATTTATTAATATAGTTTACAGTATTTTGTGAATTAGATTTTAGACATTTCGTTTTTTCCCCCTTTTTTAGTTGACTATATTGTGGAGTATGACTATGATGCTGTACATGATGATGAATTAACTATTCGAGTTGGAGAAATCATCAGGAATGTGAAAAAGCTACAGGAGGAAGGGTGGCTGGAAGGAGAACTAAATGGGAGAAGAGGAATGTTCCCTGACAATTTCGTTAAGGTAAGTATTTTCAGTTAAATTTCTAGCTCTTGCTTCATAGGATTTAATCTTTAAATGTTAAGAAATAGATATACTTTTAAAATTAAAATGTTTTAGATAAATGTTTTCTTTGTAACATTTAAGAAAATAGAGTCCAGGTACCTCTATAATGGATATCATTGTTGCTCTGTGTCCTGCTGGATAGTAATCCTCTATGTATGTGTTTGTGTATATATGCTTGTATATGGTTGTGTGTATCTACCTGATTACTGATTGTTTTAAAATAAATAATAGTTTTCATTTGGGTGGCATTTAGTAATTTATAAAGCAGGCTTGCTGTATATATTCTCATTTGAGCCTACAGTATACTTGTGAAATAGTTATGACAGATAGTAGCCCCATTTTAAATATCTTGATATTTAGATTGAGAGGTTAAGTGATTTTGTCCACTGTTGGTTAGCTAAGACAAGAGACTTTGAACTGAAGTCTGGGACAGTTGCCTCGCTGGTCTTCTCATTATATTTTGTTGCTTTTCCAACAACAAAATGCATTTGGTCATACTTTTTGTGTTTCAGCATTATAGCAGTTATCTGCCAAACTGTCTTCTTCAACTACTACCAAACATTCCTTTTTTAGTAAGTATTCTAGTCGCTTCTGCCAGAAAACAATCTTTAGGGCTCTTATCAATTACAAACTTATAAAATTCTCAGTAGTTTAGAGAAGAAGAAAAAAAGTAAAGCATATCTGTGTATTTACACATCAGTTATAATTGTCTTGTTTTCTGTGTATTAGTTTTCTTACATCCAGCTTCATTCCCTGGCCTCATTAGATTATGAGCTCTTCTAGGAAGGTTAGAGTATGTATCTCATTTGCTTGTCCAGCTTGGACAGTAGTTGTTAGCAGAATACCTGCACAGAATGGATACATAGTTAATATTTATTTCTTGAATAAACTTGTGTTTATTTTAGTTGTGGTTTCACCTCCAAGTATGAAAACATACAGTTGTCTCAGTATCCAGGAAACACCGTGGATACCAAAATATGCAGATGCTCAGATCTGTTATATAAAATGGCATAGTATTTGCATATAACCTATGCACATTCTCCCATATACTTTAAATAGTCTCTAGGTTAACTTATAATACCTAGTAAAGTGTAAATGTTATGTAAATAATTGTTATGCAGTATCACAATTGGTGAGTCTGCAGTTGTGGAGCCTGCGGATGTGGAGGGCCGACTGTATTTTATTCTGCTACAGGGGTACCTTGGAGATACTGCAGGTTCAGTTCCAGACCACCACAATAGAGCAAATGTCATAGTAGAGCAGATACCTCAATAAAGTGAGTCACATGAATGTTTTGATTTCTCAGTGATGTAAAAGTTATGTTTACATTATACTGTATTGAGAGTGCAATCGCATTATATTAAAAAAAGCAATGTGGATACATTAATTTTAAAATATTGGTAAAAATTGCTAACGATCATCTGAGCCTTCAGTGAGTCACCATCTTTTTGCTGGTGGAGGATTTTGCCTTGATGTTGATGACTGTTGACTTAGTGGTTGCTGAAGGCTGGGGTGGCTGTGGCAGTTTCTTTTTTTTTTTTTTTTTTTTTTTTTAATTTATTTTTTTATTGATAATTCTTGGGTGTTTCTCACAGAGGGGGATTTGGCAGGGTCATGGGACAATAGTGGAGGGAAGGTCAGCAGATAAACAAGTGAACAAAGGTCTCGTTTTCCTAGGCAGAGGACCCTGCGGCCTTCCGCAGTGTTTGTGTCCCTGATTACTTGAGATTAGGGATTGGTGATGACTCTTAACGAGCATGCTGCCTTCAAGCATCTGTTTAACAAAGCACATCTTGCACCGCCCTTAATCCATTTAACCCTGAGTGGACACAGCACATGTTTCAGAGAGCACAGGGTTGGGGGCAAGGTCACAGATCAACAGGATCCCAAGACAGAGGAATTTTTCTTAGTGCAGAACAAAATGAAAAGTCTCCCATGTCTACCTCTTTCTACACAGACACGGCAACCATCCGATTTCTCAATCTCTTCCCCGCCTTTCCCGCCCTTCTATTCCACAAAGCCGCCATTGTCATCCTGGCCCGTTCTCAATGAGCCGTTGGGCACACCTCCCAGACGGGGTGGTGGCTGGGCAGAGGCGCCCCTCACCTCCCGGACGGGGCGGCTGGCCGGGCGGGGGGGGCTGACCCCCCCCACCTCCCTCCCGGACGGGGCGGCTGGCCGGGTGGGGGGGCTGACCCCCCCATCTCCCTCCCGGACGGGGTGGCTGGCCGGGCTGAGGGGCTCCTCACTTCCCAGTAGGGGCGGCCGGGCAGAGGCGCCCCTCACCTCCCGGACGGGGCGGCTGGCCGGGCGGGGGGCTGACCCCCCCACCTCCCTCCTGGACGGCACGGCTGTCCGGGCGGGGGGGCTGACCCCCCACCTCCCTCCCGGATGGGGCGGCTGGCCGGGCGGGGGGCTGACCCCCCCCACCTCCCTCCCGGACGGGGTGGCTGCCGGGCGGAGACGCTCCTCACTTCCCAGATGGGGTGGCTGCCGGGCGGAGAGGCTCCTCACTTCTCAGACGGGGCAGCTGCCGGGCGGAGGGGCTCCTCACTTCTCAGACGGGGTGGTTGCCAGGCAGAGGGTCTCCTCACTTCTCAGACGGGGCGGCCGGGCAGAGACGCTCCTCACCTCCCAGACGGGGTCTCGGCCGGGCAGAGGCGCTCCTCACATCCCAGATGGGGCGGCGGGGCAGAGGCGCTCCCCACATCTCAGACGATGGGCGGCCGGGCAGAGAGGCTCCTCACTTCCTAGATGTGATGGCGGCTGGGAAGAGGCGCTCCTCACTTCCTAGATGGGATGGCGGCCGGGCAGAGACGCTCCTCACTTTCCAGACTGGGCAGCCAGGCAGAGGAGCTCCTCACATCCCAGACGATGGGCGGCCAGGCAGAGACACTCCTCACTTCCCAGACGGGGTGGCGGCCGGGCAGAGGCTGCAATCTCGGCACTTTGGGAGGCCAAGGCAGGCGGCTGGGAGGTGTAGGTTGTAGTGAGCCGAGATCACGCCACTGCACTCCAGCCTGGGCACCATTGAGCACTGAGTGAACGAGACTCCGTCTGCAATCCCGGCACCTCGGGAGGCCGAGGTTGGCGGATCACTCGCGGTTAGGGGCTGGAGACCGGCCCGGCCAACACAGCGAAACCCCGTCTCCACCAAAACCAGTCAGGCGTGGCGGCGCGTGCCTGCAATCGCAGGCATTCGGCAGAGTGAGGCAGGAGAATCAGGCAGGGAGGTTGCAGTGAGCCGAGATGGCAGCAGTACAGTCCAGCTTCGGCTCCGCATGAGAGGGAGACCGTGGGGAGAGGGAGACGGAGGGAGAGGGAGAGGGAGAGGGAGAGGGAGAGGGAGAGGGAGAGGGAGAGGGAGAGAGCGGCTGTGGCAGTTTCTAAGATGAGACAACAATGAAGTTTGCTGCATCAATTTGCTTATTTAGTGAAAGATTTCCCTGTAGCATGTGAGCTGTTTGATAGCATTTTACTCATAGTAGATCTTTCAAAATTGTAGTCAGTCGTTTCAAACCCTCCTTCTGCTTTGTCAACTAAGTTTATGTAATATTTTGAATCCTGCATTGTCATTTCAACAATACTCACCGTGTCTTCACCAGGAGTAGATTCCAGCTCAAGAAGCCACTTTCTTTGCTCCTCCATAGGAAGCAACTCCTCATCTGTCCATGTTTTATCACAAGGTTGCAATAATTCAGTCACATCTTTATGCTTCACTTCTAATTCTAGTTCTCTATTTTCACCACATCTACCGTTAACTTCCCCCACTTAGTCTTGAACCCTTCAAAGTCATCCTTTAGTGTTGTGATCTGTTTCTTCCAGACTCCCATTAATGTTGATATTTTTAGCTCCTCTCATGAATCACAGATGTTATTAATGGCTTCTAGAATGGTGACTCTAGAAACCTTTCCGGGAGGTTTTCAATTTACTTTGCCCAGATTGAGCAGAAGAATCACTATCTATGGCAGTGATAGCCTTACGAAATGTGGGCTGGAATTTAGTGGGGCGATCTTGGCTCACTGCAACCTCTGCCTCCCAGGTTCAAGCGATTCTCCTCGCCTCCCTAGTTCAAGCGATTCTCCTTGCCTCCCCTTGGATTACAGGCTCCCACCACCACGCCCAGCTAATTGTTTGTATTTTCAGTAGAGATGGGCTTTCACTATGTTGGCCAGACTGGTCTCAAACTCCTGACCTCGTGATCTGCCCGCCTTGGCCTCAGAAAATGCAGAGATTACAGGTGTGAGCCACCGTGCCTGGCCAAAATGTATTTCTTAAATAAGAATACTTGCAAGTTGAAATACTCCTTGATCAATGGGCTGCAAAATGGATATTATGTTAGCAGGCATGAAAACAACATTCATCTTCTTGTACATTTCCAACAGAGCTCTTGGGTGATCAGATGCATCATCAATATGCATTAGTATTTTCAAAAGAATCTTTCTGCAGTAGGTCTCAACAGTGGGCTTAAATTACTCAATAAACCATGCTGTAAATAGATGTGCTGTCATCTAGGCTTTGGTTTTCCATTTATAGAGCATAGGCAGAATAGTTTTAGCATAATTCTTAAGGACCCTAGGATTCTCAGAATGGTGAATATGCAATGACTTCCACTTAAATTACCAGCTGCATTAGTCCCTAGCAAGAGAGTGAGCCTGTCCTTTGAAGCCTTGAAGCTAGGCTTTGATTTCTTTCTACTTATGAAAGTCCTAGGTGGTACCTTTTTCCAATAGAAGGTTTCATCTCCATTGAAAATCTGTTTAGCATAGCCATCTTCATCAGTGATCTTAGCTAGATCTTCTGGTTAACTTGTTGCAGCTTCTCTGTCAGCACTAGCTGCTTCATCTTGCACTATTATGTTATAGAAATGGCTTCTTTCCTTGAACCTCATGAGCCAACCTCTGCTAGCTTCAAACTTTTCTTCTGCAACTTCCTGACCTCTCTGTATTCAGTGAGTTGAAGAGAATTAGGGCCTTGCTCTAGATGAGGCTTTAGCTTAGGGAAAAGTTGTGGCTGGTTTGATCTTCTAATGACTCAAACTTTCTTTCTTTCTTTTTTTTTTTGTTTTTTTTTTTTTTTTTGGGACGGAGTCTCGCTCTGTTGCCCAGGGTGGAGTGCAATAGCACGATTTTGGCTCACTGCAACCTCTGCCTCCCAGGTTCAAGTGATTCTCCTGCCCAGTCTCCTGAGTAGCTGGGATTACAGGGGCGTGCCACCACGCCCAGCTAATTTTTGTATTTGTAGTAGAGATAAGGTTTCACCATGTTGACCAAGCTGGTCTTGAACTCCTGACCTCAGGTGATCTTCTTGCCTCAGCCTCCCAAAGTGCTGGGATTACAGGTGTGAGCCTGGCCTCACACTTTCTTCATATCAGCAATAAGACTGTTTTACTTTCTTATCATTGGTGTGTTCACTGGAGTAGCACTTTTAATTTCCTTCAAGACCTTTGTCTTTGTATTTGCAACTTGGCTGTTGGTGTAAGGGCCTAGCTTTTGGCCTATCTCAACTTTCAGCATTACTTCCTCACTAAACTTGGTCATTTCTAGCTTTTGATTTAAGTCAGAGATGTGTGATTCTTCCTTTCACTTGAATACTAGAGGCTGTTGTAGGGTTATTAATTAGTCTGATTTCAGTATCATTGTGTCTCAGGGAATAGGGAGCCCTGAGGAGTGGGAAAGGGTAGGAAATGACCAGTTGGTGGAACAGTTAGAAGACACACAATATTTATTAAATTTGCTGTCTGACAAGGGCACAGTTTGAGATACCTCAAAACAATTAAAATGGTAACATTAAAGATCACTAATCACAGATCACCATAACAGATATAATGAAGAAGTTTGAAATATTGCAAGAATGACAAAAATGTAATACAGAGACATAAAGGGAGCCCATGCCGTTGGAAAAATGGCATTGATGGGCTTGCTTGACACAGTGTTGCACAGACCTTCAATTTGTAAAAAAAAAAAAAAATTCAGTTATTTGTGATGTGCAGTGAAGCGAAGTGCAGTAAAACGAGGTAGGCCTGTAACTGTTTTCAGAGGTGAAGTAACTACACTTTATATTTTATCTCTTGAAACAACAGAGAGAGGCTATAGTAGGGAATTGAATATTTAGAGCAAGGTCACTTCATTTTTTGTTTTATGAATTTACTTCTTTTTTTGATCTATAATAGATTGTCATGCAGATACTATGGAAACTGAAGTCAGAATAACTGGATTTAAATGCAGTCAAGTTCCAGCTTTGCCCTTTGCTGGCAGTGTGGTATTAGACAAATCACATAATTTCCCTGTTTTCTCCACTTTAAAGTGGTATTTTGGCGGACTACAGTAAGATGGGCTCTAATACATTTTTTTTTGTAAAGAAAAATGGCTTTTTAGAGAAAATTTATTGCAGTTATAGAACACCGATTTCAAAAATAAGTTAAAAGTTAAATACAAAACATTTATATAGTTCTCTTGAGTGTATGCTAATGTATATTTCTACTATTAGGAATGATTTATCATGGAACTCCATTTTGAAATAAATTTTTCTTTCCTGTTTCAGTATAACTAATACTAGAAGTTAAATTTAATGAACTGCCTGCTAGCAGAGTATATAGTTTATGAGTATGGTAGGTAATAGAGAAAAGTTTAATCTGGGATTAAAAATTAACCACAGGTTACTAGATTATAGTCAGAGACAGCAGTATGAATTTATGTTTAGTTAAAACATGTACAGGTAGATACAGGAATGGTTTTGTATATATATGTGTCTGTGTTTATATATGTGGGTTAGTGTGCATACACAAATATATGTATTCCTCAGCTCTTATTGCTGAGAGGGCCTAGAAGCAGTGATACCTCAGTAGCCGTGAGTACATCCAGTGCCCAGATCTTGATTTCCAAATACCATTCTCTAATAAAAGGAAGGGCTCCTTGGAGAAATGACTGATTCTGGTGTTTGGGGTAATGAAGATACAAGATAAGCCTGGAGCGTGTTGTGGTGGCAGAAAATTAAGTGGTTAAAAAAACAAAAGGTGGGCCTGTGTCAAAGGGACTTAGAACCCAACCTGAAGGAGCTCCCAATATCTAGAGCTGGAACAGTTTGAGCAGCACAATAATCTAGTATTTGATTTTTATGTAAAATACAGCATAAGTATACATGAGTCCATATTGATATAAATAAATGGTTGAATAAATAAACGGGAGAAAGGATAAATTGAAACAAAAATTCCAAGTGATAATTCTAAATACTTATTTCCTTTTCCGCACACCCCCTCTTTCCCTTCCAAAAGCTTTCCTCAGGTGTGGAATAGACTAAAGGATAGATGGGGCCGGGCGCGGTGGCTCATGCCTGTAATTCCAGCACTTTGGGAGGCCGAGGTGGGCAGATTACGAGGTCAAGAGATCGAGACCATCCTGGCCAACATGGTGAAACCCCATCTCTACTAAAAATACAAAAATTAGCTGGGCATGGTGGCGTGCGCCTGTAGTCCCAGCTACTCAGGAAGCTGAGGTGGGAGAATTGCTTGAACCCGGGAGGTAGAGGTTGCAATGAGCTGAGATCGCGCCACTGCACCCCAGCCTGGTGACAGAGTGAGACTCTGTGTCTCAAAAAAAAAAAAAAAAAAAAAAAAAAAGGAATAGATGGACAGGGAAAAATAGTAGCTTAGTAGCTTTTAATGGAGAAACTTCGCAAATACTGCCTTTACCAAGTGGTCCAGGTTAATGTCACCAGTGATAGGTTATGTTGATACCATGTATTCCCTTCACCTTTGTGGTATTCTTCCCCAAAGTCCATGATCCTGGCTGGGGAAAACCTCAGACAAACTAAATTGAGAGACATTCTACAAAATACCTGACCAGTACTCCTCAAAAATGTCAAGGTCATGAAAAACAAGGAAATACTGAGAAACTGACATTGACCAGAAGAGGCAAAGGAGACATAATAACCAAATACATTTTGGTTTCCTGGATTGGATTCTGGAACAGAAAAAGGACATTAGTGGAAAAATTGATTAAATCCATATACAGTTAGTAGTTTAATAATAATGTACCAGTGTTAATTTCTCAGTTTTGAAGTGGAATGTGGTTATACACACTATTAACATTAGGCAAAACTGAATTAAGAGTGTGGGAACTTTCTACTTCCTTTGTAACTCTTCTGTAAATCTTTTTATTCCAAAGCAAAATTTTATTTAAAAAAAATTACCCTTAGGTAATCAACAGCAATGGATAATACACAAATTAATAAGGTAGTTGGCTTTATCACTTCAGATGTGTATGTTAAAATTCAGGGGAAAGCTGTAATTTAAAATTCACTGTCCATTTGAAAATAAGCTTCCTATTGGGACATTAAGGTGCACGTTCATCCTGGCTAACACGGTGAAACCTCAACTCTACTAAAATACAAAAAATTGGCCGGGGGTGGCTCACACTTGTAATCCCAGCACTTTGGGAGGCCGAGGTGGGCGGATCACGAGGTCAGGAGATTGGGACCATCCTGGCTAACACGGAGAAACCCCGTCTCTACTAAAAATACAAAAAATTAGCTGGGCGTAGTGGCGGGCGGCTGTAGTCCCAGCTACTTGGGAGGCTGAGGCAGGAGAATGGTGTGAAGCCGGGAGGCGGAGCTTGCAGTGAGCCGAGATCGCGCCACTGCACTCCAGCCTGGGCAACAGAGCGAGACTCCGTCTGAAAAAAAAAATATATATAAAATAAAATACAAAAAATTCGCCGGGAGTGGTGACATGCGCCTGTAGTCCCAGCCACCCAGGAGGCTGAGGCAGGAGAATCGCTTGAACGTGGGAGGCGGAGGTTGCAGTGAGCCGAGATCGCACCACTGCACTCCAGCCTGGGTTGCAGAACGAGACTCTGTCTCAAAAAAAACAAACATAAAAAGGTGCATGTTATTTTGTAAATCTGTGAATATGGAGTGTGGATGGTGGAACTAGGCTTCTTGTAAAAAACTCACGTCCCTGTTACTAATTCAGATAGCTATACTGAAGAACAATGATAGTCAAATTGGGCTGGAAGATGAATAGAAATGCTGAATTGTTTTTGTGGCTTATTATGAAAAACTTTAGACACCATAAGTTTGTTTTGTGACAAACTTATGCCCATTTCATTGTCCCTTTGCAGTGTGTTTGTCTTCCAGTTTTAAAAGTATTTTACAAAGGATATTGAACACAAGGATCTATGAACTTAATGTACAGAATATTATCATTTTGCCATCTTGCTTAAGTGTTACTTTTTAATAAAGAGAACATTACAGATGAGATTGAGTTCTCATCACCTCCTTCTCATTTCTCTTCCTTTGCAGGACCACCTGTGTTCTTAAGTTGTATGTATCCTTTAGTCCATAGTTTTACACCTATTTGCCTGTGCATAAACAAATAGTATTTTGTGTGATTTAGACACTTACATAATTGTTTCACATTGCACCTTTTCTTTATATTTAATGTGAGATTTCAACATGGATACATAATGTAGTTGCATCTGTTACAAATGGGTTTTATAACACTAGTTAGCTTATAGGTAATTAGTAGAGAGAAATGATGTCAGGACAATGAGAAAGTGTGTTAGTTTATTTTCTAGGTAAGAAGAGCTGTAATAAAGATTGTAGGATTATGACTTCAGCAAGAAAATGGAAGCAGCTTGGAGTTCTTTTGAATCTGAATACCTTTTTTTTTTTTTTTTCTTCTTTTAAAGTAACCATCTGTATCTCTAAGGGTATCTTCCTCAAAGTTTACAGTTCTGGCATTGAGGGCTCTTAAATCCTGGTGCTCACTTTCACTGTCTCAGCATCCATAAGCCAACCAACATTCCCACTTAATTGTTTTTTGTTTTACATTTTTAATAGCTACTGAAGAATTCTTCAGTCATGACTGCTTGGGCAGTCTAAGTTATTGCCTATCTATGTAGGTTCTAGTTATTATTTGTTTTCGTTTATAGTGTTGAGGTCCCAAACTGCATAGGTTTTTGCATAAATTGAGTGGTCTGCAAACTCTATTTTTTATATAGTCACTGGTATTTTTAGTGTTTGATTTTGAAGTTTTCACATAATAAGTGGTATTTTAGTGTTTTTTTTTCTCCCAGAATGCATGGTGTTTAAGACTGCACATACAGTATTATAGGAGAGACACCTTTACTACTACTTTCTAATCTCTGCATAGTATTCCATTGTCCGGCTAAGTATTACATATTTTTTGGATATTTAGGACTTTTTTTCAATTTTTAGCTATTAAGAAATTTTTAGCTATTAGAACTTCAGTAAACATCTTTTTTGGGGTATGTGTACAGCTGAAGATTTGCTGACTCCTAGGGTGTGCACATGTTCAACTATACTAGATGTTGTCTGATTTCTCTCTCAAGTAATTATACCAATTTAAAAACGTCTGATACCATCAGACTTTAAAAAAAATTTTTTTTTGGGGGGGGGGCTAGCCTTACAGATGTACAGTAGTATCTACCATGTTGTGTTTCATTTTCATGATTACTAGTGAAGCTAGGCATCTTTTCACATTTCAGTTCCTTGTGTACAGCTTGTTCAGGATATTTCTTCTATTTTTCCTTTGAGTTCTTGTTCATATTCTAGTTAATTTCTAGTAGTTCTTAATGTATTTTAACCAATAGACTTTTGTCTTCCTTCTGCTTATGTATTCCTCGTAAATGCTTTTTGTGACTTGTCTAAGTATAAACAACTTTACTATTAGCTGTAAAATTTTCATTTTTAGTATGTCATCAATCTTTTTTTGTGTTTAGTATGATTAAATGTTTTTCACTTGGAAAGATATGAATAGTCTACTTCATTGATCTTTTTTAAGTCATTTCATTTTTATTTTGTAGCTACAAATCATAAACTATACCTCATTAATTTGTTATGTTTAAGAAGTAAGCTAAAACTGAGGAGAAACCAGGCTAACTTAGCAGATATTACTACATTCTTAACTTCAATGTTTTAGACTAAAGTAGAGAATAAAGATTTATTTGTGGGTATAACTTTGATTCAGTATCAATGTCTTGGCTAGTTCATATTTGGCACTTGGTTGTTGGAGTTGCTACTTTGTAATTGAGATAAAACAAAATAAACACATTCCAGTAAACAAATGCTTAGTTGACTGTGACATATTTTGGGGTGTGGTGAGAAGAATCTTTCCCACAATTTATTTTATTGGGGGAAATAACAGTGTAAAACAGGATAAATTGTAATGCCTTACATGACTGAATGGCAGACATGTGATAAGATGATAGGTGTTACAGAATCTTTGAAAAAATGTCTTTCAGAAAGGGGATTAAAAGTAAAACTAGGCTGGGCGCAGTGGCTCACACCTGTAATCCCACCCTTTTGGGAGGCCAAGGCAGGTGGATCACCTGAGGTCAGGAGTTGGTGACCAGCCTGGCCAACACGGTGAAACCCAGTCTCTACTAAAAGTACAAAAATTAGCCAGGAGTGGTGGCACGCACCTGCAATCCCAGCTACTCGGGAGGCTGAGGCAGGAGAATTGCTTGAACCCAGGAGGCGGAGGTTGCAGTGAGCCAAGATCACTCCACTGCACTCCAGCCTGGGTGACAGAGTGAGAGTCCGTCTTAAAAAAAAAAAAAAAAGTAACACTGAATTGGTTCTTAAGGTAGAAAGTTATAGGAGTACTGAGTGCATTGTAGGTCTGGCAAAGGTATTAGATAATTTATGATAAAAAGATAATTAGGCAGACTACTTTGGCTGAATGAAAGTTTTCATATGGGGGAGTAATGGGATTTAAGACTAAAAGCATGGGTTAAAGTAGGGGGTACAGTATATTTTGAAGATTGCTTAAAGATATTTAAAACTATTTAATAAATTAATCTGAATGAGAAGGAAAGGTTTTCCAGAAGATAGAGTTGGGGCTATAAAGTATAATAGAGATCAGAGTGCTACATTGAGAGTGGAAATGAAGGGGATAGATAATAGGCTAATAACACTTTATATCTGTATGAATACTTTGCATATTCACATACGTTATCTCACTTTATTCTCATGTCTTTGAAAATTAGGCATAGGGAATGTGTCATTCTTACCCAAAGTCTTGCTGGTAATATGGGCTAAAAACTTGATCATAGTTAACTCTATGACAGGCCAATGCCAGGGCTCTTTTTAGATGAAAAAATGCATCTATGGTATGTGCTAGTTATTAGAGAAATGTGATCATTCTGTAACGTCCTGTGCTTTTGAGGCTGTTGGGGCAAGTGATATAAATCCTAGTCATTGAAATTTTCCAGTAGCATCAGCATAGTTGAAAGATCTTAGCATTATAAAATTAAAAGTGCTTTTGATCACTTTCAGATTTGACCCTGGAAAAGGAAAAAAAAAATCAAACTGTTTCTCAAATTGCAATTTGATGGAAGTAAATTTTTTTTTTTAAACTAAACTCAAGAAATTTCAGAAGAAAGACACTTGACGTAAAGGAAATTCAAAGACTAAAGATGGAATGCAAAATATGTGGGAAAAAAAGTAAAAATACAGGTAATTAGAAAATGAAGCTTGGCTTGAAATGCATAGGTTTCTAGATAACTTTGTAAAATGCATTTAATCATTGTGTTCTGCCTCTATCCCTGGAAATTTTGCTGAAAACCAAGATTTTATTATACAGTTTAAGGAAATTAGGAAGTTCATTTTGTAAGTCAGGATAGTTTACATTGTGGTACCAACATCAAAATCTCAGTGGTGGCGTAGCACAAGGAAAGACTACATCCTTTCATGCAAAGTTTGGTCCAGCTAGCCAAGTCACTGTGCTGCTTTTCATGTGGCGGCACAACCTTCTGGGCTGCTTTAGTCTTGTGGCAAGTCATTGTCAATTTGTGCTTTTGTAATTTTTGAGGACAGAGCAACAGAGCATAGAAAATCACGTTCCAGTTTTAAATGCTTCCCTCTGGAAGTGGTCCATATTACTTTTTCATTTCATTGGCCCATAGCAATGATGTGGTCATGTGTACTATCAAAGGGGCAGAAAAATATGATCTTGCTTTATATGCAAAAGAACAGTAGAACTAGAGCATTAGTAATGCCTATCACACCCAGTGTGTGTGTTGACTGGTACTCATGAAGGTCTTTTCATGATGTGCAATGGATGCTTTGTTTACTTGATTTTATAGCTTCTGGATTGAGAGAAGATCCTGAATTGGTTAGAATTGGGCAGTAATACTGGAACAGAAAGTTAGAGATGACACCAGATAAAATAAATTTTCCCATTTATATACTTCCCATTTTTTTTTCAGTGTGAGTGACAAATGATGTTTTAGTTTGCTTATGAAAAGTTAGAAAACAGGACAGTGGAGGCTGAGATTTTTAGTTTCAGAGTAATTGAGATGTAAATAGGAAAGTCATGGACAATCAACTGTTATTCTTTATTAAAGTTAGATCATAGCATATGATTTTATATTTAGTGCAGCACTTCAGTGTATATCAATTCTATAGTTTTTTATTTCTGCCAATATGAGTTAGTTGCTGGTAGTTGTCCCCTCCAAATCTCATGTTGAAATGTGATTCCTAATATGGGAGGTGGGGCCTGGTGGGAGGTGATTGACCCATGGGGGCTGATCTGGCATGAATGATTTAGCGCCATGCCCTTGGTAATAAATGAATTCTCACCCAGTTCACTTGGGATCTGGCTATTTAAAAGAGTTTGGAACCTCCCTCCTCTTTCTCTTGTTCCTGCTCTCACTATGTGATGCGCCTGCTCCCCTTTCTTCTTCTGCCATGATTGGAAGCTTCCTCAGGCCCTCACCAGGAAGAGATGCTGGAGCCATGCTTGTATAGCTTGCAGAACTGTGAGCCAATTAAACTTCTTTTTTTTTTTTTTTGGAGGCGGTTTCTTACTCTGTCACCCAGGCGGGAGTGCAGTGGTGCGGTGCGATCACAGCTCGCTGCAGCCTCGACTTTCTGGGCTCAAGCGATCCTCTCACCTCAGCCTGACAAATAGCTGCGACTACAGGTGTGTGCCACCATGCCTGGCTAATGTTTTTTCTATTTTTTGTGGAGGTGGGGTTTGCCATGTTGCCCAGGCTGGTCTTGAACTTCTGGGCTCAGGTGATATGCCTGCCTTGACCTCCCAAAGTGCTGAGATTGCAGGCCTAAGCCACCGCGCCTGGCCCTAAACCTCTTTTTAAAATAAATTACCCAGCCTCAGATACTTCTTTATAACAGCACAGGAACAGACTAATAATAGTTGCCAAGTCTTCATGATATTTCTTTATCATCTTTTAGATCTTTTGATGGATATAGACAATCTGGTATATAGTTTAGGTATTTAGACTTTGGAGCCTGGCAGACTTGTGTTTCCCTGGGTAAGTTATTTAGTATTTATGAGATTTTTACCACCACCTCTATCTGCTGAAAAAAGGGATATTAATAGTATTTATCTTATAGTGTTATGAGTATCCAATGAGATGATGTATTAAGCGTTTAATCTAGTAGACTTCGCTTACTAAATTTAATGTGTTGTGATCAGCATTTTACATAAATAAGATGGATAGGAGTGAAGTTGAATAGAAAATGTCAGTTTATCCCCCTAGGTAGAATGGTTAAATATTGTTTTGTAAAACTTTTGTGTCAGGTGTTGTTGGGGGAGGTTCTGAGTGTGTGTCTTTAAGTGTGTTTATATGTGTATATATACTGGGGTTGTTACAAAGGTTTTCCCCCTTTATTCTGAGGAAAATGGGAGACTTCAAAGAGAACAGTGAAAATGATCAGATATGAATTTAAAAAATCAGAATACTGAGTTATGATTTACAGAATAAAATACACCCATTTTAAAGTGTATTTCTGTGAGTTTTGACAAATATACCTATGCAGCTATACCTATATACCTATGCAGCTAGCATAACATTAAGATATTAGAACATTCATTATCTGCAAAAGTTAGTGTTCTACTGCATTTGTGCCTTGCAGGCTAGTGGCAACCACTGATATGCTTTTTGTCATTCTAGATTAGTTTTGCTTTTATAATAATTTAGTATAATTAATAATGATTGGCTTTTTTGTGTCTGCTCTCCTTTGCTAAGAAGCATTCCATTTTATGTATACCACAGTGTTTATCCTCTTTTTACCTGTTGGTGGATATTTAGATTGTTTTCAATTTCTGAATATCAGGGGTAAAGCTGTCATAAACAATGATATATGCCTCTTTGTGTGAACATATATTTTCATTTCTTTTGAGTAATACTTGGGAGTGGGATTGCTGGGGTATATAAGAAACTGCAAAACTGTATTCTGAAGTGATTGTCCCATTTCACATTTCACATTTCCATCAGCAATGTATGAATGTTCTAGTTGTACATCTTTTTAAAAATCAACCACATGTCCCTTTTTGCAATAGTTGTGACAGGCTTTTCAGTTTTATTTAGATAGTGGGTCTCTTCAGTATTCCTGAAAAGAGTATGAATTCCCCAGGTAGCCTCTGTTGTGGTATTTTTTAGAAAGAGACACGGTAGTACTGTGGCATATCCCTCCCTACACTCCGCCTCTTGGTGTTCCAATTCAGTTGTTTTATTCTTATCTATTTGCCACTCATTTATTTATTCAGATATTTACTGAGGTTCCTTGCGCTAGGACTTTTTATAGGTGGCAAGAACACAACTGTGAATAACACAGATAACTTCACTCTTTTTTAATGAGTTCATATTCTAATGGTGGGGCAGACAAATATGCAAAAGAATAAATGAATAAGATAAAGTTAATTTTTGATAGCCATAAGCACTTTGAACAAAAATGCTTGGGGAGGTGGAAAATGACATTGATAAGTTGGGTGGTCTAGAATAACATCTCTGACAAGATTTGGCCAGTAAAACACAGGAGAATGCAGAGTAGATAAGGAATGAATTCCCTTTGAGAAGGAACCCTGAAATTAGACAAAGTAGGCTGCATGTGATGGTTTGGGTTTCTAGCTACTCTACTAGAGCTACTTCAGGAAGAAGATAGTTTGGCATTGTGACAGGAGTACGGCCTTTGGAATCAGGATGTGTAGACCTCTGTTTGACTTCTTTTGATGACCGTGCCCTTGCCACTATATCCACACAAGTACCTGTTGTGTGTTCTTTCTGAAGATGCTTCACCCTAGAGCATGAGTTTCTTCCTGTGTCAAAGCAGGGAACTTACCTGTTAGGATTGTTTGGTAGCAATTAGATTTTGTGTGTCTATTCCTTGTATGTAGATATATAGTGGAATTTATTATCTCATCCTGTTATTTTCTTGCTCAAGAACTGCCCATTCATATCTGAAAGGAGAAATTGGAGAAGAAAATCACCTAAATTATAAAATTAGTCAACAAATTTTTTTGAATACCTATAATATGGCAGGCACTGTTAAGTATTAACAATAAAATAGGGAAAAAGGCAGAACTTTTCAAATTGCCCTTTTAAAAGAAGTTAGTAGTTTTCAAGGAAGGAGAAAAATAAAGAGGAAAACAGTTAAAATGAGAAAATGTGGAACTAGCAGTTAGCTTGATTAGTCTATTTGCTTAAACTAGATAGTAAAAAAGATTTTAGTGTGTTAGGATTTGAGTATAAGTTCTAACTTCTTAGGGCAAAACAAATTTTGTTAGGTCTTTTTTGTGGAACTAAAGTGTTGTGTTTAGAAAAATGACCTGTGGAAATGATTTTTTTTTTTTGTTGAGTCCTTTGGAATGGAAAAAAGGTAGTTCATTTTAGGTGAGGGGCTAAATTGACTATGGAAAGTTATTTCAGTTACTGAGACTGGGGATAAAGCAGACATCTCTGGGGCCTCGTTATTAAAAGCTGAAGATTTGTGTTCAAGTCCTGGTAGAAGTATCAGTGGTAAAAATATTTATAACAGTCAATATTGGTTGAGGACCTTGGATCTAAATATAAGCTTTATTTTCCTAAAGAGGAAATCTATGCTGAAAAAAGTGAAATGAATTGTGCCAAAGTCCAGTGCCTCACTTGGTCTCTGTTGACAGTTGTCGGGAGGGGCTCCCCACTGTGTTTCCATCGATACCTGCCTTGGCTGGAGAGGCAGATGTACTTCATTAGTGCTGTCCATATGGCCTCCGCTGACAGCAGGGGGAAGGAAGGTGTGGTTTGTTTTCACCTAGTGTGGAGGGAAGTCCCGGCTGTATACTGGGCCTTTTCTGGTAACCATGCCTCTGGTGGGTGGTGGTTGGGGGCGAAAGTGGGGTCTATGGTGGTGATTGGGGCGCCTTATTATAGCCTGATGAGGATGGAAGTCTAGGTTCCCTACTTGGTCATTGCTACCATGGGCAGGACTGGTGCTACAGTTTTTTTTTTTTTTTTTTTTTTGTCCCTGTGGTGTTTGACTGTGGCACAGTGGTTATTGTCTAAGAGCTCTCTGTCTTGCCAGTCTGCCTGTTTCCTGGTCATTTGGCTAGGGCTAACACTAGTGGGCTTTTCTTGAGTTTTGTTTTCTTCTTCTCTGCTTGCATTGGCATTTCTATGTTGCAGACTTCTCCAGTACCTAGCCTGGGATATAGGCAAAAAGAATATTAGTGAACTCACTGCCATGTTGTTCCTCAGATTCTGAGGAACTTGCTCAGTTCCTGTCCCTGGCTGGTCTGCCTTCTTTTCAAAATTTAATTATTTATTTATTTTTTACATATGTAAGGTCCAGAGCTTTAAAATATATTTAGCAGGAAGAATAGGGAAACACCTACTCCATCTTTCTGTAAGGGAAAATCTAGATGGTGATGCTTGTAATGCACATCCATAACAGTTGCTTATCTTGCTCATAAGTAAGGTTTTTACTCAGTCTAAATACTCATAATTATAAAAGTTCTTTTCTATTAGAAGTGGCATAGTAGGCCAGGCGTGGTGGCTCACACCTGTAATCCCAGCATTTTGGGAGGTCGAGGCGGGCAGATCACCTCAGGTCAGGAGTTTGAGACCAGCTTTGCCAACATGGTGAAACCCCGTCTCTACTAAATATACAAAAATTAGCTGGGCGTGGTGGCGGGCGCCTGTAATTCCAGCTACTCGGGAGGCTGAGGCAGGAGAAGTGCTTGAACCCGGGAGGTGGAGGTTGCAGTGAGCCGAAATCGCACCAGTGCACTCCAGCCTGTGTTGCAGAGTGAGACTCCGTCTCAAAAAAGAAATGGCACAGTAATAGCTGTTTTTAAGCTGTTGTTATTAAGCTAGTGTTTGGAAAAGTTTAAATATTAGTTGCCATTAAAAAAGAAGAATAGATTTGCATTCAGCAAAAAGCTAATAAACGTAGTTGATACCCTTTAAGTTATGACTTGCTTCTGAAGGTTAAGATAACACATGAGATTTAAGATAACTCTCACGCCTGTAATCCCAGCACTTTGGGAGGCTGAGGCGGGCAGGTCACCTGAGTTCTGGAGTTCAAGACCAGCCTGACCAACGTGGAGAAATCCCGTCTCTACTAAAAATACAAAATTAGCTGGGCTTGGTGGTGCATGCCTGTAATCCCAGCTACTTGGGAGGCTGAGGCAGGAGAATTGCTTGAACCTGGGAGGCGGAGGTTGCAGTGAGCCGAGATCATGCCATTGCACTCTAGCCTGGGCAACAAGAGCGAAACTCTGCCTCAAAAAAAAAAAGAAAGAAAGATAACCTAACAGAGCAAGTGACTAATTGGAGACATTGAATAATTATTGGTGGACTCTGTTCACTGATGAGTTTCATATAAAAGGGTGCAGAGTCCGATCACCTGAGGAGGCTGGGGAGGAGCAGGTGAGGAGGAATACTTAGAAGGTGCATTTGGTAGTGAATTTTGCAAGCGCCAGAGCACAGAGAGTCATGGAAAAAGCAGAGAAATATCAGCGGAATGATATCAAAAGAGAAGGTTAACAAAGTATTTTTATTCGCTGTACTTAAAAGAGTGTTAGCAGGACAGTATTTGTTGATAAGGGGATTCAATCTGTGAACAGTGAAGCAGTTTGTTTTTGTGAGCTTTGTAGTGATCCTGGAGGTGGTACTACTTACTTTACAACCTGTTACTGTTATAATGTTTTTATTTTGCTGCTTTAAAAAATAAGTGGATATGTTAACAGAAGGTGTCTCAGGTGCTGGTAAGTGAACTGCTGTTACTTACATTTTTAAATTTAAAATGAAATTTTGATCCCTTGTGAAGAGTTTCTTGACCTTGATATAAAGTGTTCTAGACTTTTTGATATAGTCAGGAAGAAGAAAACAAAAATTACCCAGTAAGTTTTTCAGGAAGCTGACAAATGAATAAAAATCACTCAGATGTTTTTTCTTGGTTTCAACCTAAATTTCTAGCAATTTTTTTCTCTTCGTTTAGAATACAGGTTTTTAAAAAATTAGTTTGAAAAATTATCTTTTATTTAAAAATGTTTATTTTCAGTTTATTTGCAGATTTCCATAGTAAATATAATGTAAATTATATTTACATTAAATCTTTAAATATAATTAAAATCTTTTTTAAAGCTACTTGAAAAATTAGCAATATGAAGAATAAGAGATGTATGTATATAGCTACTTTGGAAAGTCTCATTGATTTAGAAAAAAATTCTTTTTTTAGAAGGATGCTGATTTAGTTTTTGACTGTTGTTATTCCAGTTTTCATAAGAAGAAATATTTAAGTAAAGGAAATGACAATTTGGTGTTATATGGTGTTTAGTTTTAAAAATCTTTTGCTTTATGAAACTGTTAGATCTTTTGGATGGATGTCAGTGATGTTTTCCAGTATTTATAGAAATGTATTGACGACTTTAATAGAACAATTCAAGAGCTAGCTTTATAATAGTTCATATAGAGAACATTTTGATGTTTGATTTACTTTCATTAATTGGAGACAGATTAAGGGAGAAAACCTTGCAGATATTGGAATATTAAATGGAAGACAAGTTTACTGGCTAATTGGGAATTGTAATGAAAATGGTAGATGTTAATTAGCTTGACTGTAGTAATCATTTCACTATCTACACATATGTCAAAAGATGTTGTATACCTTAAGTATATGCAATTTTTATTTAGAGAAAAGAACAGATCTCCATTTCCACTTGTGTTGAATATGTTGCTTAAGCAAGAAATAAATCTTCATTGACAATAAGTAAAAATAAAAATAAAAAACGGTTGAAAGAATGCCAAAGTTGTGTATAGTTATTGATGATACATCATAGTATGTTTTCTGTTACTGTTAAAGCATTAACTATTTTACACATATATTAAGAGTAATTCATTCTGTGACTTGAGTTATTTTAGATAATACTATTCTGAATTTCACATAGACTATATTCAGTGAGTTGGAGAAATACTTTATACAGGTAATACTAGAAAATATATATAAGGATTTACATTTGATAAAGTGTACTCGCATAGCATATGTGTCTTTTTCCAAATGCCCTATAACAATGTGACATAACACTGTTATTTGTAGGTACACCAAATCTTTTATTTTATTTTAAATCACAGACATAGTATATGTTGAAACAAAAGTCAAAGCAATATAGAAGTATCCATTGTGAAAAGTACCTTTCTTTATAACCCTCCCTCAGCTTTCTTCCATGTTTAGAAATTTGGTAGATAGCTTTAAAGACTGTTTCCTATAAAACAAATCTTTTAAATGGAATTATTTGTACCATTTCCCCCTTTTACATACTATTCTTCATACTGTAAATAGAAATTCAAGAAATTCAAGACATTATTATATATAAACCATGTTAATGTTTGCCTTGGACTTAATCTGGAAAGTTACATTCTCATTTTTTCCCTTTAGGAGTTAATACATTTTGTTTCGGCTAAGGTATTTCAGATTGGTCACTACTGTAGAAATAAGGTAAACCAGGTATCAGGAAAGTTGAGTGCCAGAGCTGGGCTTCTGGGATATCTCCTGCTCTAGCTCCTTGGACCCAGCACGACTTGCCTGCTGTGTCACTCTCATCTGTGGCCTCAAGGAGTCTAGCATCCTTGAGAAAGAATTTCCCATGTAAGCCTCATGTTTTTTCCGTTAGAAGAAATTGTAAACACATTAGCCCTCATTTTCTTGCAGTTCTTATTCTTAAACCCCTTCATCTAGGCCTGAAGGTGGAAATGACATTTTTTAGATGAACAAAACTATTAGGAAAAATGTGACCATTATAAAATATTGGGTTATTTTCAGTTCATTTCAATCATTGTGGTATGTCTGAAAGAATGAGTAAAGAGAAAAGTTCTTAAGTGTTTTTTTTTCCACTGTACTTCACTTGGCTCTCATTTACATTCCTGGATAGAAAAAAGGAAAGGAGTAGGATGCCATTGACAGTGAATTTATATAACTTCCCCCACCCCATTTCTACTTTTGCCTTCTCTGAATACAGGAGGAATAGTTTAAATAGGAAGTTCCTTTGTCCAAAATGTGGAGAGCAATTGTGTAACAAAAAGCATAGTAGAGGAGAGAAGTTTAGAAACTTTCAAAGTAGGTCTGCTATATCTGTCATTTTTGTTTTCCTTGCCGATTTTGATCTATTGACACTTAGACGATACGTACTGATTTCATATTAAGGACATTTTTTCTTGTTGGTCATTTTTCTTTGAACTTAAGTGCTTTAGTGAATATCCAATTTAATTTAATCATAATAAAAAGGAAAATCAAATGACTTTAAGTAGTTTTTCCTGGATATTCCTTATATATTATTACTTATATTAAAAAAAACAAAAATACTTCAGGAGTATGGTAGGCCATTTTGTTAGGTTAAAATCTAAATCAATCATTTCTAGACTATTTTTTAAAATGTAAGCCTAAAATTAGTCAGAGCTAAAATAGTTGGCAGTATATACCAGATAAACATTTAATTCTTATTTTCCTTATTCTTTAGTAATACCACTTTTTCATATTGTCTGATTATGCTTCTGTGAAGTAGGAGATACTAATTTTATATACTTCTGGAAATCCTGAATGTTAAATTAAAATAATTAAGTATATTCCTTAGATTTTAATTAGCTTAAGCAGAATTATTACTGTGTTTAGGAATTTGGTGACTAGGTAACCTGCCTGTTTCATTTGAGAAATGAAATGAAGTTCTTGACTTCTCACCTGGTTTTTATTATTCTTTGCGACCTTTGAGTCTATGGAATACAAGTAAATTGCTTTCTATTTTCAAATCATGATAATGGCCACAGCCATGATTAGATAGCCAGATTATTATATGGACATATTACAACATGAAGGAGTGGTTTGTGAATTTTGTTGATTATCTTTTTAGTTGTTTGTTTTGGTTAATACAATCAAAATTATGTATCTTTGATTACCTTAATAGATGAAGAGTAGATATACCCTTTAACTTCCCCCACCATTTGCATATGTATTTCAGTTTTTATCCTCTTGTTGTACTACCTACTCTTTATCTATAAGCAAAACCAATCAGTATAGCACATTCTTATCTATATGGAGATTATCCATATTGTATTTTTTCTTGGCAAGTTTTGTATTGACATTACCTATTGTGCAAGTGGCTTCCCTCATTTGAAGTATGAAACTCGAGTTTTTCAGAGTTTGCTTTGACTATACATGATTGCTTTCCAAGTGAGGACTCTTTTTTACTACATCTCCTGAAGTTATTTTCCAAGTCAGGAAAGGAAGTGATGTTGGTAGGAAATAAATACTGCAATGTTAATATGTATGCTATTTCCTGGCTCTTTTGGTAAAAGTGAATGAAGGGCAGAGGAAGGAATAAACACTGGAAGCCTTACTAATACCTTAGGTACTAGGTAAAGTTTGCTATATTAGATAAAATTTGCTATTGAAATTGATAGCCAAAGAGTAGTCTGGTAGAGGCACTATGTTTCCAGAAACTAGGGAAAAGAGTAGATTGGTGAGAGTGTATGTGTGTGTTTCTAGTAGTAAGGGATTGTAGCTCGGAGGAGTTCCAGAGAAGAAGGTGGTGGACCTCACAGCAAACTTTACCTTATTTGTAATTTTGCCTAGAGCCTTGAGGTCTAAGCAAAATTGTACTTGTGGTAACATCTCAGTTGGCAGTATGTATTTGGAAGGCTGTAAACCTGAGTTTTTTCTATTCATTGTAGACTATAAGATTTTTTAAGTTGCTTTCCCCCTTTTATTTGTATCTTTTGTCTTCAGAAGATTTATTATATCTAATATTCTTAGATATGATTATGTCCCAGAGAAAATTGAAGGTTCCTAAAATGGTTCTAGATCTTGAGCAATGAATTCATATATCATGTTAACATTGTTTTACAGCAAATGAACACAATGGAACCAGGATTTGTATACAGTTTGTCTGTCTCCTGAACCTGTCCTCTATCACATTTGGTCAGATTGGAGTTACTTTCAAGAGGAACAGGATTTGAATAGTAAGTCAAGTGCTTGGTCTCCTGTACTAGAAGCAACAGTAGCTCTCAGAAGTGTGAATTTTATTTTTTCAATGTAGGTAGCTTATGAGGCAGACAGGAGAATCCAAAATGAGCAAGTACTCTTTGGCATGTTGAGGTTGTAACTACTAGTCTTTTATGTAGATTTTGTTTTTATTAGTATGAAAAATACTTAGTGCAGTCTGAAAACTGTGAGGTTGATGGGTGTTATTAATAGCAAATCAAAGTAATTTTCTTATGTGCATTACCAATAAAAACAGGGAAATATTTGTGTATCTTTCATGTTTTGTACTTAGTAATTTTTCAAAATTCTCTACCCACTTAACTGTTTTTCCAAAATAAAAGACTCCCCCCCGATTGAAAAATATTCATTGTTCTTTTAAAAAAAGAAAAGTTTTTTTGAACAGTTACATGAAGAGGTCATGTTCATCAGAAATCCTACGTGTGGTAGGCATAAATGCCTGGAGAAGTCTGTGAAGGTGTGCTCCTACACTCAATGAAGAAGTATACCTGTTGTTGCTGCTCTTGGTCTGTCTCCCTTCCCACCTCCCATGGATCAACTGAAAGTATAATGTTGAGACAGGTATACAAAGAACTAGGCTGTAAATTTCTTATATCCAAGAGACCAAAGTGATTCCAATAGGAGCAAAGAGGCATTACAAGGAGATCAAGAATTTGGTGAAAGAAAGGAAAGGGAGAATTATACTGTGGAGAGTAAAAGGGAGTGTGAAAACAAGGTACACTTCTCTTTCAGTCCTTTCCTGAAGGAGGTAAGTTTCATATAAAGTAGATTCTTATTTCCTGTGGACACAGTGCACCATAATGAATGAATTGATATGCTAGCTTGAAGAGGCTGCCCAGTAGAAGAAAAAGATAGCATCTGGTATGTGGTGATTTGGTATGGGACATGGAAGTAACTATGTTGTCAGCTGTGCCAGGAAGCTGCTTGGAGTACGTTGAGTGATACCTGCAGATTAGTTGTTTGTCCCCAACCAGAGAAAGTACTAGATACTGCTTGTGCCAGTGGCCCTGCCCTGGATTTCATTATTTTTGAAAGTGACAAGGTTTAGTTTTCTACCCAGAGTTACATGGGAGTTCAGAGTCAAGAAAATTGGGTTCACTAGTAAAAATCAAGTCGTCGTCTTTACCTACATTTGTTTTTTGGTTCATACCTGTAAATATATATTTGTGTCATATTGTTGGCTAAGAAGCTTCTGGGTAGCATGTATTTTTAATAGAAACATGTTTTATATATGTGGTGTTGTAAAATTGGTTTGTTTTATTCAATAGTGTGATTCAGATATCATTTCTAATACAGATATATCATTCTTTAATGACTACAGTATTTTATCAGATGCATGTACTGTAGTTTATTTAAATAGTTCACAACTAATGGCTGTTTGAGCTTCTAATTTACTACTTCTTTTGGGGGATGAGACAGAGTCTCTTTCTGTCACCCATGCTGGAGCGCAGTGCTGTGATCTTGGCTCACTGCAACCTCCGCCTCCTGGGTTCAAGTGATTCTCATACCTCATCCTCCCAAGGAGCTGGGGTTACAGGAGTGTGCCACTACGCCTGGCTAATTTTTGTATTTTTAGTAGAGAGGTGGTTTTGTCATGTTCGCCAGGCTTGTCTTGAACTCCTGACCTCAAGTGATCTGCCAGCCTCAGCCTCCCAAAGTGCTGGGATTATAGGCATGAACCACTGCATCCAGCCAGTTCATTTATTATATATGGAACTTATATATTTGGTTGGGTTTATTTCTGGATTAGAGTGTTATACAACTGTCTCATGCTTTGCTGTTTTTACCAGTTGTAAATAGTAGTTTATTAAGTATTTTAGTGCCTACTTGGTGCTACTGTTTTAGGCAGTGGAAATACAATAAAACATAATCCCTTCTGTCCTGGAACATAACATTTTAGTGATGTACCTACTGATTTTTTAGTCACAAAAAGGGTCACAAGTTTAGAGGTAAGTCTCTTGATGGCAGAGGCAAAGGATGTCTCACCTATCTTTTTTTGTGCCGGAATAGGGAATCTAGGAGAGATCACAGAGATTTTTTTGGATCTTTTGCCCATTTAAAAAATCAGGCTGTTTGCTTTTTTATTGTTGACTTTTAATATTTCTTTGTATATCTCAAATGACAGTCTTAGGCATCTTTTGCAAATATTTTCTCCCATTATGTGGCTTATCTTCTCACTCTCTTGATACGTTTGCTTTCTTAGTGCATGGCAACATCTGAGCAGTTGCCCAAGTCAGGAACTTGGGCATCATCTTTGACTCTTTCTTCTTAGGTTGTATCTACTGAATTATCTAGATTCTGCCTCTTGAATATTTTCTGACTCTTTCAGCGTTTCTCCCCTTTGTCACGATTATAACTTAGGGCACATTCTGCTCTCACCTGGTATATTTAACTCTAGTACTGCCCCCCCCCCCCCCCCCAACTTATTGCACTATGGCAGCATCTCATCTTCTGTTAGGTCCTCACATGAATTCATTTTGTTCAGTGTCGTTTTGTTGTAATGTTGATGAAAAAAAATTGGTTCCTAGCTGGGGCCACTGTCTGTGGAGTTTGCATATTCTCATGTTTGCACGGGTTTTCTCTGGGTACTCCAGTTTCCTCCCACATCCCCAAGATGCGTACTTGAGGTTCATTGGTGTATCTACATCATTCCCAGTCTGAGTGTGCCTTGCGATGGAATGGTGTCCTGTCCAGGGATGGTTCCTACCTGGCACCCTGAATTGGTGGGGATAGGCTCTGGCCACTGGAAACCCTGAACTGGAATAGGTGCATAAATAGTTATCTTACTGGTTTTTATTAATTTTACTAAATGTATGTATAGCTCACATTTATTTCAGTGTTTATTATTAGAAGTGTTTTGATCTTTATTTATAAGTTTGGTGATGTTTTTGTGACCCAGAGGTATGCCACAGGAATTTAACTCTTGTTTATGTCAACTAGCCTATGCTAAAATCGGTTTCCTTGTACATTGTTTTGCTTAAAGTCACAATTTCCAAGAAGTTATCAAAGACTTTAAGTGGGAATTTACTGTATTTCAGATTGCCTACCCAGACTCAGAGAGCTTTATATCAGCCGTCTGCTCGCCTTGCTATTCTTGAATTTTACCACCCTTATCATCTTTCCCTTCCTTCCATGCTCCAGGCAAATTTAGTGTTGTCTTCATTCCTCAGAAGCTCTGTGCTTCCCATTGCCTTCCGGCCTGCTCATATGCTATGCTTTCCTGTTAAGACACTCTTCCTATTGCCTTCTCTGTACCTTGCTAACTCTCATTTATTCTTTCTGTCTCAGTAGAGATGTCACTTTCTCTGAGAAGTCATCCCGATTTGCCTTAACACCACTGAATTTATGTTAGCTACACTTCCTGTGTTAGGCATTTGGTGTTTTCTATTTATAGCATTTATCATGAACATTTTTTAAAATGACCTTTATTGAAGTATAATTTATGTACAATAAATGGCATCCATTTAAAATGTAAAATTCAGTAAGTTTTTAAACAATTGTATACAACCGTGAAACCTCTGGCACAATAAAGATGCAGAGGCTCTATGTGTTTATCAAGAACTCTTGTGCCACTTTACTGTCCATCTCTCTTTCTGTGATCCTACCCCGACAAAACCATTTATCTGCTTTTTAATCTATACATTAGTTTGTATTTTCTAAGATTTTTAATGTACCATATATATTTTGTGTCTGGCTTCTTTCAATCAGAATTAGAAATTGATAGATTTTTTTGTGTATCAATAACTTCTTCATTTTTATTGCTGAGTAGTGTTCCATTGTTTATTCATTTACTTGATGGATGTTTGGATTGTTTTGAGTTTTTGGATATTTATTACACTGAATTTTAACTGCCTGGTTATTTTCTGTATTCTTTTGTAAAATGTACAGTACTGTGAGAACAAAAGACAGTCTCTCTTGTTAACATTTGTATGCCTAGCTGCTGCCTGGTACTAGCAGGTGCTCAATAAGTGTTTATGAAAATGCTAAAGAGCAGAAAGGTGATACTATGTCAAGTAGTACAAATATAAATTTACTTTAGTGTCTGTTGAACCAGGATTTTCATTAAGGAATAGTATTCATTCAGTGTCTTATTTAGGTTGACACTTGTGGACATATATTGCCAGAACTTATTTACAAGGTAATAGCTTTTTTACCTTTTTAACATATAACTGAACGTTATTTTAAAATTTATGGGTTTTGGCTGGGCAAAACTAGTACCAGCACCCTGGGAGGCCAAGAAGGGAGGATCACTTGAGCCCAGGAGTTGAAGACCAGCCTGGACAACATAGCAAGATGCTATCTCTACCCAAAAAAAAAATGTGTTTTTTGATATCATACTAAGATAATCAGCTTTTAAGAGTAAAAAATTTCTTTAAGAATTCTCATTTTCAATTGCTATGCCAGAGATTCCGAAACTTTCTTGGTTTACACAACACCATTATTGTCTCAGTCCTTATTTCATGATGCTCCTACACCAAAAGAAAGACCTAAGAGTTGTTCTTACTGTTGGATTCGAGTAACTTAATAAATGTTTATATTTTAACAATTTAACCATTTAAAAAATAATACACAGAAACTGAAAGAAAAAACATTTATTCTTAATCAGAATTATTACTAATGAAATGTGTACACCTTTTGGGCACTGCACTGTTGCGGGAAACCGAGGACTGGAGAGACGATATGAGGGGAAACAGGAGGATTGTTTATTTAAGGTATGTACTGGCTCAGCTTTTTGGATATGAATCCACTGAGCCAGTGCATACCTTAAATAAACAATCCTCCTGTTCTCCATATTGGTCTCTCTGGTCCTCAGTTTCCTGCAACAGCACAACTCTCAAATTTTGGAAATGATAGGTTACCAGTACTCTTCTTTTCCTGTTCCACATTGATTTTTAAAAAACTATAGCTAGTAATAATTATAGTACATAATAGTTATTTTGCACTGTATTAAAAAACTAGCACATTATCAGTTCTCAAGTATTTGAAGTATGTTTTATAAGAATCCTTTTCGGCCGGGCGTGGTGGCTCACGCTTGTAATCCCAGCACTTTGGGAGGTCGAGGCAGGCAGATCACCTGAGGTCAGGGGTTTGTGACCAGCCTGGCCAACATGGTGAAACTCCGTCTCTACTAAAAATACAAAAATTAGCCAGGTGTGGTGGTGCATGCCTGTAGTCCCAGCTGCTCAGGAGGCTGAGGCAGGAGAATTGCTTGAACCCAGGAGGCGGAGGTTGCAGTGACCAGAGATCGCGCTCAGTGCACTCCAGCCTGGGCAACAGAGTGAGACTCCTTCTCAAAAAAAAAAAGAATCCTTTTCACAAGATACTTTTAAAACAATCTGTAATACTTTTATAATCATAAGAATTTATAAACTTGAAATAGAAATATTCTATTGTAAAGGTTAAGAAAAGTATACTTGGTTGGCCACCGAGGCTCACTACCATAATCCCAGTACTTCGGGAGGCAGGGTGGAAGGATTGCTCGAGCCCAGAAGGTGGAGGCTGCAGTGAGCCATGATCATGCCACTGCACTCCAACCTGGGTAACAGAGGGAGACCTTGTCTGAAGAAAAAAAAAAAAAGTATATATATATATGTATACACACACACACACACACACACACACACACACACACACACACACAATACTTGCCATATCAAGTTAAAATTGTTAATTTTAATATGAAATGTGTGAGATAGGTATCCAGTTTCATTCCCTATTAAATATGGAACGTTTTTCTTGCACAATGTATTTTAAGATTCCATCTTTCCTCATTTTTTTCTGTTTTAAATGAAGTTTGTCTGTTTATGGATTTCCTATTTTGTTTCATTTATCAGTACTGTCTTTATGCCAGTAGCACATTGTCTAATTCTATCGTTATAGTTTTCCTTTGTATTTTCGTTAACAAAAACTCCCTCCGCTTTCTTTTCCTTGAAGTATTTTCACTGTTCTTAGCCTTTTGTTCTGTATAAATTTAGAAACAGCTTATTAAATTGCTACTCCAAATTTTTTGTGTATTTGAATTGCATTGATATATTACATCAATTTTAAGGGAGAACTGATATATTTTTATGATACTGAGTTTTCAGTTACTAAATATGGCATAACTTTGTTTTTGTCTTCATGTCTTCCAGTAAAATTTTATACTTTTCCATGATGGTTCACATGTCTTATTTTATAGCCATGACTTAGATCAGGGGCTATCAAACTACCAGCCCACAGGACAAGTCTGAATACCACCTGTTTTTGTAAGACCCATGAGCTAAGAATGCTGAGAATTTTATAAATGGTTGGAAAAAATCAAAAGGATAATATGACATATAAAATTATTTGAAATTAGAATTTTAGTGTCTATAAATAAAGTTTTATTGGAACATAGTTATATTCATTCATTTAAATATCTGACTGCATTTATACCACACATAGGAGTGTTGATGGTTGCAACAGAAAGTGTATGGTCTGCAAATTGTAAAATATTTACTATCTGGCACTTTATAGAAAGTTTGTTTACCCCTGACTTTGAATTATTGTTTGTCTTTGTATCTCAGTGTTTCTTTGTAGTTGGGGTGAGTGGTCGGGGTGGGGTTTGAGCCTCTCTTTCCTTTATCTTCATCTCCAGTTCTGATAAAACTTAAACTCATGAGTCACTGTTACCAAAATGTGTTTTATTCTTCAGATATGTTTGAGCAGAGCAAAGGTTGGAAACTATTGATATTATGATTTATATAGTAATTACTGTAGCTATTTTTTGGTATTTTACATTTGAGGATTTAATATAAAAAATATAACTTAACTTGCCTCTTTATTTATTTTCCCTTTTGTAGGAAATTAAAAGAGAGACGGAATTCAAGGATGACAGTTTGCCCATCAAACGGGAAAGGCATGGGAATGTAGCAAGTCTTGTACAACGAATAAGCACCTATGGACTTCCAGCTGGAGGAATTCAGCCACATCCACAAACCAAAAACATTAAGAAGAGTATGTAAATAATTCCTTTCCTGCATAATTACATCAAAATAGAAGGATATTTTATAACTGTGTCTAAATTAAGAAAAATTAGTTCAGTCTTTTGTAGACAACTACAGTAACTTCCTGCAAAGTCTCATGTTACTAGTTATTGCCCTGTGTAGTCAATCTTAATTTTTAGTCATGTGCAATCAATAACAAATCAATATCATTATAAATTAAAGCATGAGGCTCTGTTTTCTTATTTATCTTTCAGACTCTGCTGAATGATTACCATTTTACCTTAACTATATTTTAATACCATTTATTTAGTGGGATTCTGAAATATCTGCTGATTCTTAGCATAGATACAAGAATTTTGATAGTGCTTTTTCTTCAGTTGTTAAACATCTGAACATAAACATTTCCAAGGTGGTTGGCCTTGCAAATTACCTTGTAAGGATTTGGTACTGTGTAAATATGTTAGGGGAACAACTTGGCAAAGAAGGAGAGCATTACATTTGAAATCAGATAAGGGTTTGAGTCTGTCTTATGACCTCAGAAAGATCATTTAAACTGTTGAGTTTTATTTGCTGCTAGTGAGAAAGTGGTTAAGAAAAAAAGCAAAACAAAACAAAAAACACCAGGTAATATTGCTGTTCTCAAAGAGCTTACATTCTTGGAAAAGAAATTGTTATTTAAGGCCAAGTGCAGTGGCTCACTCCTGTAATCCCAGCACTTTGGGAGGCCTAGGTAGGTGGATCACCTGAGGTCAGGAGTTCGAGACCAGCCTGACCAACATAGTAAAACCCCATCTCTACTAAATATACAAATTAGCCGGGCGTGGAGGAACTTGCCTGTAATTCCAGCTACTTGGGAGACTGAGGCAGGAGAATCACTTGAACTCGGGAGGTGAGCCGAGATCTGCCATTGCACTCCAGTCTCTGCTCCAAAAAACAAAAGAAACTGTTATTTAAAAAGTGTAAAATATTAAACGTGTACAAAGAATTACGGTGTTATGGGAGCACATAGCAAATGTTTTAACACAGTAAAACCAGAAGACCCTTCAGAGATTGAATACTTTTTTTTTTTTTTGAGATAGACTCTCACTCTGTTGTCCTGGCTGCAGTGGTGCAGTCACAGCTCACTGCGGCCTTGACCTCCCAGGCTCAAGCAGTTTTCCCATTTCAGGCTACTGAGTAGCTGTGACTACAGGTGTGTGCCACCACGTCTGCTAATTTTTGTATTTTTCTTTGAAGAGATGGGGTTTTGCCATGTTGCCTGAGCTGTTCTTGAACTCCCGGGCTCAAGTGATTTGCCCCCATTGGCTTCCCAAAGTGCTGGAATTACAGACGTGAGCCACCATGCTAGCCTAGAGATTGCATACTTATTACTATGGTCAATTTGATTTAACCCATCTATGCCTAGTGTCCCATTATTGGAATGCTAAGAATGTAGGAGTTATTACTATCCTGCTGTTCAAGGTCATTGCCAAGGTCTGATTGCAAAAATTCAAAAAACTGCAACCTCTGGCATAAATGGGTTAATAGTTAATGAATATTTAATCACATTTACTTTAATGTCTTTGAAATTATGGTGTATAAATCCCTGTAGTACAAAATATTCTACAATAAAGAAATTTTGTTTACATACATTTCCCAAATTGTAATTGTAAGGCTATTAATAATTTTTATAGAGTCCCCTTATGTCTCAGTCTATTACTTTCATAAGCTGTTGTCTGTCAAGTTTGGGGAAACCTCTACTTTTGGATTACATCATCCTTTGATTATTTTCATAAAATAAAAACAGGTTGTCATAAAAATGAAACAGATTTTATGACACTTGGACCAATTCTAGGGTTCTATTTGTTCTTTGTTTCTCAAGGAAATACAATATCCAGGGAATATTTGCATATTATATATACTGCTTTCTAGCATTATTGCCTGAAGGTGGATGGTTTCAGCAGTTCTGATGATGATGAATTCTGAAACTGCTTGGAGACTGGGGGACAAATAACAGTTTTATATCATACAGCTGAACCTCTATATAGAATGTCTGTGCTGAGGGAGAATTTTTAGGCCCACGGGAGGTTTTTTCATGACCTCTGTCCATAGTAAAATCCATTTACAACTTTCTTTCACTCTAGGGAGCTATAAAGGGATAAGTTTCTTCTTAAGTAGAAGTTAGACAAAGAGGTTGAAGGTTCTGAATATTTTTTCACTTTCTCTTCTAATAGGAAAGGATACAGTAAATTTTGCCTTTCGTAAGAACACTGGATGTAAATTCTTTTCTCTTGTAAGAAGGAAAAATCATTATGCAGTTGGTGCCAGGAAGCTTAGGCCTTTTTTTCCTAAGGATCTTCCATAACTTGTTTTTAAAGTACATGTGCTGCAAGGACTATATTGGTTATTTAGTGTCAGCTAACATTTAAAACAGGATGCAAATTGTTTTTGCTTTTCTGTTTTCCTGTCATTTATGTATTATTTTATGTTTATTAAACTTGATTTTTTTTTTTTTGTTACTGTTTGGATCATATCTCTAATTCCCAAAATAGATCACTTATTTAAAAGTGGCTCATTGTATTGTTACATAGTAGCAGGATACAACTAACCAGTACTATTAATATTAATTTAAAAAAACCCAAAACCATTGTATTAACATAAGGTTAATAGTGTAAACACTGCAGTGTATATGTTCAGTTTAAATCCCTGTGTGCCAAGACAAAATGAATCTGTGTATGTGTTGAATTTTGTCTAAGCAACTACAAAGGAGAGGTTCAAATAAGTATAATGATGTTGAGTATCCAAAAACTGGATTGGACTAGTGAGCTATTCTTCTCTAGTCTCCAGTATATTGGCTTTTTTGGGATAGTAATGAAGCCGTGAAAACTTTTGCTATGATCCATTGCTAAGCATGGTAGCTCATTTGGTAAAACAAAGAAGTATTAATTTTTTTTAGAGCAAACATGGAATAGTGTTTCTCAGGAAAAAGTTGATTACTGTAAGTTGCTAAAGTCAGAGAAGAGAACAAATGTGCATTTCTCAAAGCAAAAACAGGTTGCAAGTCACATTACTTCTGACACCCTTGTAAAATCAGCCACAAAGATAATGGTAAAATATTGTGTTTAGAGAGTAAATAAATTGACGTGTTTCAGCATCAGAATATTAGCAGTCAGCGTGGAATATTGGTAGATGTTTCACTTTACATTTGGAAGAAACTGATACCAGATGAAATCTCTTGGCACACGTGAGGCAATACATAGTGTTTGCTAATTGTATTTTCCTTAGTAGTGGAAACTCACGCTACAGCAGAAGTGATTTTTCATGTAGTTAATTATTTTGAGTGTAAAAGATACATTGAGATTGATACTGATAGATCACTAGTGTTTATACTGCAAGGGATGATGTTGCACATGAAAAGCTAGTTGAAACAATGCCAGTCTACACATTACTTCACTCCCATAAAACCTTTGGGTAGCAAATAGTATGCTTTCTTATTTTGAGTCAGTGCTGAAGAAAATAGTAACATTCTGAATGCTGTCAGATTATGTCCACTGACTATGCATCTTTGCAGCATACCTTTTGAAAAAATGAGTGTGTTGGTTCATGGTGGCTCTTTGACATTGAAGTATTCTGACTGGTAAGGAGAAAAAGACTCACTCAAATGACTAGATCATCTTGGGGTTAGAACACCCTACCCTCTTGAACAGGGTAGGCTGTTCTAACTTTCTATTTTATTTGGAAAATTTTAAAATATCTGGAAAAGTTGAAGGAATAATTGTGCAGTGAACATAGTATACCCTTCACCTACATATGCTGTTAACATTTTCTCACATTGGCTTTATCTTAATATACATATACTTTTTTAATGGAATCAGTTGAAAGTATGCTACAGACATAATACATTACCTCTGATCACATTATCTTTTTCTTCATGATAGTGATAATGAAGATTTTCTAAAATATTGAGTGTCTTAAGTAGAACATCTCAGCAAAGTAGGCAGTATCTTGAACAGTTTGAGCCTTTCACTTAATGGCCTAAGCATTACGATTTTTTTATTGCTAAGGATGAGAATTTTTTTTTTTTTTGGATACAGAGTCTCAGGCTGGAGTTCATTGGCACAATCTCAGCTCACTGCAGCCTCAGCCTCCCCAGTAGCTGGAATTACAGGAACACGCCACTGCACCTGGCTAATTTTTTCTATTTTTAGTAGTGATGGGGTTTCACCATGTTGGCAAGGCTGGTCTCAAACTCCTGGCCTCAAGTGATCTGCCCGCCTCAGCCTCCCAAAATGCTGGGATTACAGACCCAAGCCACTGCTCCGGGCAAGAAAATTTTTTAAAAAGATACGACTGTATGAATGGCTGATTGATACATATGTCATGTATTCATGTAATGAATATTTCATTACATGAAAATGATGTATTCATTCATCATTCATGTAAAATGGCCGAATCAGTGTTTCTCATAACATTTGATTATTTGCTTATTGAAGAAATAAATTGATTTTTATTTTATTTTATTTATTTATTTTTTGAGACAGAGTTTCGCTCTTCTTACCCAGGACGGAGTACAGTGCCATGATCTCGGCTCACTGCACCCTTCGCCTTCCAGGTTCAACCGATTCTCCTGCCCCAACGTCCCAAGTAGCTGGGATTACAGGCGTGCACCACCATGCCTGGCTACCTTTTGTATTTTTAGTAGAGACAGGGTTTCACCATGTTTGTTGGTCAGGCTGGTCTCGAACTCCTGACCTCAGGTGATCCACCTGCCTCGGCCTCCCAAAGTGCTGGGATTACAGGCATAAGCCACTGCGCCTGGTGGAGAAAGAACTTTATTTTAAAAATTGACTAATTAAATAAATTTTAATGCTTTAATAAAACCTGAAGATATTTTTTTCCAGAGCCAACTGGAACCAAAAATTGGGTCAAAAATCCTTTTGCTGTTCTGAAGTTTTAGCATTCAACCTCCCACTTCTTATTGGGGTATGCTCTTATTGTAGCATTTGATGGAAACATTAAAAACAGTCTTCAGTGAGAAATGGTTTCATAATTTAAGAGCTTTGTTTGATCTGAATATTTACATCTATTTTTCAGACATGAAATACCTAACTATTCTTGATGACTCACATTTAGAAATTAGAGATTTTCTGTTTTATTAGAAAAAGAACAAGGGCAGTAACCTTACTGAGTCTGAAATTTCACACAATTTGGTTTTGTTTTTTTAAAAATACTAAACTTGTAAAGTTTTCTGAAATTTTTGAACTCTTGTGTGTCAAATGCCTTTGTATCTGTGAGTAGTATGATCATGAGAAACAATATTGGTCTAGGCAATTAATTAAATCTGCCACATAAAGCTGGGTATGGAGGATGATTCAGAATTCACAGTCTAGCAGGGGCGAACATCAAGTTACTATAAAATAGAGATGATAGTCATAATTTTCTTGTAGGCTATAAGAGGCATTAACATGTTAAGTAATTGTAAGTGCTTGATAAATGTTTACAGTTATTCTGGTGTTTTATACTGTAAACTCAGAACTGTATGAGAGACATATGTGTAGTGATAATTTAGATGAAAAGGTAATTTTGTACTGGGGTTGTCAAGCAGAGTATATTGAAGCTCTTCTTTAGGTAGGACATACAAGCACATGGAGATTGGGAGAATAGCATTCAAGGAAGAAATGCAGCCTTTGGCAGACCCACAGAAATAAGCAAGTATATGGTATTTTTGAGGAGTAAAAATCCAGTGTGACTAGACTGTATGAGCTATGTCAAAGTACTGTGTAATCTGTAAAGGAGACAGCATACTATAGTGGAAAGATAGAAGGCTTAGAAGTGGGCATAATATTCCAGAAATGGATATAATTTTAGTTTTGCCTCATTTTAGCTATGTAGTCTTTGATGGATTATTTAACTTTTTATTTCCTTTTTTTCTCATTGGTAAATGAGATAGTGAGTGTTAATGCTTTGTTGTGTGGGAGATGTGAAGAATTTAGAATAGTGCTGGTACATGAAAGAAATGCAGTATGTCCCCGCCTTTGCTGTACCTCCTTTATTCTCTTCCTTGTTAGTAGCTTTACTTATATAATGATTTTTAGAAGACAATTTTTGTACAATTAATTTTTTTGTAGAACTGGAAAGTATTAAAGGTTACTTATGATAAGAAAATACTAATAGCTGAGTGTGGTGGCTCACACCTGTAATCCCAGCACTTTAGGAGGCTGAGGTGGGTGGATCACTTGAGCCCAGGAGTTCAGGACCAGCCTGAGCAACATGGCAAACCCCATCTCTACAAAAAAAAAAATACAAAAATTAGCCCAGTATGGTGGTGAGCGCCTGTGGTCCCAGCTACTTGAGAGGCTGAGGTGGGAGGATTGCTTGAGCCTGGGAGGCAGAGATTGCAGTGAACAGAGTTCTTACTACTGCCTGGGTGACAGAGTGAGGCCCTGTCTCAAAAAAAAAAAAAAAAAAAGAAAAAAGAAAAAATACTAGTTACAGTGTTTTTTTTAAAATGGACTTAATTTCATGTATCCTTTTATTGACACCTCTCTTCTTTTTTGTGCTTAGCATGGGTTCTGATACATTATAGAAATTAACATTTATTGACTTTGTGCAGTTTGAAATGTGAAAAATCTCAAAGTGCCCCCTTAATTGTGCTGGCAGTTAAATTAATGGATGGATTCAATATAGGCAGTCACCTCAATTTATGAGTGAACCCTATTTAAATATGAAATAATGTGGAATTATTTTTTTCTTTTTAAAATAAATGACTCATAATTTGTGGTAATAATAGCTATTTAGATGTTTTTATCTAATGTGACTCCTTCCTTTGATTAAATCTTTTTTTTTCATTTTTTGCAAATGATTCTGTTAATACAAACTACTTGGGAAAAATTATGTTTAGTGTGAGAGGAAGAAATAAAGCTCTTGGGTAAAATATAACTAGGCTGCTCAGACTTCATTGACTTGCCTGGGTTGGGGCTAATGAGTAGTCCATTTCACCTTAAGTCCAATTTTAAGAGATATTAAAATTCATGAAAAAGAAACCACATTTTAAAAAAGGTCTGAAATTATCAGAAAGAAAGGATTTTATTCTTATAAGAGCACCTTGAACAAAATAGACATTTCTTTTCAATAATATGGATTGTTTGCCTCTTGTCTATGAAGTGCTAACTGCAAATAACACATTAATGAACACAGTTTCTCAAGGTCACTGGAACAACTTGCAAAGGTATTTAGGGACACTATATTTCAAGAGATGAGAAGTTTTCCTATAGCACGCAAAAAACTATTTAAATTACTTAAAAATTTACCGTGAGGTCTGGTGAAAGGTGAAATGTGAAAAATTTTACTGTGAACTCTAGGTTAGTTAAAAAATTATGGTTACTGTTCACTTTCTTTTTCCTTTTTTTTATTTTTTGAGACGGAGTCTTGCTCTGTTGCCCAGGCTGGAGTGCAGTGGCACGATCTCAGCTCACTGCAAGCTCCGCTTCCCAGGTTCATGCCATCCTCCTGCCTCAGCCTCCTGAGTAGCTGAGACTACAGGCACCCACCACCACGCCCGGCTAATTTTTTTGTATTTTTAGTAGAGATGGGGTTTCACCATGTTAGCCAGGATGGTCTTGATCTCCTGACCTCATGATCCGCCTGCCTCGGCCTCCCAAAGTGCTGGGATTACAGGCATGAGCCTCCACGTCCAGTCTGTTTGCTTTCTTTGGCTTCTTTTATTATAAAAACTACAATAAAAAATCAGATACAAATTATTAATTGCTTTAGGAAGGGGAAAAAACCTTACACAGATGTAACTTTCTTATTTGGAGACTCAATTATTTTATCTACTTGATGGTTATCTCTGTTTTGTACCTTTCCATGCTATTGGTTGCATGTAGTGTGCTTCTTTTGTTGTTTTGGGGGTGAAGTTAGATTACTTTTTGTCTTGATAAACAATTTCGTAGATTCACAGAATGTCAGAGCTGAGGTAACTGTAGTGGTTTTCTAGTTCCGCATTGTAATTTTATGGCCCAGGAAATTGATTCCTAGAGAATTTCAGTGAAATAACTAGGTAATGACAACTGTACAAGAACATAAGTCTTCTGACTTCCAGTACAGCTGATATTTCTATTGTAGCATGACATCTTTCTTTACAAAGAGTTTATTTGGAGATCATGATTTGATGCAGTGAAATTCTTCCTGTCCAGATTACTTCTTAGGATTCTCCTTTGTTGTCCTCTCTCCTTAGAGTCCTTGTATCACCAAATCCTACTTTGTTAGTAAAACTGTTTTCCTTGCTCTAGAATATCTGCCACATCTGTCCCACCTTCTTGTATCTTACTCATATTTCATTGTGTAACTCTTATTTCTTCTTTGAAGCCTTCCATATCTGCTCCAGTTCAAACCTGTCCTTTCTAATTTTTGAAATATTTGTAGTTTATATTAAATATTTTACTCTCATTATGTATTCAAGTTTTATCACTAATTTTTTTCTAGTATGCATGTTTTCTTCTCAAGTTCTGTTAAGTGTGCATTTAAATTATTAAGAAAAATCTTGTTAGGATTGTTGGTGATAGGCTACTGATGGAGTGTAGACACTCTTGTGATAATATTGGTTGACAATGATGCCATATAGTTAGACCTAGATATTTGTTTATTAATTCATTCAAAAATATGTAGCAGATACTGCTGTAGTTTGAATTATGGTTCTTTCCAAAATTCATGTTGAAATTTAATTTCCATTGTGGTGATATTAATAGGTAGGATCTTTTTGAGAAATGAATAAGTCATGAGGGCTGTGCTCTCATGAATGGGTTAGTGCCTTATGAAAGGGCAGGAGGGTATTAGCTTAGGCCCTTTTTTGCCATTCTGACATGTGATGACATAGCAAGAGGGCCCTCACCAGATATAAAATCTGCTGGCACTTTGATCTTGGATTTCTCAGACTCCAGAAAAGTGAGAAGTAAATTTATACTATCTTCATTACCTAGTCTCAGGTATTTTGTTATAGCAGCACAAATAAACCATATCAGATACCTAGAATAAGCCTGGCCCTATGCTAGGTGCTGGGTGGATTGCAGAAGCGAATAGGGGGTGGTAAGTACAGGGTGCTAGAGTAGCACAAAAGAAGATTATTTAATTTAGAAAGCTATTTGTGGCTGGGCATGGTAGCTCACGCCTGTAATCCTAGCACTTTGGGAGGTCCAGGCAGGTGGATCACCTGAGGTCAGGAGTTTGAGACCAGCCTGACTAACATGGTGAAACCCTGCCTCTGCTAAAAATACAAAAATTAGCTGGGCGTGGTGGCGCTCACCTGTAATCCCAGCTACTCAGGAGGCTGAGGCAGGAGAATCGCTTGAACTCGGGAGGTGGAGGTTGCAGCGAGCTGAGATTGCGCCACCGCACTCCAGCCTGGGCAACAGAGCAAGACTGTCTCAAAAAAAAAAAAAAAAAAAAAAAAGAAAAAGAAAAAAGAAAAAAAAGAAAAAGAAAGCTATTTGGGAGTGTCTTCTAAGCTGAGAAGTGAAGATGAGTTGAAGGTGGGCTTCGTGGATGAAAGTAAATTTCCTTGACAAAAGAAACAATACATTTAAGTGTGAGATGGAATAGGGTATTCCATTTTCAAGGAATTAAAGATCAGGGTGACTGAATTATTGGGTACAAGATTGAGAACCACCTAGGGATCTTGTTAAAGTGCACACTCTGATTCAAAATTCAGTCTGCTAGGGCTACCATAACAAAATACCACAGACTTAGTAGCTTAAACATCAGATTTATCTTCTCACAGTTTTGGACGATTAGAAGTCCAAGATCAAGATACTGTCAGGGTTGGTTTCTGGTGATGCCCCTCTTCTGGCTTGTAGAGGACCACTGTCTCCTTGTTTTCTCACTTGGTCTTTCCTTTGTATTGGAGGGTTGGGGAGGGCAATGGTGGGCTGATGTCTCTTCCTCTTTTGTAAGGATACTAGTCCTATCTCATTAGGGTGTTACCCTTAGGACCTCATTTAACCCTATTTACCACCCCCACAAAGGCACTATTGCCAGACACATTGGGTGTTAGGGTTTCAATATATGAATTTCGAGGGAACTTTTTATTCAGTTCCTAGTAAGTAGATGTGGGGTGGAGCTTGAGATACTACATATCTCACAAGCTCCCAGGTTACACTGTTGCTGCTGGTTTAAGAAACACACTTTGAGTATCAAGAAGTAGTCAACTATTCCTGATCATCTACCCATAGCTGCTTAATGATTCACTTTTGAAGATGGGAGTGAGTCTGAGTTCTCAGTTCTTAGAGCTTGAAAAAGGTTGAGAACACAAGCGCGAATGGTTATAAATGATCACTTCTGAATAAATGAAGCTTGTTTGAAAAGCTAAAGTAAAATTATCTTCAAATAAATGAGTTTCATTTTTAGCTGTCTGAAAATAGTTATTAAAGAAGATAAAATAAATTTGAAATTTGTACATCTTACTGCTTCTTTCTATAGTCGTAAAAGTACTAATTTTAAGTAGTATTCCCAGACTTGATTAGGAAGTAGTCTGAAAATCACTAGCCTAGAGGACTTGTCTATGATGAATTTGTTGTGCCAGAAGTGTCTTTTATTGTCGGTTTTTTTAGTCTCAAAAATGGTAATGGGTATTTGGATATTTTGCTTTTGTGTAAATGGTGGGATAAGATGTATAAAGAGATTTTATTGCCTGAAGCCTTAATATTTGTAGTTTGGGGCTTGGGGTAAAAAGCTAACCAGGGCTGATTGTGATTAGCTGTTTAGAATGCTCATACGTTCTGTTTTTATTTATTTATATAAGTCCTGTGACTAAACATGGCATGTAAATATACTGTTTTTAAAAATGATCATTCTTAATCTAATTTCTTATTATGTTACTTTCTTTAGAGACCAAGAAGCGTCAGTGTAAAGTTCTTTTTGAGTACATTCCACAAAATGAGGATGAACTGGAGCTGAAAGTGGGAGATATTATTGATATTAATGAAGAGGTAAGGAAAAAATGTGTTACAGGTAAAACAGTAATGGTAATTGATGCTATGGATTTTAGAAAAATTAATTGTAAGAATATTAGTCTTTTGTGAGAACTGTTGTCACTTTTTAAAAAAAATGGTATAGAGTTTCTTTACTCATCCTTGCTGTATTTATATATGTATTTGTATTTCCTGCCTTTAGGAATAAAAATGCCCCCTTAAAGCTAAAAATTAATGAAATCTAAGTAGTTAAGAACGTAAACAAGCCTTTTCTTTGATTCTGAATTTACCATAGGCAAAAAGCAGTGAAATAGAAGGAATTTTGCCTTAGAAGGAATACAAAGCAAAATCTTTTTAAACGCTTTGCCTTGTTTGAATTATCACATTCAAATATTAATAAAAATACTTTCCTATATTTTGATATCTTAGAATGGGATTTTAAAATATTTTAAAAATAGATCATGGACAGGAGGCAGGACTAGACTGCAGCTCCCACTGGGATAGACAGAGCAGCATGTGGAGGCTCACATTGTGAACTTTTGCTCCAGAACGACTGCAGGAATATGTTAGGAAAGCCGAGAGAACCCACAGACCCTCTGAAGGAAGCAAACTGCTCCAGTAGGACCTGGGAGACACCCCAAATGCTCAGTCACAGCAAGATCCACCCAAGGAGAGTCTGAGATCAGAAATGCCTAGCCCCGCCCGCACCTAATGGTCCTTTCCTACCCACCCTAGTAACTGATGACAAAGGGCATATACTCTTGGGAGCTCTAAGGCCCAGCCTATCACCTGTTCCTCCCCATACTACATAGCTGATGCTCTCTTGAAAGTGCCATCTCCCAGCAGGAGACCAACCAGCACAAAAATAGTGCATTAAACAGCCAGAGCTAAGGACCTTCACAGAGTTCATTTCAATACCCCGCCCGCTGGTCCCAACCACCACTTCCACCAGAGCAGGTGCTGGTATCCACGGCTAAGAGACCCACGGATGGTTCACATCACGGGACTCTGTGCAGACAACCCCCAGTACCAGCCCGGAGCCTGGTAGACTTGCTCTGTGGCAGAAGAGAGATAATCTCTACAGTTCAACTCTCAGGAAGCCACATCCCTAGGAAAAGAGGGAGAGTACTACGTAAAGGAGCACCCCATGGGACAAAAAGAAACTGAACAGCCTTGAGCCCTACACTTCCCTCTGACAGAGCCTACCCAAATGAGAAGGAATCAGAAAACCAACTCTGGTAATATGACAAAACAAGGTTCTTTACCATTCCCCAAAAATCACACTAGCTCACCAGCAAGGTATCCAAACCAAGAAGAAATCCCTGATTTACCTGAAAAAGAATTCAGAAGGTAAGTTATTTAGCTAATCAGGGAGGCATCAGAGAAAGATGAAGCCCAGTTTAAGGAAATCAAAAAAATGATACAAGAAGTGAAGGGAGAAATATTCAATGAAATAGATACCATAAATAAAAAATAATCAAAACTTCAGGAAACAATGGATGCACTTACAGAAATGCAAAATGCTGTGGGAAGTTTCAGCAATAGAATTGAACAAGCAGAAGAAATAACTTCAGAGCTTAAAGACAAGGTTTTTGAATTAACCCAATCCAACAAAGACAAAGAATAAGAAAATATGAACCAAGCCCCCAAGAAGTCTGGGATTATGTTAAACGACCAAACGTAAGAATAGTTGGCCTTCTTGAGGAAGAAGAGAAATCTAAAAGTTTAAAAAAAAAATTGGGGGAATAATCAGAAAAACTTACCCAGCCTTGCTACAGACCTAGACATCCAAATATAAGAAGTTTAAGAACACTTGGGAAATTTATCACAAAAAGATTATTGCCTGGGCACATTATCATCACGTTATAATTGGCTTTCCTGAGGAAGAAGAGAAATCTAAAAGTTTAAAAAACATATTTGGGGGAATAATCAGAAAAACTTCCCCGGCCTTGCCAGAGACCTAGACATCCAAATATAGGAAGTTCAAAGGACACCTGGGAAATTTATCACAAAAAGATTATCACCTGGGCACATTGTCATCAGGTTATCTAAAGTTAAGATGAAGGAAAGAATCTTAAGAGCTGTGAGGCAGAAGTACCAGGTAACCTATAAAGGACAGTCTATCAAATTAACAGCAGATTTCTCAGCAGAAACCATACAAGCTAGAAGGGATTTTCTATCTTGAGCCTCCTCAACAAAACAATTATCAGCCAAGAATTTTGTATCCAGCAAAACTTAGCTTCATAAATGAAGGAAACATACAGTCTTTTTCAGACAAACAAATGCTGAGAGAATTCACTACTACGAAGCCAGTACTGCAAGAACTGCTAAAAGGAGCTCTAAATCTTGAAGCAAATCCTAGAAACACATCAAAACAGAACCTCTTTGAAGCATAAATCTCACAGGACCTATAAAACAAAAATAGAAGTTAAAAAACAAAGACAAAAAACAAAAAAACTCAGGTATATAGGCAACAAATACCATGATGAATGGAATGGTGTCTCACATGTCAATACTAATGTTGAGTGTAAATGGCCTAAATGCTCCATTTGACATATACAGAATTGCAGAATGGACAGGAATTCACCAACCCTCTGCTGCCTTCAAGAGACTCACTTAACACATAAGGAATCATAAACTTAAAGATGTAGAAAAAGACATTTCATGCAAATGGACAGCAGGAGTAGCTATGCTTATATCAGACAAAACAAACTTTAAATCAACAGCAGTTTAAAAAGACAAAGAGGGACATTACATAATGTTAAAAGGCCTTGTCCAACAAGAAAGTATCACAATTCTATATATATATATGCACCTAACACTGGAGCTCTTTAGTTTATAAGACAATTAGTAATAGGCCTAAGAAATGAGATAGTAAGACAATAATAGTGGGGGACTTCAATACTCCACTGACAGCATTAGACAGGTCATCAAGACAAAGTCAACAAAGAAACAGTGAATTTAAACTATACCCTGGAACAAATGGAGTTAACAAATACTTATACAACATTCTACACAACCACCACAGAATATACATTCTATTCAACAGTGCATGTTCTTTCTCCAAGATAGACCATATGATAGGCCACAAAGTGAACCTCAGTAAATTTAAGAAAATTGAAATTATATCAAGCACTCTCTCACACCACAGCGAAATAAAACTGGAAATCAACTCCAAAAGGAGCCTTGAAAACCATGCAAATACGTGGAAATTAAATAACTTACTCCTGAATGATCATTGGGTCAGAAATGAAATCAAGATGGAAATTAAAAAATTCTTCTTACTGAACGACAATAGTGACACACCTTTCAAAACCTCTGGGATAGCAAAGGCAGTGCTAAGAGGAAAGTTAATAACCTAACTTTTAACTTAAAAGTCAACTTAAAAGTTAAAAGTTGATGCCTACATCAAAGACTGTGAAAGAGCACAGACCATTTAAGGGCACCTCAAGAAACGAGAAAAAGAAGAACAAACCAAACCCAAACTCGGCAGAAGAAAGGAAATAACCAAGATCAGAGCAGAACTAAGTGAAATTGGAACAAACAGAAAATACAAAAGATAAATGAAACAAAAAACTGGTTCTTTGAAAAGATAAATAAGATTGATAGACCATTAACAAGGTTAACCAAGAAAAGAAGAGAGAAAATCCAAATAAGCTCAGTTAGAAACAAAGCAGGAGATATTACAGTTGACACCACAGAAATACAAAAGGTCATTCAAGGCTACTGTGAACTTTTTTCTGCACATAAACTAGAAAACCTAGAGGAGATGGCTGAATTCCTGTAAAGATACAATCCTCCTTGATTAAATCAGGAAGAATTACATATGCTGAACAGAACAATAACAGGCAGCGAGGTTGAAGTGGTAATTAAAAAATTACCAACAACAACAAAAAAGATCCAGGACCAGACGAATTCACACCAGAATTCTACCAGACATTCAAATAATTGGTACCAATCCTGTTGACACTGTTTCACAAGATAGAGAGAGGGAACCCTCCCTAAATCATTCTGTGAAGCTAGTATCATCCTAATACCAAGACCAGGAAAGGACATAACAAAAAAAGAAAACTACAGACCAATATTCCTGATGAATATAGATGCTAAAATCCTAAACAAAGTACTAGCTAACTGAATCCAACAACATATCAAAAAGATAATACACCACGATCAAGTGGGTTTCATATCAGGGATGCAGGGATAGTTTAACATACGCAAGTCAGTAAATATGATATGTCACATAAACAGAATTAAAAACAAAAATCACATGATCATCTCAATAGATGCAGAAAAAACATTAGACAAAATCCAGCATCACTTTATGATTAAAACTCTCAGCAAAATTGGCATATAAGGGACATACATCAGTGTAATAAAAGCCGTCTATGCAAAACCACAGCCAACATAATACTGAATGGGGAAAAATTGAAAGCATTCCCTCTGAGAACTGGAACAAGACAAGGATGCCTGCTCTCACCACTCCTCTTCAACATAGTACTGGAAGTCCTAGCCAGAGCAATTAGACAAGAGAAAGAAATAAAGGGCATCCAACTTGGTAAAGAGGAAGTCACACTGTCACTGTTTGCTGATGATATGATCGTTTACCTTGAAATCCCTAAAGACTCCTTCAGAAAGCTCCTAGAACTGAGAAAAGAATTCAGCAAAGTTTCCGGGTACACAATTAATGTACACAAATCAGTAGCTCTTTTATATACCAACAGCAGTCATGTGGAGAATCAAATCAAGAACTCAACGCCTTTTACAATAGCTGCAAAAAAAAAAAAAAAAAAAATAAGATGCTTAGGAATATACCTAACCAAGGAGTCAAAAGACCTCAACAAGAAAAACTACAAAAACCTGCTGAAAGAAATAGACGACAAAAACAAATGGAAACACATCTCATGGTCACGGATGGGTAGAATCAGTATTGTGAAAATGACCATACTGCTAAAAGCAATCTACAGATTCAACAGAATTCCTATACATACCACCATCATTCTTCACAGAATTAGAAAAAACAATTCTAAAATTCATATGGAACCAAAAAGAGCCTGCATAGCCAAAGCAGGACTAAGCAAAAAGAACAAATCTGGAGACCTCACATTACCTGATTTCAAATTATACTATAAGGCCACAGTCACCAAAACAGCATGGTACTGGTATAAAAATAGGCATATTGACCAATGGAACAGAATAGAGAACCCAGAAATAAACCCAAATACTTACAGCTAACTGATCTTCGACAAAGCAAACAAAAACAAAAAGTGGGGAAAGGACATCCTTTTCAACAAATGGCACTGGAATAATTGGCTAGCCACATGCAGGAGAATGAAACTGGATCCTCATCTCTCACCTTATACAAAAATCAAATCAAGATGGATCAAGGACTTAAATCTAAGACCTGAAACTGTAACAGTTCTTGAAGATAACATTGGAAAAACCCTTCTAGACATTGACTTTGGCAAGGATTTTGTGACCAAGAACCCAAAAGCAAATGCACTAAAAACAGATAAATAGCTATGACCTAATTAAACTAAAGAGCTTTTGTATGGCAAAAGAAACAGTCAGCAGAGTAAACAGACCACAGAGTGGGAGAAAATCTTCACAATCTATACATCTGACAAAGGACTACTATCCAGAATCTACAATGAACTCCAACAAATTAGCAAGAAAAAAACAATCCCATCAAAAAGTGGGCTAAAGACCTAATAGACAGTTCTCAAAAGAAGATATGCAATGGCCAACAAACATGAAGACATGTTCAACATCACCAATTATCAGGGAAATGCAAATCAAAACCACAATGTGATACCACCTTACTCCTGCAAGAATGACCATTAAAAAAAAAATAGATGTTTGTGTGAATGTGGTGAACAGGGAACAGTTCTATACTTCTGGTGGGAATGTAAACTAGTACAGCCACTATGGAAAACAGTGTGGAGATTCATTTGAGAACTAAAAGTAGAACTATCACTTGATCCAGCAATCCCACTACAATCCCAGAGGAAAAGAACTCATTATATGAAAAAGATAGTTGCACACACATGTTTATAGCAGCACAGTTCACAATTGCAAAAATGTGGAACCAACCTTAATGCCCATCAGTCAATGAGTGGATAAAGAAACCGTGGTATGTATATATGTGCTGGAATACTACTCAGCCATAAAAAGGAATGATTTCATGGCATTCGCAGCTACCTGGATGAGATTGGAGACTATTATTTTAAGTGAAGTAACTCAGGAATGAAAAACCAAACATCATATGTTCTCACTTGTAAGTGGGAGCTAAGCTATGAGGATGCAAAGGCATAAGAATGACACAATGGACTTTGGGGCCTCGGGGGAAGAGGGTGGGAAGGGGATGAGGGATAAAAGACTACAAATTGGGTGCAGTGTATACTCCTCAGGTGATGGGTGCACCAGAATCTCACAAATCACCACTAAAGAACTTACTTATGTAACCTAACACCACCGGTTCCCCAATAACCTATGGAAATAAAAAAAAGAAAAAAAAATTTAAAATAATTTTTTACATCTCTGCTTTTATCATTTGAAGGAGTATTAAAGTTTAATTTCACAGTTGAAGGTCATGTTTTCAACATGTATGTTTTGATACCATGTATTATAGCACAGATTGATTTTGTGTCAAAACACCCTGTAATGTAATTTATCACTAGTGTTTTTATGTTTATACAAACTTAGATTGTGTTTATACAAAGGCTGTTCTATTTTATTTTCACTTGGTTGCAGTAATAATAGTTAACATTTCTTGAGCTTATGTTATGGTTGAAGCATTGTGCTGAGAGTTTCACATTTATTATATCCTTGAAAGTTTTAAAAAACCTAAGAAGATAGGTATTTTTATCCCCATTGTACATAGGAAGAGACTAAATCAAGGAAGATAAGTGGTGGCTGTTTTAGTTACTGTTGTTGCATACCAAGCCATCCCAAACTTGGTGGCAAAGAATAACGGTTGTATTATGCCTGTGAGTCAAGAATTCAGATGGGGTATAGCCCAAATGGCTTGTGTGGGGCCCTTAGCTGGAAAGATTCAATGGTGGGGTGTCCTGGAATAATAGGAAGGTTTTTTCACTCACATATCTGGTGCCTAGAAACCTTGAAGACTGTAACTGCCAATTGGAGAGCCATTATGTTAGCCTTTCCATTTGGGTTGACTCTCTTACAGTGTAGGCATCTCAAGGTCGTCGGACTTACTATATGGCAGTTCACGGCTCTTAAGTGCAAGCATTTCAGCACATATTAGCTTTATTGCCCTTTACAAACTAGCATCTGTTGGTTACAAGTGAGTCGTAAGCCATCAAGATTTAAGGGGTAGGGAACAGAGACCACCACTTCTTGGTGGGAGGAGTGTCAAGGTCACAATTGTAGGATGAGAGATCTTCTTACAGCCATCTAAGTCTGAATTTCAGTCCTTGCAGTCTGTTTTTTTTAAATTTTTTAATTTTTTTATTTCAATAGGTGTTTGGGGAACAGGTGGTGTTTGGTTAGATGAATACATTCTTTAGTGGTGATTCCTGAGATTTTGGTGCACCCATCACCTGAGCAGTGCACACTGTACCTAATGTGTAGTCTTTTATCCCTTGCCACCCCCATTCTTTCCCCCCAAGTCCCCAAAGTCCAATGTATCATTCTTAAGCCTTTGCTTCCTCATAGCTTAGCTCCCACATATGAGTGAGAACATACGATGATTGGTTTTCCATTCTTGAGTTACTTCACTTAGAATAATAGCCTCCAGTTCCATCCATGTTGCTGCAAATGCCATTATTTTGTTCCTTTTTATGGCTGAGTAGTATTCCATGATGTGTGTGTATATATACACACCACATATTTTTAAATTCACTTGTTGATTGATGGGCATTTGGGCGGGTTCTATATTTTTGCAATTGCAGATTGTCATGCAGTCTATTTTTGTGTATTTTTTTACCACTGTACTACTCTGCCTCCTAAACCTAACTCCTCAGTTGTTGCCAGTTGGGGTTCCAGGTATAGGTAATAGACAGCTGATGTTTCTCTCCGTTTGTTGTATTTATTCTAGTTTGGTCTACATCTAGTTTGGATCACTTCCAGTTCTTTGGTGCTTCTTTAAGTCTGATAAAAATTCTGGTCACTTCATGCTTTACTGCCTTCCCTTTCTCCCCCAAACAGCTTGTATTCTAGCACCCATTTTTATTTTAGCTATACCTTCCATGAATAAATCATTTATTTTTAAGTTACTATAGTTTTACTTTTATTCAGCCTTTAATATCACATTGTTTTTGTCATTTCCTTTTGGGGGGGAGCATTTTTTTTTTATTCTTTCAAGCCCTTTCTGTTTGCTCCTAACAGCATTTTGTTCATATGTTAGTTATAGTACCTCTTAAATTGTATTGTAGCCATCTGCTTATTGATTTTTTCTTTAAGTGTTTTATTGAAGAACAGGGATTTCTCATATGCAAGTTTGAATCTTTCCCTAGTAGTTAACACTGTGACTAACACATATTGGCTGTTAGATGACTAACTTAGTAAAAGGTTGCCTACCTTTTATGAGATGGAAAACAATTAAAAATATTTTAAACAAGAAATAAATCTTTTTCTAGCTATATTGTGTGTAGTGCTGCTAAGTAAAATTTGACAGTGAATAGTTTACTCTTTTTTAAATTTTGTTTTTTTTTTTTTGAGCTGGAGTCTCACTATGTTGCCCAGGATGGAGAGCAGTGGCGCCATCTCAGCTCACTGCAACCTCCGCTTCCCAGGTTCAACTGATTCTCCTGCCTCAGCTTCCCAGCTAGATGGGACTACAGGTGTGCACCACCACACCTAGTGAATTTTTTTTTTTTTTTTTTTTTTTTGTATTTTTAGTAGAGGTGGGATTTCACTATGTTGGCCAGGCTGGTCTCAAACTCCTGACCTCAGGTGATCTGCCTGCCTTGGCCTTCCAAAGCGCTGGGATTATAGGCAAGAGCCAGTGAACCTGGCCTAAAAAATTGTTTTTAACCTGTGAGCACTCCTTAATATCCATATCAGAAACTATACATTTTTAAAGTTATTAAATATTAAAAATTTCATAGAAATTGAGTAATCTTATTGGTAAGTGTAAATGTTTTTCTGAAGTGTTTGATTCATGAGGATATATCTGTTTGGAGGAAGGTGTTTAGTGGAGCTTGACATCTGGGTTTTTAAAAGTAGGAAATTATTATACTTAAGCTAAGAATCACTGCTCAAGTAATAGGTTTAGCAATTTTCTGTGCCATTTAGGAAGTTATGTTTATTTTCTTTTTTCTTTTTTTGAGACAGGGTCTCCTCTGTCACCTGGGCTGGAGTCCAGTGCCACAATTGGGCTCAGCCTCCCCAGTAGCTGGGACTACAGGCGCGAACCACCATGCCCAGCTAACTTTCGTATTTTTTTTAGAGATGGGATTTCACCACGTTGCCCAGGCTGATCTCAAACTCCTGGTCAAGCAGTCTGCCTACCTTGGGCTCTCAAAGTGCTGGGATTACAGACCTGAGCCACCGTGCCTGGCCAGGAAGTTATATTCTTAGAATCATCAAATTTTTTTCAAATAAAAAATTTCCAAATACTTTAAATAATATACAAATCAAGCCTTAGTAGTGTTTACAAGAGTGACATTCCAGAAGCTATGTACTTCTTGCTGTTAATACAGTATATATGGTTATCTGATACTTTCATGAAAAGTACTTCATAGATTGCGATTGATTACAAATTGTCATTGTAAATGTGCGAAGTACTGTTGATGTATGATTAATCCCATATATGAGTAATACACTAAAATTTAATCCACTTAAAATATATTTTCTTCATTGTGTTTTAAATTTTAAAGGGTTTATTTCATAGTGCTAATTTTGTGCCTGTTTGCTTTTGCAGCTTAATTTTCCCATAGGGTGACGATTTTCACTTAACAGAAGTTGTTTTTGCTTTTGAATTGTGAACTTTTTCAGGTAGAAGAAGGCTGGTGGAGTGGAACCCTGAATAACAAGTTGGGACTGTTTCCCTCAAATTTTGTGAAAGAATTAGAGGTAACAGATGATGGTGAAACTCATGAAGCCCAGGACGATTCAGGTAGACTATTTTTTAAAATTTTTAATTGATTTAAATAAACTTTATATAGCATCTAGTGTTTTATTTTGTATTTTTTGAAACTCTGTTCTTTCTTTTGAACTTTGAGTCAGCTTCAATTAGTCTACTTTAAAAAAGCAAATTATGATGGGGACCTAACTGAATTAAATATCTAGTCCAATAATTTAATATTTTTCTTTCTCTGATTTCTGCTTTAACCTTAGGTAAATCTTTAGTACCCTGAGTTTAAAATGATTCATCTTAGGTTATCTGATTTCTTCCTAGTAAAGATATATTTATATGCATTTTTGGTCTGCTGAGTTTGCAAATGGCCTGTTTAATACTTCAGAAATTTTAGAAATAAGAAACAACCTTACTTTTGTTATTTTCTGTATTCACATAATAGATTTTGTTTATTCTGGGCAGCCAAATGTCATTTAGTTATTTTGTGATGTTAGTTATTTAGAGACTCACCCACAAATTCTTCTTAATTTGCTCACCATTTAAGAGTATGATTGACAAAATTTTACCCCAAAGCTAGATTTAAATTTTGTTACTTTTAAGAATTGCTGTTGGAATTAGGAGAGTTTTTTTTGTTTTCCAAAAGAGGTCTTGAATTTACAAGTGGAAATGTAGGGATAAGAATATGTTTTTCTCGATGGAAATGTATATGTAGTGAGAATTTTCGGGGATTTGCATTAGCTAATATTATTTGGCAATTTTATGATTAGTTGGATTTATAGGTATTAGGAGTAGATCATAACCTTAAGGTTGCCAGTATCATTGGTTTTTGTTTTTAGAACCGGCTTAATGCAAATATATGAAAACTAAATATTAAAAATAATGAGATGAAGTTGTAAGATTGCTCAGACTGCTTATGTACTGAATACTTGTCATTGTGTCCCAATGCTACACTTATATGTTTTAATCTATCTTTACATACAAGATCATACTAAGGTGTTAGTCTTCCGTGATGGCAGAAAACTGTGCCTTGGTTGTCTTTGCTTAACTGTAGTTTTTTTGTTTGCAAAACAGGAATAATTTTTTTTTTAACGTGAAAGGGCTGTTTCGTGCATTGACAGTTTCTAAGCATAATGTTTGCAGCGTCATAGGTTGTTGTGAGCTATTAGTTTTTTTTTTCTTGCTTTCTTTTATCAGTACTTTCAGTGTCTTACATATGGAAGAGTAAAAATTTTGAAATTAAGTAGGAAAACATAAAGTTGGTATAGCAAATGGGTTTATAAACCTCAGTGCACTCAGTGGTAAAAGAATGCAATTTTTTTTTCCTTTTCTTTTTTTTTTTTTTTTAATTATACTTTAAGTTCTGGGATACATGTACTGAACGTGCAGGTTTGTTACATAGGTATACATGTGCCATGGTGGTTTGCACCTATCAACCCGTCATCTACATTAGGTATTTCTCCTAATGCTATCCTTCCCCTTGCGCCCCCCTCACCCCCCTCCCCCTGATAGGCCCCGGTGTGTGATGTTCCCCTCCCTGTGCCCATATGTTCTTACTGTTCACCTCCCATTTATGAATGAGAACATGTAGTGTTTGCTTTTCTGTTCATGAGAATGATGGTTTCCAGCTTCATTCATGACCCTCCAAAGGACATGAACTCATTCTTTTTTTTTTTAATTTTGTTTTTTGAGACAAAGTTTAACTCTTGTTGCCCAGACTAGGAGCGATTCTCCTGCCTCAGCCTCCCAAGCAGTTGGGATTACAGGCATGTGCCACCACGCCCAGCTAATTTTTTGTATTTTTAGTAGAGATGGGGTTTCTCCATGTTGGTCAAGCTGGTCTTGAACCCCCGACCTCAGGTGATCCACACGCCTCGGCCTCCCAAAGTGCTGAGATTACAGGCGGGAGCCACTGTGCCCAGCTGAACTCATTCTTTTTTATGGCTGCATAGTATTCCATGGTGTATATGTGCCACATTTTCTTTATCCAATCTAACATCGATTGGCATTTGGGTGGGTTCCAAGTCTTTGCTGTTGTTAAATAGTGCTGCATTAAACATATGTGTGTGTGTGTCTTTATAGTAGAATTATTTATAATCCTTTGGGTGTATACCCAGTAATAGGATTGCTGGGTCAAATGGTATTTCTAGTTCTAGATCCTTGAGGAATTGCCACATTGTCTTCCACAATGGTTGAACTAATTTACACTCCCGTGAACAGTGTACAGGTGTTCCCATTTCTCCACATCCTCTCCAGCATCTGTTGTTTCCTGACTTTTTAATGATCGCCATTCTAACTGGCATGAGATGGTAGCTCATCGTGATTTTGATTTGCATTTCTCTGATGGCCAGTGATGGTGAGCTTTTTTTCATAGGTTTGTTGGCCGCATAAATGTCGTCTTTTGAAAAGTGTCTGTTCATAGCCTTTGCCCACCTTTTGATGGAGTTTTTTTTTTTTTTCTTGTAAATATGTTTAAGTTCTTTGTAGATTCTGGATATTAGCTCTTTGTCAGATGGATAGATTGCAAAAATTTTCTCCCATTCTGTAGGTTGCCTGTTCACTCTGATGATAGTTTCTTTTGCTGTGCCGAAGCTCTTTAGTTTAATTAGATCCCATTTGTCAATTTTGGCTTTTGTTGCCATTGCTTTTGGTGTTTTAGTCATGAAGTCTTTGCCCATGCCTATGTCCTGAATGGTATTGACTAGGTTTTCTTCTAGGGTTTTTATGGTTTTAGGTCTTACGTTTAAATCTGTAATCCATCTTGAGTTAATTTTTGTATAAGGTATAAGGAAGGGGTCCAGTTTCAGTTTTCTGTATACAGCTAGCCAGTTTTTCCAACAACATTTATTAAATAGGGAATCCTTTCCCCATTGCTGGTTTTTGTCAGGTTTGTCAAAGATCAGGTGGTTGTAGATGTGTGGTGTTATTTCTGAGGCCTCTGTTCTGTTCCATTGGTCTATATATCTTTTTTGGTACCAGACCATGCTGTTTTGGTTACTGTAGCCTTGTAGTATAGTTTGAAGTCAGGTAGCATGATGCCTCCAGCTTTGTTCTTTTTGCTTAGGATTGTCTTGGCAATGTGGGCTCTTTTTTGGTTCCATATGAAACATAAAGTAGTTTTTTTCTAATTCTGTGAAGAAAGTCAGTGGTAGCTTGATGGGAATAGCATCAAATCTATAAATTACTTTGGGCAGTATGGCCATTTTCATGATATTGATTATTCCTATCCATTAGCATGGAATGTTTTTCCATTTGTTTGGGTCCTCTCTTATTTCCTTGAGCAGTGGTTTGTAGTTCTCCTTGAAGAGGTCCTTCACATCCCTTGTAAGTTGGATTCCTAGGTATTTTATTCCTTTTGTAGCCATTGTGAATGGGAGTTTGCTCATGATTTGGCCCTCTGTTTGTCTTTTATTGGTGTATAGGAATGCTTGTGATTTTTGCTCATTGATTTTGTATCCTGAGACTTTGCTGAAGTTGCTTATCAGCTTAAGGAGATTTTGGGCTGAGATGATGGTGTTTTCTAAATATACAATCATGTCATCTGCAAACAGAGATAATTTTACTTCCTCTCTTCCTAGCTGAATGCCCTTTCTTTCTCTTGCCTGATTGCCCTGGCCAGAACTTCCAATACCATGTTGAATAGGAGTGATGAGAGAGGACATCCTTGTCTTGTGCCGGTTTTCACAGGGAATGCTTCCAACTTTTGCCCATTCAGTATGATAATGGCTATGACTTTGTCATAAATAGCTCTTATTATATTGAGATATGTTCCATCAATACCTAGTTTGTTGAGTTTTTTAGCATGAAGCAGTGTTGAATTTTATCGAAGGCCTTTTCTGCATCTATTGAGATAATTATGCAGTTTTTGTCATTGATTCTGTTTATGTGATGGATTATGTTTATTGATTTGCATATGTTGAACCAGCCTTGCATCCCAGGGATGAAGCTGACTTGATTGTGGTGGATAAGCTTTTTAATGTGCTGCTGGATTTGGTTTGCCAGTATTTTATTGAGGATTTTCGCATTGATGTTCATCAGGGATATTGGCCTGAAATTTTCTTTTTTTTGTTGTGTCCGTGCCAAGTTTTGGTATCAGGATGATGCTGGCATCATAAAATGAGTTACGGAGGAGTCCTTTTTTTGTTGTTGTTTGGAATAGTTTCAGAAGGAATGGTACCAGCTCCTCTTTGTACCTCTGGTAGAGTTCGGCTATGAATCCATCTAGAGCTGAGCTTTTTTTTGGTTGGTAGGCTATTAATTACTGCCTCAATTTCAAAACTTGTTATTGGTCTATTCAGGGATTTGGCTTCTTCCTGTTTTAGTCTTGGGAAGGTTTATGTGTCCAGGAATTTATCCATTTCTTCTATATTTTCTAGTTTATTTGCGTAGAGGTGTTTATAGTATTCTCTGATGGTAGTTTGTGTTTCTGTGGGATCAGTGGTGATCTCCCCTTTATCATTTTTTATCCATGTCTATTTGATTCTTCTCTCTTTTCTTTATTAGTCTGGCTAACGGTCTCTCTGTTTCGTGCAATTTTTTTTTTTTTTTTTTAACAGGCAGGGTTTCACTTTGTTGCCGAGCCTGGTGTGCAGTAGCATGATCATAGCTCACTACAGCTTAACCTCCTGAGCTCAAGTGATCCTTCTGCCTCAGCCTGCCAAGTAGCTGGGACTGTAGGTATGCATCATGATGCACAGCTAATTAAAAACATTTTTTTTTAAGAGATGGGGCCTCACTATGTTGACCAGACAGGTTTTGGACTCTTGGCTTCAAGCAGTTGAAGCCTCCCAAAGTGCTGGGATTACAGATGTGAGCCACCACATCTGGCCAAGAAAATTAATTTTAGAGAAAAAAGTCAGATAATATTTTAAAATTTAATAGATGATTCTATTAAACATAATTGATAAAAGATTTCTAGAAATCATTAAGATTATTACTAAAGTTAATGTGCTCTGTTTCTCATTCCACCATTTTAGACTTTATTAAGCTCCTTGACACTTTTGTCTTCATCCATAATTATGGTTTGTTTGTACATGAATGATTCATGCAGCTTTTTCCCACCTAATTCTTGTATGGAGCCTGCAGAAGAGTCAGGCTTTTGCTGTGGTAGAAAAGAGCATGAAGCAATAGAGCAAGTTCATAAAAATCTAGATATAGAGCTAGAAAGTCCTAGTACAACCCCTTCATTTTATAGTAGAGAAACCTAAGTCATGATTTACATATTATTTTATATATTTATTTTTGTTAGAACCAGGACTTCTAAGAATTTGGGCTTTTGGATCCCATTCCTCTATACATTTCCATACTATTATATTACTCATCTCTGGGTCCATCCTTCTAACTCCAGTACAGTGATTTATTTTGAAACTTTTTTTTAACTTGGAGAAAAATTATAAAAATAAAACAAAGACCTCTCTTAGATCCTTTACCCTGATTTACGAATTTTTAACATTTCACCCCATTTGCTAACTTATCATTCACCTTCTATCTAGATATCTGTATTTTATCTTTATTCTTTAGTATTTCAATGTGTATTTCCCAAGAATAAAGTTAGTCTCTTATGTAACTACAGTACAGTTATCAAAATCAAGACATTTAATATTGATAATATTGTTTATTCTGTAATCTCCATACACCTTTTTTTTATTATTCCAGCATGTTCTTTATAGCTGTTTTTTTCCTCCCAGTCCTGAAAAGGATTATACATGGAATTTATTTCCAGTGTTTCTTAAATCTGTAATAGTCTTCTAGCCTTTTTCTGTTTTTTGTTTTCTTGACATTGACATTTTTGAAGAGTTTAGGCTGATTATTTTGTGGAATGGCCCCATTTGTTTGTTTGTTTGTCTTTTTCCCCCGATTCCTCATGATTAGATTCAGATTATATTTTATTGGCAGGACTATGGAGTGACGATGTCTTATGTAATATTTGGAGGCACATGGTGTCCATGTCTTTTTTTATTGGGGATGTTAAATTTGATTAAAATTTAATCATAAATTTAGTTACAGCTGTGCTGCCACTGTACTTTTACTGTTTTTCTTCTTACAATAAGTGTTTCATGGAGAGATACTTTGAGACTATGTAAATATGCTATTCCTCATCAGACTTTCACTCAACAGTTTTAGCATCATGGATAAATTTTACTCAAATAGTTGTTACTATGATGGTTACCAAAAATGGTGATTTTCTAATACCATCATCCCTTCTATGTGTATTACTTAATATTTTACTCTAAAGACAAACTTTTGTCTTTCTCCGGTTTATGTATTTATCAGTGTGGGCTCATCAGAGGGTTCTGTTTTATTCATCAGGTATCAGTCTATTACCAGTATTATTTATTTTGATAACTGTATGATTTTGCTAGTGAGAGTTCCTTCAAGGTAACTTCTGTGACTTTTTAAAAAAGTCAACTTTATTGGAGGTACAATTTACATACAGTAATTGTGTCCCTTTAAAATATACAATCTGATGAGTTTGACAGATGTATAAATCCATGAAAACATGTACAGAACATTTCCATCACCCCCAAAATATTGCTCATGCTTTTTGCAGTCCATTTCTTTTTCTGCCCTTAGTCCTAGGCAATCATAGATCTGGTTTGTCATTATGGATTAGTTTGCAGTATTATGTCATTTTGACATGTCTCCATTATTTTCTGTGAACTTCCTTACTCTGTGATATAAGATATTCCAAGCTCATTTTGAACCTTCCCTACCCTAGTCTTGGAATCAGCTACCTATCAAGGCAAACTTTTTTTTTTTTTAAGAGAGGAATAGTGTTTGGGCATCAAGATCTGGGTAGAGGTGTGGTCATTGCTACTGGGGTAATGCTTCTGAGCCTGCTTAGTGGATTAAGCTGGGAAATGCTTACATGCACATACAATCCCATACCTCTACCCATATGTCTTGATCATTCATCTATTTATCCATCTTTACTAGTACCTCTAATTCCAATTTAATACCAGAAGGTATATTTTCATCTCTAATGATTTTATTTCTAAGCCCATTGACCATAGAAATGTGTGAAATGAGTAATTGAGTTTGCTTTACATTTATTTATTTATTTATGTATTTATTGAGACGGAGTCTCGCTCTGTCACACAGGCTGGAGTGCAGTGGCGCGATCTTGGCTCACTGCAACCTCCGCCTCCCGGGTTCACGTCATTCTCCTGCGTCAACCTCCCAAGTAGGCGCCCACCACCACACCCAGCTAATTTTTTTGTATTTTTAGTAGTTACAGGGTTTCACCGTGTTAGCCAAGATGGTCTCAATGACCTCGTGATCCGCCCACCTCGGCCTCTTAAAGTACTGGGATTACAGGCGTGAGCCACTGCACCCGGCTGAGTTTGCTTTACTTTTAAGGAAATTTAATTTTTCTTCCAAGTTTTAGTTATCTAAACATCGCAAGCTACAATTGTGTTGCCTTGTTCGTTTGCTTTTTAGTATAAAAGCCATCTAATATTAGGCTTGAAAGGATGAATGCTTAGAAAGCAATATTATAATTCGTGGTTTATCAATAAACTATGAGTATAGAAAAACCAACATGAATTTAGTGTCTAAAAGATTGATGTAAAAGACACCTCTTGGAATTTTAGAAAGTGACAGGAAAAAATGTTACTTTACATAGTCATAAAATACCAGTAATTGTTCTACAAAGTAGACAGTATATATCAGATCTAATGATGAGAGCTAGGAATAATGAGATTGTGAGGAAAAATTGCTGGTATAATACCAGACTTTTGGGTCAGAGTTTTCAGTTAATTATAGTAATAATTTTTAAGTTATAAAGTGAAGACATAAATTAGTTTGATGGCTCTTTGCCTTCCACCAACAAGTCTTGCATAAGCAAAAGCTTGGATGTGTTGAAGATTTGGCTTCACCTGAACCCACTGCTGTGGTAGAAGAGGGTATTGTTGCTGGAGATGTAATGGATGTTAATACTGCCACTGCTTTATGGGAGGTTCAGAAGACCACCCTCATCCACAGTAGCCTAGCAGTGAAATTTGTGAAGCTGGCCAAGCCTTAGACAAGTGGCAAGCTCATGTTTGTGTGCTTGCATCCAACTGTGATGAGCCTTTGTATGTCAAGTTGGTGGAGGCCCTTGGTGCTGAACACCAAATCAACCTAATGAAGGTTGATGACAACAAGCAACTGTAGGGGAATGGGTAGGCCTCTGTAAAATTGACAGAGAGAGAAAACCCTATAAAGAAATTGGTTGTGGTTGGGTAGTAGTTAAGGACTATGGCAAAGAATCTTACGCCCAGTATGTCATCGAAGAGTCCTTCAAATGCAAGAAATGAACAAATAAAACTTTGTATCACATTTAAAAATTTAGTTTGAGGAATAGTTTGAACTCTGCTATAATTTTTAGAATAAACGTGACCAAAGGAAGAAGTGGAAGCTATTTTAACAAGTGAACATTTCTTAACCCTTGTTCTGATTTTCAGTTCTGATTTTCTGAGCGTATGTAATCCCTATGTAGTCCAGAGGTGCAAGTATCACATCTCTAGGGGGAAGACAAATGTGAAGTAAGTATGCTAATAGTATAAAATGACTTGCGTTACTTTAGGTAGGTATAGAAAATGTTGGAGGAAGATATTTCTAAATGTAATACTTTGTTTGCCACTACATTTTGCTTAATATGCAAATTTTCATCTCAGAAATGTCACAGGAAACATTAGAAAATATAATCTGCAACTTTCTAATTCTTGAAGAGGCAGGGAAAAAGAAGGATGGCTTTTAAAGCTTCTGTCCAAAATTGACATGTCATTTCCACTAACATTGTATTTGGTGGTTATGGTCATGCATGCGTAAGTGCAGCAGGGTGGGGATATGTAATTTTCTTACAAGGAGGGGCACCAAACATTTGTGTACAGTATTATGCTCTACCATATATTCGTTGTGGATTACCTTTAAAGAATCCCTTTCTTTAAAGCTCATTAGCCTTTCAAAGGAGTTAATTTACTCTTACATTAGTTTTTAGCTCTCTGTAAGTGCTACATACTATACGTGCTACAAAGTAATGAAAAAAGCGTGAGCTCCCTGGCTGTTTAATGTGACTTGGGATGCCCAGTTGCCTCTCATTTTTAAGTGTTCTTCCACTATTTCTTTTCTCTTTAACTTAGCAATAAACTTGTAAAAATTCTAAATTTTTCTAAGGCTCTTTAATGAATTAAACAAAAATATTAACAAAAATAGTTCTAGTTGTTTAATTTAGTTTCAATTGTTTTAATAGTTTCAGTTTTCTTTAATGGAGATGCTGATTGTATTGAAAGATAGAAAAATCATTGAGGTAGGAATCAGTGGAGAAGGAATCATACCAACTAGATGTACTTTCACTATTTTATGTTACATTTATTTGAGAGTACTCGATAACAATTCTGAAGTCAGAACTGATGTTTAAGGGTGTGTAAAAACCATTAGAGAACATACATAAGTACCAAAAACACGTGGCTTAAATTTAATGGGGCATTCATCTCTTAGCAAACTGTCTCCTGAGTTACTTTTGATGCACATTAGTATTTCTTAGGGTTCACAGGTATTGGATCATTTGATACCTACTTTTAACATTAAAATTTGGTGTAAATTAAAGCATATGAGTGAAATGATCTTTGTGATGCCATATAAAACTGAGCCTTTAAAATATTTACAACTTAAAGTTTGTATGGGACCACCAGCACAAGAGATCTAATTTATATTTGAATTTAGTTCATTACTTTTATAATTATAAAATACTTTGCACATTTTCTTATGCTATTCAGCTTGATTTGGATTTTAGTAACTGCGCAGAATTTTATCTGTTAGAAATACCCTTCCTTCTTTGTTTAACCCTTTTACAATAACTGTTCATTCTAAATGTGGAGCTTTGTGATTATGGGGTGGAAAGTCAGTGGTTGAAGTACACTATAATTTTTTTTTCTTTCCCCAACTCTAAATTTTAGGCAAGTTTCTGCATATTGTTGTGAATGCCAGGAAGTGAGCATTATATAAGGAGTAACTACTTAAAATTTTCCTGTGTCCTAACAAAGTGTAACAGCCTCTGTCCATAATTGGTGTTTTGACAATCTTTTCAGTCAGTAAAATAATTATGTTCCTCGTAGCTGTTAGAAAAATTATAGTAGAATGTACATTATATAAGTGTTTTCTTTTTTGCTTTCATTATTGGAATGTCATATCCACTATATTTGATTATATCATATAGTTTCTCCTCACAGTCTTTTAAATTTAATAGTGTTCTCCTCCTCCTCCCTTTCCCTTTTTCCTCCATCCTCTCTTATGTAGTAATGGGATTATGTTCTTGGTTTGACCAGTTAAACTCTATTACTTGCTAAGTAGATAATTCTGACTCTTAATAATATATGGACAATGTTGAGTCTTCACAGATAATTTATTTTTAGATCCTCAGTTTTCATTGAAGAACTGTAGGATAAAAGTTTTAAGAATGCCACCATTATGTTTTCTGTAGGAATGTGGTGAATTAATCATCTATTCTGTTACTGAGTGGTTTCTATATAAAAGTCCAAGATAAATTTCTTTTAGTATTCAGTCTCAGGGAAAGCATTGCTTTGCTAGGAAAGTGTTATGTTTCGGTTTTGTAATGTCTCCTTTTTAATTTTGTCAAATATACTTAACCCTTCTTATTTAGAGGGTCTTTTTGTTAACATGCAGATTCCACTTATTTGCTAAATAGGAATGTGTTTTCAAATTTTCCCCTTATTTTATGAAACCAGTGACTGTATATACTTGTCTTTTCCACCCTTTTCTAAAAGTCTTCCACATTAAACCTCTTTAAGAATCTCCATTTAGATGTCTAATAGGCATCTTAAACCTAAGATGCCCAAAATTGATCCTCTGCCTTTTTTTCCTGCTCCATGTAATCTTCCCCATCTGAGTTAAGGAGAAATTCATCCTTCTTTTACTCAGGCCAAAATTCTTAGATTTCTCTTGTACTCTTCTTTTTAACCTCGCACCCTACCATGATTCATTAACAGATTTTGTCAAAAAATGTTTAGAATCTATTTTCTTTTTACCACCTTCACTGCCGCTATCCTGGTATAAGTTATCTTTTGCTGTATAATTACCATAGCCTATATGCCATTACCTACTTACTGAATAGTCTGGTAGCCAGTAGTGATCACCCTCCAGTAGCTTTGCATTTCACTTAGACTAAAAGCCAAAATCTTTTAAAATGGCTACAAATCCCTCTATGATCTGGCATCCCCATATCCCTCCCTCCACCTTTCTTACCTCATCTCTTATTTAACTTTCCCCTTTGTTCACATTGGTCACCTTAGGTTTCTTAAGGATGTTAGGAACATTCCTCTCTCACAGCCTTTGTGCTTGTTGTATACCTTTGTCTGGAATCCTCTTCTTCAAGATGTCCTGATGGCTACTTGTCTGATTCAGGATTCTCTCAGAAATCACCTTATCAGTGAGGCCCTTACTGACAGCTCTGTGTAAAACAGCAGAAAGTCCCCATTATCCACTTTTTAATTCTCTTCTCTTTTTTTTTTAACGTTTCAAAGAAGAATTTGTTGCTATTGCTTATTAAGCTTATTGTCTGTCTACCTGCTCATTAGAATATATATATATATATATATATACACATACACATATATATATATGTATGTATGTATTTGTTTACTCATTGTCTAGAATGGTCTCTGATATGTTGATGCTCAGTGAAACAGTGAATAGTTTTTTGTGGTATATGTAGAACTTTTCAAACACTTTTGTCAAGTGAAATCCTCTTGAGTTTTTGTTGTTGTTGTTGTTTTGGTTTTTGCTTTAAGTTCTGGGATACATATGCAGAACATGCAGGTTTGTTACATAGGTATAAGTGTGCCATGGTGGTTCCTGCACCTATCGACCCATCCTCTCAATTCTCCCTTCCCCCGCTCCTCACCCCTCAACAGGTCCTGGTGTGTGTTTCCCTACCTGTGTCCATGTATTCTCATTGTTCAACTCCCACTAATGAGTGAGAACATGCAGTGTTTGGTTTTCTGTTCCTGTGTTAGTTTGCTGAGGATGATGGCTTCCAGCGTCATCCATGTCCCTGCAGAGGATATGATCTCATTCCTTTTTATGGCTGCATAGTATTCCATAGTGTATATGTACCACATTTTCTTTATCCAGTCTATCATTGATGGGCATTTAGGTTGGTTCCATGACTGCGATATTGTAAATAGTGCTGTAAATATTGTAAACATATGCATGCATGTGTCTTTATAGTAGAATAAATCCTCTTAGCTTTTAAGAAGATTAATGTCACTCCCATTTTAAGGGTCAAGAAGTGGAAACTCCTGAGATTATTTAACTACTGAGTGGTAAAATCATTAGAGTTTTGTTTTTCTGATTTCCCAGTTTTTTTTTTTTTAACTTTACTATGCTGTTTAACATATGGGGTATGGAAATTTGGTGGTTTTTCACTATTGTAGTCCATTTGTTTGCTGCTATCTTCATCTAATTTTCTTTTAGGTATGCTTATAGAACTATCTTTTCATGTACGTTCAGCTCTTTGAGGGTTGTGAGTAGTAATATGTGCGTATACTAGCATTTCTCATGAAGGCAGGGTATTCCAAAATCTGAAATTTAAAAGTCAAAGCCGGCAAAGGGAAATTCTAGATATAAATACAATTGTTTAGTTAATTCAGCATTCATATATTTATTCATTCAATATATTGAGTGCCTTTTGTTAATGTATTGTACAAAGTCCTGGGAATACAGTGATCAGCAACATAGGCATGATTTACCCCCCTTGTTTGAAGCTTTTTTTTCCATTGGGAAAGAAAAGATGATTTAAAAAAGTGATTGTAATTTAGCAGGAGAAATATTTGTTACAGGAAAGGGTGCAATAAATGTATATAAGTGGGCTAATCCAGACTTGGCAAGCTGTGAAGGAATGTGCCCTAGAAGAAGTCATAGATTGAGATCCCAAAATGGCTAGGAAATTTCTAAGCAAGTTTGTGGCAGAGGGTGAGGAAAAGCATAGCACTGCAAGATCCTGAAAGAGATTTAATTCAGAGGCATTATAGAGTATATAATTAGATGTGAATGTTGAGCCTGGAGAAATTATTGGGTCAGACATAAGAAAACATTACAAAAGTGTTAATCAAATCACAGAGAAGCCATAGAGCAAAATCATGAGATTGTTTTTCAGATAAATTGGTGGCAGTATGGAGAGTGAATTGCAATGTGGGGAGTAGATTGGAGAAGAGACTGAGCTGCTGACGCCAGTTGAGAATGTTTTGATAATGAGGTAGAATTAGCCTAAACTAGAGGAGTGCTATGGGGATGGAGAGACACGTGTAGAATAGGATCTATATAAGTGATAGCACAAAGAACAGGACCTAGTGATAATGTTATTTGGGGGATGACCGAAAAAGAGGAGCCAACTGCTACCAGGTTTTTGGCTTTGTAAGATGGAGATGTCATTTGCAGAGATAGGATATTGGGAGATGATGATGTATCGTTAAAATAGATGCCTAGATATTGAAAATAGGCAGTACTAATTGGTAGGTTAATTATTTTTGGATCATTGAAAATTACCAACTTTTACTACCATGTTGGCTATTCACTTTTGGAGATATTAAATTTGAGGCTTGTAGGGATGTGAGAGCATCCAAATGAAGATATTTGGTAGTCAGTTGTCTATGGGTCTGAATCCTTAGAAAAATTCGGATGTCTGTGCAAAACTGGGGCTTGATAGTACTTTAGGTGGTATAAGAAACGATGAGTAGGCTGGGCGCGGTGGCTTATGCCTGTAATCCCAGCCCTTTGGGAGGCTGAGGTGGGTGGATCACAAGGTCAGGAGTTCGAGACCAGCCTGGCCCACAAGTTGAAACCCCGTCTCTACTAAAAAATACAAAAAAAATTAGCTGGGCATGGTGGTGTGCACCTGTAATCGCAGCTACTTGGGAGGCTGAGGCAGGAGATTCGCTTGAACCTGGGAGGCGGAGGTTGCAGGGAGCTGAGATTGTGCCATTGCACTCCAGCCTGGGTGACAGAGTGAGACTCCGTCTCAAATAAATAAATAAATAAGGAAACGATGGATTTAGATTAGATGACCTAGGGAGAATATACAGAGTGAAGAAAAAAACTAAAGACCCTGGGATGGAATCCTGTGTAGTGACATTTAAGGAATGGACTGAGGAAGATTAACTGAAAAGAAGACCAAGAAAGCACAGAAGGAGAGAGCCAGAAAGAAACCTATGAGAGTGTGGTAGTCAGTCAAGGGAGGAGAGTTATTCAGGGAGGCAGGGCAATAGTGTCAGATATTACTTGGGAGGTTAAGTAAAAGAGATCATTAAGGACCTAGACAAGAGCAGTTTTGAGGTGATTAGGGCAGAAGCCAAATTAAAGAAGAAAGGAGGTTAGGCAGTGTAGAGAGTAAGTATAAGGCAGTTGCAGCATTTGATGACAACATATATTCAAGATTTGTTTTGTTCTTTTTCTTAAAAAGGAAAAGTGTTGATCATCTTGACATACTAATGGCTGACAAGTAGGAGAGCAGTTGAAGATGGAAACTCAGAAGAATGGTGGTTATCAGCACAATAGAATTTATCCAGAAGGTGGAGGAAATGCGTTTCACATTATGGCTATTATGATTAGTCTCAATTTATTGGAGATAGATCAGAGTTAGTAGGCTTAATGGTAGGAAGCTGAGGAAGATATTTCTGACTTTTGATATCTTCTATAGAAAAGGAGTAATGTTACGAATAAGTTGCAAAGTGGTGAGGTCAGAATTTTGAGGAGATGAAGAGGTTCCAGCAGGGATTCTTAAATGTTTGTGCCATTTATCCCTCTAGGCTTTACCGGGCAACTAGATGGATGCATCACACAAAACATTTAAGAAACCCTGATGGATTGTTCTTCAAGAGTTCTAGTCTCTTACAGGTAGAAAAAGTTCATTTTCTTAGGAGGAGTCAGCTGAAGTTTTATTTGATTATTCAGGTTCTGGAATAGAAGAAAGTGCTCATTGCTGATGAGACACAGGATCCTGGGGAAATGGTTGTATACCTCGTGTGCCAAAGATAGTAGATAGAAATTTGTTAGTCTGCAGGCTAGTCACCAGGAGTCAAGGTATTATACAGTTTACCTTGGGGTCTGTAATCATATATTAGTATTCACCTTATACTCCTCCTGGTGAGCAGCTTTGCAAGGAAACTTTTTCTGGAGTTTTGATGCCCTTACTGGTAGTACGTTGTGGATCTTTCTAAGTTATTGCTAACAGCCAGACCTTCTTTCTATGTGTACTTTTTAGGAACTATGCAATATTGATTGATTTTAAGTCCAGTTAAAACACCCGCACCCACACCTGCATGATCGACTTACAAAATCCTTGAGAATAATGGTGAAAGATGACTTTAATGGTGAACTTGGATTGATTCTATTAAATGCTTTTTATTTTCATCAGATTTCTTTTTTTTTTTTAAGCTTTCAGTGCAGTTCACATGTGGTTTCTTGTTTCCGTTTTTCTCCAAACAAGTAATTGCATTTTGCAGTTCTTTTAAGTCACTTTATATGAAGATACAAGCCATCAAGTAGCTTTTGCTATAGAGATTTAATGAAGAAGGAGGAGGGAGGGTTTAGGCTCGATAGACAGATTTGCTGTTTGTTTTATGACTGATAGCAACATACATAAAATGCAGATGTTTTTCTTCAAGCATAGCAATTCAAGGACAATCAGATGGGTAAAGTATATGGGTATTAAAGTGTTAGAAGTACCATATAGATAAGGTTACTGTTTTGTCTCATTATGGCACCTCCTGCATGCCCTTTTTCCTCCTCCTTTTTCCTTTCTCCTTGCTCCTTATCCTCTTTTCTTCTTTCCAGTGGCTGTTTTCCCTTTTATACTTTACTGCTTCTTTGTGATCAGTGCTCTCTCTGTCACTTAATGGTTCTCAGTGATACATCTTTTAAAGTTTTAAAAAAATAATAGACACTGAGCCAGGCACTGTTTAAAGCACTTCACAGGAATAAATTAGTTTACTTCTCATAGCAATCCTGTGAAGTTCCCCATTTTACAGGCAAAGAGATTGGGCAAATATAATGGAGGGGGCAAGATATGAATCAAGAAAATTCGACCCTAGAGTTCATATACTTTACCGCTATACCATGCTGCCTTGCAACCATTGATTTAATAGCAAACGTGGTAGTAAAATTTGGTATTTTTCATTTAGCCAAAAATAGCCTATCCATTAGTACTGGACATTTTTGATATCTAGCCATCTATTTTAATGATATATATTTTAATGACTCTAATAAAGGTTACAGTCACTAAATCCAAACCCCCTTCCCTGCCTTTTTTTTTGTTTTATGGCCTTAATCAAATACTCAAACTGTGAAAATTGTACTTTAGAATAATCTCTTAAAGTTGTCTTTATCAATATATGATTTATTAATACCATGGATAGTTTCATTTTAAAAATGCCTTTTAGATATGCACCTAATATACTAATCTGTATCAGAATATTGCTTTGTCCAACAGGCTGGTTATTGGAGGTATATATTAAAACTATATAGAATACACTTCTGGCAATGCAGGAGCAAGATGGTATGGAATTCACTTTTCCACCATACAAACTTGAGAACTGGAGAAAATATAGGAAGCAAATTTTTCCAAAAAGTAGACTGCACAGGACTGGTATTCCTGAGAAAAGGGGAAAGAACAAGGGGAAAGGAGAGCTCTACCATTGTCCTAGGTTTCTGCCAGGAGCTAATTTCTGAACTGCATTATAAGGAAAGGGGACCTAACCACAGCAGAAGGCTATGGTTTTGTTGAGGATTGATCAAAATTCAGGGAAACAAAGGCAGTTAGAATTTTGTGTTGCTGAACACCTGAAGTGAGAACTATATGTAGAGAGCGCACCAGAACTGTTCTTGGGTGTTGTTTTGAGGGTTTAGCTGAGCACCAGTCTGTGAATGCATACAGTGAAACCCCAGAGACTGAACATGAGCAGCTTGTGAAGAAAGAGCAATTACTAGGGGTTAATATGAGCAATTTCTGGTATGCTTATACAAGGCCAAGAATTGAGTTCTTTCTCTCTAGATTTCAGAGATTTTATTGACTACATGGGCAATTCAGTAGAGAGGCGAAGTGGGGCTAAATTAGCCTTAGAATGGAGGTTGCTCTAATCCTACCCTAAAAAAGCTTCACACTAATGTGCAAATAACTTACCTGCTTGCCAGAAAAAAAAATTAAAAATTTGCCAGCACTCGTTAAAGTAGAACTTCTCAACCTTGTCACTGAAGATGTTTTGGGCTGGATAATTGTTTGTTTTCAGGGGCTCTCTGGCACATACAGGATGTTAAGAAGCATTCCTGATTTCTGCTAACTAGATGTCAGTAACACTCCCCCATTGTAATAACCAAACATGTCTTCAGTTATTGCCTCATGTCTCTTGGAAGGCAGAATCCACCCTGACTGGAAATAACTGTTGTAAAGGATTACTGTAAAATTTAACATTCAACAACATCAAAATTTTAAATAAGTACTAGGTATATCAAGAAGCAGGGGCCGGGCGCAGTGACTCATGCCTGCGCCCGGATCCACTGCGATGGTGTACAAGTGCTGGGTGACGAATTGTTCTGTATCTTGTTGTATTTACATGGTGCGACATTTGTCAAACATTACTGAAATGCATATTTAAAACGGGTTCATTTTATTCATTGTAAACATTCTCTCAATGAAGTTGAATGTTAAAAATATATTACAAAACTGTCTTCTCCACTTCAGTCTTCTGTGTGACTTAGGATAATATTGAAAATGGTTAGGGTAGATCACTATACTTGTTAGCATTATATTTCTTAAGTTAATAACTTGTTTTGGCAAGCCACCTGTAAAATGGTCATTTCGATAGATGCAAAAAGATTCTCACGTTTGATTGGAGACTTTTCTGGTCTGAGCCATTATATTAAATTGTTTAAGACTGTGGTTTTGGGGTCATCTAGAATTCACTTCAAAAATTGACTTTGTTACTGACTACCTGTAGGTCCCTGGGAAAGTCATTAATATCCCTTTGTCCAAGTTTATTTATTTGTAAAATGAGGAGTAATAGTGCTGAATGTTAAGAAGCTCATGTGGGCTTATAAAAATGAGATAATTCATATGCGGTGCTTAGCCAAATGCCTGGTACAGAATTAGCTCTGAATAAATGGTAACTACTATTTTTATTGTCCCTATTGTTCTTACTGTTATTTTTTAACAGACTACCTTAGTTCAGTGAACTGTTACCACATATTTTTCCTTACCCCGTACCCCCGGTCTTAAATGTTTCTGGATTTTTACTCTAGAACTTTGTTTCTTACTTAGATTATAAGGCTCTTTGAGGATCTGATGAAAGCTGTACCTGTTTTATCCAGAAAAAAGTACATAAAAATAACCACACAGTTTTCCGTAGGGTTGTTTGTGGACTCATTGAGCCTATAAATAAGAACCCTTGTTACTGAGCAAGAATGTAAAAACGCTGTTACCCATATAATGTTAAACTTAAAAATTTTTTATTATTATATAGTAATTGAGTTTCCATTGACTGCTTTGAAATTAGACCTGTTACCTAATCTCTGAGCTAAAATAACAGATTATGAACTATTGACCTTTTTAAAATAAACATTTTTGAACATTCCCAGTTTTATATTGAGAAACTCATGCTAACTTTGATTGGATTGAATCATATAGCTTTAAAAAATAATCTTATGTCTTTATTGTTTGTCTCACATTATATCATCTTTGGCCAAAAGCTATAAATTGACATGCTGTGTGTTTTTTTTTTTTTTTTTTTTTTGAGACGGAGTCTTGCCCTGTCGCCCAGGCTGGAGTGCAGTGGCGTGATCTTGGCTCACTGCAAGCTCCACCTCCCAGGTTCACGCCATTCTCCTGCCTTAGCCTCCCGAGTAGCTGGGACTACAGGCACCTGCCACCATGCCCGGCTAATTTTTTTATATTTTTAGTGGAGACGGGGTTTCACCGTGTTAGCCAGAATGGTCTCGATCTCCTGACCTCGTGATCTGCCAGTCTCAGCCTCCCAGAGTGCTGGGATTACAGACGTGAGCCACCACAACATGCTGTTTTTAAGGACCTCGTATGACATGATTTCCTAATTAGGATTTCTTAATTTTACTAATTAAATTTACCTAAAATTATTATCGTTTTGCACAATAAAAAAGTCTGTGTAAATTGCATAAATTGCATCTTGCTCTTCTGGATATTTCAGTACTGAATAGTTTAATTTTTTTTCTACTGTGTTTTATTAGAAGGCATATAGAATGTAGACATTATGACAGGATGTCAAGCGTTTTGTGATTCTAGGTGTCATTCTTCAAAAACAAATTATTGTTTCAGAAACTGTTTTGGCTGGGCCTACTTCACCTATACCTTCTCTGGGAAATGTGAGTGAAACTGCATCTGGATCAGTTACACAGCCAAAGAAAATTCGAGGAATTGGATTTGGAGACATTTTTAAAGAAGGCTCTGTGAAACTTCGGACAAGAACATCCAGTAGTGAAACAGAAGAGAAAAAACCAGAAAAGGTGGTAATGATGGACTTGTTAGATTAACTCCACTCATTCTCTCATTAAGCATTTTTTAAAATGTAAAAGTCAGTTTGTAACTCTGTTAGATTTCTTTTTTTCAGATCACTAATAATTTGGTTATGAATGAGGAGGCTGTGAGAAATTTTGTCTCCAAATTTACAATGATTAATATTCATGTTTGAATCTAATAAAATTAGAATGCTTATTTCTTGGTAAATTTAACACACTTAGTAGAAGCTTTAGGGTTTTTAGTTAGCACAGTGTAAATAAAAATTAGAGGGTTTTTTGCCTTTTAAAGCTAAAATTATATATAAATTTAGTTATATATATAATTAATATAATAAATATATATTTAATTTGAATTAGACCTAAAATGGACTGTTTTTAAAATGGATTTAGAAAATATTAAATTACTTGATATTTTGGCACTACTTAAATTTCCTCTAGATTGTCAACATTCATTAAATTTACTAAACTTCTTTGAATGTGTGGAGTATTTTATTTCATTAGCATTTTGCTGGCATTGTGAAATGAAACCAAGTAAGTGAGCCATAAATTATAAGAACTAAAAAGAGGCTTTAAAATAAAACCTTAAGCTGTTAATTTGGTGGTAAAATAGCTACAGTCTGTAGAACATTTTTTCACAGTTCCTTCTATCAGTCCTATCTCTTTAACTCTGAAGAAATTATAGTATTTCAGTATTTATTTGATTCGTGTAGCTACATCTCATTTAAAGACTGTGTTTTGGTTATTGAGATACTATTAAGTTTCCTCCTAAGATAGGTGGTTTCAACTTTTTTTATTCCTTTCCTAACTTGCTACGTATTTTCTTATGTAGCAGTGAAGAGTTGGGTTCAGGAAAGAGAACTTCCACTTTCTATCCTACATATTCCTAGCTCTGAGACTATCTGGCATTAGGATTGTGGGGTCAAATTGATTCTTGGTTTTAAAGGTAAAGTTTGGAATTCTCATGGTTTTTGGGGTGGTGCTCTATAGCCATGTAACAGCTAGGAATGTTGGACAAGCAATTCTTGGCATTGTGATAGAAATTAGACTAGATGATCTTGTGCCCCTTCTAACTCTAAAGCTTAGGATTATATTGAATAACTTTAGTTGATTAATGATTATATTATCTTTTAATCATCCTTGATAATGTCTACTACTCAAGAGTTGTTATTAGTGACTGTAGTCTCAGGGTTACCCTATATAATGGTCTGGTCAGGCTTGCTTTGATCACTGATCCAGGAATTGATAAAATAGGGAGCACATTTGCTGTGTTTGTAGGTGCACCACAATATGGTGTTTAGAGTTGGGGAAAACTAAAGTAAGTATTTTAGAAGATAACAGAAGACACAGTAGTAGGTAGGTAAGTTAGCAGTGTGTTCAGATTTTTAAATAATGACATCTAAGGTTAAATGTACTGTTGTTTCTGGGTTAAATTACTGTTAAATAATAAGGTTAAATTACTGTTGTAATCTGTTAGTCCTTTACAGATTACAATGGAAAAATGTCTAGTAGACTGTAGCTATAAGGAACATAAGATTACCTGAATCATTTACATTCAGATAGCAATGAAGTATAAAGAGTTTTTTTTTCTCCTCTTTCATTTTAAGGTTTAGTTCTGGGTTAAAATCTGGGCTTTGCTGCTAAATTCCTTTTACTATGGACAGATGACTTATACAAATTTGTATTATTGTTTGAATAGTGCCCACTTAATGCAGATAGTTATGAGGCTACTAGTCCTATTTGCACTATTTATATAAAGTGTTTAGCCCAGGGATTTAAGTTCTCAAGTGCTGTTGTTTTTATTTATTGTATTTGTTTTATTGTAGTTTTTAGAGATAGGGTCTCACCATGTCATCCAGGCTGGAATGCAGTGGTACAATCATAGCTCACTTATAACCTTGAACTCCTGGTTTCATGCAGTTCTCCTGCCTTGGCCTCCCTAAGTGTTGGGATTCAGACATGAACCACTGGTTCCTAGCCTCTTATTTATTTTAGAGATTCTAAAATTAAATCTCATTAATATACTATGGACGTCAGAGAATATTATCTTTGAGACAAGGAATCTTTAAATTGGTAGCTCTGAGCTATGATTTAAGGAACTTTGGAGACCTTTACCTGTTTCATTGCTAAGTTTTCAGTCACATTACTATCCTAGCTATAAGTACCATTAGGGAAAGCTGGGTAACTGTAAATGGAAACTTTGTTTAACAGTATTATCTTTATTCTATCTTAAAATAGTTTATGCCATTTTTTTCTATTCTAGCCCTTAATCCTACAGTCACTGGGACCCAAAACTCAGAGTGTGGAGATAACAAAAACAGATACCGAAGGTAAAATTAAAGGTATGTTTTTGAATAAAGCTTTCATATTGGGAATAGTAGAAACATACTCAAATGTATTAAGAGACTTGTTGGAAGCATTTGTTACACTGTCTTATTAGAATAGCAAATTCTATTAGATGTAAGCACCATGAGGTCAAGGATTTTGATATACTTTGTTGGTTGATGGATGTATCTCCTTGTAGTTGAATCTGTGCCTGGAACATCACAAACAGTAAATATTTGAATGAATGGATTAATGAAATTGTTACTTAACATACGGTATTGACTATAAGTATTTTAAAATTTAAAGATAATTAAGTTCATCTCTAATAACTTTTAGTATACTTTACACAAGATAGAGGCTAAATAAGTATTTGTTGAATGAATCCATTTGTGTGAGCCACATTATTTACATTCTTTATTTCAGCTAAAGAATATTGTAGAACATTATTTGCCTATGAAGGTACTAATGAAGATGAACTTACTTTTAAAGAGGGGGAGATAATCCATTTGATAAGTAAGGTAAGGTGTTTCTGTTTTTCAGTGAATTGCTTAATTTATTTATAGAAATATTTTTCAAAAGTTATACATTCACCCTAGAGTGTTCTTATATTCACCCTGGAATCTAGAAGAGCTGGGACTTTGTCTTGTTTCTAAGTCCTGAAAACTTGGCACGTAATAAGTGCTCAGAACGTTCTCTTTTTGAGCTAACTTTTATTGACTATATTTGTTGTAATTTACATATTGGGAATTATTGTTAACCATCATATTTGTTCTTTTTTAAGTACTTTTTTTTTAAAATTAACCTCAACTTCCCAGGTTTTTATTCTTACTTCTCTTCCACCTCATTCTATTTTTTCTCCTGTCTGTCGTTTGGAGTGTTGTTTGTAATGTAAACAGAAGAAAAATAGGGAAACAAGCTAAACATCCATGAGTATGGAAATGGTTCTGAAACTCTTTTTACTCTGGAAAATGATGTCACCATTTTAAAGAATGAAGTGATTTTATAACTTGGAATAAATCCTAATGCAAAATAAAGAGAAAACCCAGTACTACTTGTGTGTGGGCAGAATCCTATAATAACTAGTATTATGGGAAAATTACAAATATTTTGTTTTTGCTATAACCCTGTAGAATAATTTTTGAAATTCTGCCCCCCACCCCCAACCTTTTTTAAGTAGAAATGGAGTCTTGCTATGTTGTCCAGGCTGGTCTCAAACTCTTGAGCTCAAGCATTCCTCTCGCTTTGGCCTCCCAAAGTGCCGAGATTACAGGTGTGAGCTACCACACCTGGCCCCATTGTTTTACACTGACTTTGTTATAAGATGTCATAGTGTATATAATTTTTTTTAAAAATAAGTTTTATTGTGTAAAGTATAATGATGTTATAGGATACGTAGTAATAAAAAGGTTATTATAGTGAAGCAAATTGACATCTGTCATCTCACATAGTTACCTTTTTTGTTTTAGTGGCAATAGCAGCTAAAATCATTTAGCAAGAATTTTATAAATGTATGTGAATTTTCATATTAATATAATTTGCACTGATTACACCTAATTTTTCATGCAAGGGTGGTGGGTATTTAGAAGAAACTTAGAAGGTCTTGTTAATTAAAAAAAAAGAAAAAGAAAAATTAAAGACAAGGTCTAGCTTTGTCGCCCAGGCTGGCGTGCAGTGGTGTGATCATAGCTCAATGCAGCCTTGAGCTCATGGGCACAAGTGATCCTCCTGCCTCAGCCTCCTAAGTAGCTGAGACTACTACAGTTGCATCCCATTGCGCCTGATTAATTCTTTTTTCAAAATTTTTTTGTAGAGACAGGGTCTTGCTATGTTGCCCAGGCTGGTGTTGCAAACTCCTGGCGTCAGGCAATCTTCCCACATCAGCCTCTGAAGTTACTGGGATTACAAAGCATGAACCACTGTGCCTGGTCAAATCGTGTTAATTTTTAAAGCAGCTGAATAATGTGATTAATTTTTAGTATATAAAGTGTTAAAAGTGTTAAGAAGGATACAGTTTAGAAATTCATATTCTCCCTCTCCACCTTCCTCTCTTTTCCACTTCCTTTCATTATATCTTTTTTTTTTTTTTGAGATGCAGTCTCGCTCTGTCACCCAGGCTGGAGTGCAGTGGTGGTGTGATCTCGGCTCACTGCAGCCTCTGCCTCCCGAGTTCAAGCAATTCTCCTGTCTCAGCCTCCTGAGTAGCTGGGACTACAGGCGCCTGTCACGATGCCTGGCTAATGTTTGTATTTTTAGTAGAGACGGGGTTTCACCTTGTTGGTCAGGCTGGTCTCAAACTTCTGACCTCAGGTGTTCCACCCACCTCAGCCTCCTAAAATGCTGGGATTACAGGTGTGAGCCACCGTACCCGGCCTCATTTTATCTTTCTCTTTTTTCCTCTGAGAACATTTTAACGTTATAAATGGAATTTTAAAATTGATATAGTTTTTAAAACTAAACGCAATTTTGTAACTGCTGCTAAAAGTAATACGTGGGAAATATTTTCTTTTAGGACAGTGTGATCTGTTTAGTTCCAGCCAGGCACAGTGGCTCATGCCTGTAGTTCCTGCACTTTGGGAGACCAAATCAAGAGGATCATTTGAGCCCAGAAGTTTATGATTGCATTCCTGTGGTCCCAGCCACTTGGGAGGCTGAGTTGGGAGGATCACTTGAGCCCAGGAGGTTGAGGCTGCAGTGAGTCATGATCGCATCACTGCACTTCAGCCTGGCCAACAGAGCAACACTTTATCTTAAAAAAAAAAAAAAGGTCTATTGTCTTAATTATTCTATTTTGCTTTTTAGGAGACTGGAGAAGCTGGCTGGTGGAGGGGCGAACTTAATGGTAAAGAAGGAGTATTTCCAGACAATTTTGCTGTCCAGATAAATGAACTTGATAAAGACTTTCCAGTAAGCTTTTGTTTTTCAATGATGATAATACTTGAAAGAACATTTTGCCACTATTCTTTTGCAAACAAGTTTTTTTGCATTATTATTGAATAATTTTTATGAAGGAGTTTCAGATGTAGCTATTCAGGTAGGAGTTATTTGAGTTATAGTAAAACAAAATAATGTTTCAGTTCCGTACTTTATTCTTCCTTTGTTTCTTTCTCGACTGTACTGAAAAATAACCTTAGACTTCTTTATTTTATAATTTAAGAAGGGCTGTCTATCCTAATAACATAAATTAGTACTTTCCTGGAAGAAATTGTATTTTTATTTAATGTTGTTGAAAAGCTCTAGTTTATTTTAAGGTCTTGTGGATATTGCTGTTATGCTGTTGGTGCATTTTTTTGGGAGGGCAAGAGCACTCTGCCTCCTTACAGAATTTGTTATTTTTGTGTCACTTCTCAGAGAAAAAGTGAGGCTGAGTCATTCATCAGTGGTCTTTTGCCTTCCTACAACTTGGTCCCTTTTCCCCATGGATGAGGAATATAATAGAGTTTTTAGAATAGAGGGAAAGAGCATCAACACAAGCACACAACAGGATGGGCTACCATGTTAGGTTTAAGCCAATGCATAACTCTCCAACTCTATGGAAGCTTAGGCTGTCTGAGGCCTTTGTTTTGTTAGATTGCATTCAGTATTGATTCAGCCTTCATATGCTTTATTTTATAGTTTTACTAAAGAATACGTTTTTCTGCTTTTATTATGTTTGTACATTACGGCTTATCAATTATTCTTAATTTGTAAAAACCAAGTCCACCAACTTAGAAGTGTATATCAATATTTTAAGGTATTAAGTCTTAAAAATGAGCGAATGTTTATAAATTGAGAAAAAACATGTCTTTGCCTTTAACTGTTCCTTTGAGAGTTCCAAAGAGTTAAGAGTGAAAACTAAGTCTATTTGTTGCTACTCTGTTTTTAAAAACCAAAACAAAACAAACAAAAAAAAAAACGGTCTCTCCCTTGTTCTGCCAGTCTTCCTCTCCCCACAACCCCAGCTGCAAAAGAGGGGTAAAATGGTACTTAGGAATCTTAACCTAGGGGAGGCAGAGCAGAACATTTTTGCTCATTAAGATTTTTAAGGTTTATTCAATCCACTGAAATATGGATTGAGATATTTGACTGAATTTTGACCAATGAGGCTGTTTTTTCTAATGAAATAATTTGTTGTCATTGACTTTTTGGGTAGTTTTTACGATCTTAGCATTTTATATTTTGTCAAGGATTGAATGAAGAGGAGAGACATTTGTATAATTTAGATTATTACTAATTAGAGTTTATTTTAACTATATTTGATATGAAACTGGTCAGCCGTTTCCACCATTATTATTTTAACAGAAACCAAAGAAACCACCACCTCCTGCTAAGGCTCCAGGTATGTAAGAAGCATATTATTCAGTTTGCTATTTTCCATTTTTTAAAATTCTAAAATGGTAAAATTGGATCTAATGCAAACTATTGATTTTTATCAAGTATGATGTCTGTAAACATTTTTAGAAATATATGAAAATTGAGTGTTCACATGCATTAGTATCTGTCATTTTTCTTAAAGTACAAATGGTATAAAATAGGGATCTTGAAAATGTAGATACTTTATATGTAATTTTGAGTTAATAAAATTAATCAAATTTAAACTGTTTTAGAAAACTTAATATATTGACCTGGCCAACTAGTTATTCTACCGTTTCAAATGAAATCCATTTGTTAATGTCTCAAATAATAATTTATGTACTCTTCTTTTCAGGGAATATGCTGAAGGTTAAACAAAGTAGATGATTTTAAACAGATGAATAAATTATGGTAGACCTAGAAGTGTCTTCAAGAGTTAAAGTTTTGTAATCTGGCTCTTTGCTTCCATAATTTTCGAATAATTGATCTTTACAAGTGTAATAAAAATTTCTATTTCCTAAAAGATTTGCTGTTTTTTTAGAATAATTCAAGTCTTTTTGTCGCCCTTGGTTTTAGCTTTATATTTGCTGACCTAATCCTAGAGCAAAGAAAACATAAGTTAAAAGTAATTTTTATAGAAGTTGGTGTTGAAAGCTTTTTATATAGCTTTACTCTTCAATGTGGTAGCCACTAACCATGTGTGGCTTTTAAACTTAAGATTAAATAAAATTTAAAAATTCAGTTTCTCAGTCATAGGAGTGCCATTTCAAGTGTTCAGTAGTCACATGTTGGATACTGAAAAAATAGAATGTTTTCATCACCACAGCTCTTCCATACTGCAGTACGGTAGAGGATATGATCTCTAACACCTAAATTTGACAAAGAAGGAACTGAGACCACAGAGTAGGGTAATAGTGGCAGGTCCAGGATTAGAAATTGAGCCTGGTAATTCCGGTACATTGTTCTTTCTATTAAACCATGGTTTCATCTGATGTTATTTTTCAACTCATCTTTACTTTTTAGAAGTGTAATTGTCTCTGTGCTTTAAAACTGTCTTCTTAAAAAAGTATTAATGTTTTTTCCCATAGCTCCAAAGCCTGAACTGATAGCTGCAGAGAAGAAATATTTTTCTTTAAAGCCTGAAGAAAAGGGTGAGGCTAATTTTCAACTTTCAAAAAAGCAATTATTTCTTTTATTGTCATTTTAAAGAGAATTATTTCTCCACACTGAGTTATTTACACTGATTTTTAACAGGTATTCAGTATGTATTTAACAATGCTTGGAGTTTTCTGGGAGGGAGTAGTTCATTTCTCAAACAGATAACAATTTACATTCATTAAAAAATTAAACTATTCAGTAGGATGTTGTCTTTATTCAGTTATTTCACAGACTGTATAAGAAAACTAAGCATTAAATAACTATGCTTTTATTATTTTTATAGTGTTTCAGTTTTTAAAAAATTCCTTAGAATGTTGAAGACCCAGTTCCTACTTAAGCATGAAAATAATTAATTACATATTATTTAATCTCACTGCATGTGTTTGTCATAATGTAAACCTGGAAAGTTATTCCAGGGTACCACATGTATTTTGCTAAAAACCTTATTGGTTTGTTGTGAATTTGGAGAAAATAAGTCCTTCTCATTGCACATAAAGATTTGCAATGATTGTCACTAGTAGATTAGTTTATATACATCAAGAAACTTGAATACTATTTTAGAATGCTTTTTGTTTCTTCCTCCAGTGTTGTAGTCTAATCCATCCTTGTTTCTTGCCTAAAGTATTGTATCCTCTTACTTGATTTCTCTCACTTTAGCTCCTTTTCTGGCTCATACTTCATGTTGTTGCCAGGATCATGTTTTTTTTGTTTTTTTTTGTTTTGTTTTTTTTTTTTTGTCTCGCTCTCTGGCCCAGGCTGGAGTGCAGTGGCGCAATATCGGCTCACTGCAAGCTCCGCCTCCTGGGTTCATGCCATTCTCCTGCCTCAGCCTCCTGAGTAGCTGGGACTACAGGCACCCGCCACCACGCCCGGCTAATTTTTTGTATTTTTTAGTAGAGGCGGGGTTTCACCATGTTAGCCAGGATGGTCTCGATTTGCTGACCTCGTGATCCACCCACTTCTGCCTTCCAAAGTGCTGGGATTACAGGTGTGAGCCTCCGTGCCTGGGCCAGTATCATTTTTTTAAGGAGACTGTTTTTTAGAGCAGTTTTAGGTTCACAGCAAAATTGAGCCAAAAGTACAGAGTTCCTGTATACTTCCTTTCTTCACACAGGCACAATTTTTCCCACTGTTAACATTCTGTACCAGAGTGGCATATTTGTTAAAATCAGTGAGCCTTCCTACATTGACACTTCTTTATCACTCAAAGTCCATAGTTTCCTTTAGTGTTCACTCCTAGTGTTGTAACTATTATGGATTTTGACAAATGTATAATGTCCTGTATCCACCATTGTAGTATCATACAGAATAGCATTACTACTCTAAAAACCTTCTTTATTCTACCTATTCATCTGTCCTTCCCTTCAACCCTTGTCAACCATTAATTTTTTTAATGACTCCATAGTTTTGCCTTTTCCAGAGTGTCATATAGTTAGAATCATACAGCACGTAGCCTTTTCAAATTGGCGTCTTTCACTTAATTATATGCCTTTAAAATTTCTCCGTATGTTTTCATGGCTTGGGAGGCATATGTTGTTAGCATCAAATAATATTTCAATGTCTTTATATTCCACAGTTTATTAATCCACTCACTCACTGAGGGACATCGTGATTGCTTCTAAGTTTTGGCACTTATAAGGGGAGCTGCTATAAATGTGTGTAGGTCTTTGTGTGGACATATTTTCTATTCATTTGGGTAAATACCAAGGAGAGGGATTACCTGATAATATGGCAAGAGTATATTGAGTTTTGTAGGCGCAACTGCCAAACTTCTTCCAATGTGGCTGAACCATTTTGTACTCCCCCTAGTAATCAGTGAGAATTTCTGTTCTACGTTCTAGCCAGCATTTGGTATTTTAAGTGTTTTGGATTTTGGCCTTTCTAATAGGTGTGTAGTGGTATTTTACTTTTGTTTTCAGTTGCAATTCCGTAATGATATATGATGTTGAATATCTTCTCATATGCTTAATTGTCATTTGTATATCTTTGGTAAAGTGTTCTGGTCTTTTGTTCATTTTTTATTCAGGTTTTTTTTCCTTCAGTTTCTTTCTTTGTATATTTTGTATAGCAATCCTTTAGTAGATGTCTTTTGCAAATATTTTCTCCCAGTCTGACTTGTTTTCTTCACAGAGCAGAAGTTTTAAATTTGATTGAAGCTTATCAATTACTTCTTTTATGGATCATGGCTTTGGTGTTGTATCTAAAAAGTCATTGCCATACCCAAGGTCATCTGGATTTTCTCCTGTGTAATCTTCTAGGAATTTTATAGTTTTGTGTTTTACATTTAGGTTTGTGATTCATTTTGAGTTAATTTTTGTGAAAGTTGTAAGGTCATTGTCTAGATTCATTTTTTTTTTTTTTTGGCATGTGAATGTCTAGTTGATCCAACACCGTTTGTTGAAAAGACTTTCAGTTTTCAGATAAAAATCAAAAGTTCAAATTCAAGGCCCTCCAGTAACTAACTGACCCCCCGATTACATTTTTGATATCATCTTCCACCCTTTTTGTTTACTAAATGTAGCACTCACTCTCTAGTCCCTAAATATGTCATGTACTTTCCTAGCTTTATCTTTCGTTTTACTTTCAAAATGGAAGTTTTTTTATATTCTTTTTTTATACTTAAGAATTTTAAAAATATGCTGCACAAACAATTTATGCTTAATAAAAATATTAGTCTCAGATTAATTCTTTGTGAACTAGTTAGGTAGGAGTCTTAGATCAGTTTTTAGTACTTGTTTATAATATCTGTCCTACCTGAAAAACTCAGCTTACCAAGATATGTAGAACCACATGTAAGAGGTATATTGCTGGCTTTATTATCTATTTTTTTACTATTAAAAAAAATCATGTCACCAGTTAGTCAGCAGTTTTGTTAAAATTCAGATAGTGACTTCCCCTTTTCCCTAAAATCAGTCAGTTGTTCTTATAAATAAATTGGAGGCCGGGCGCGGTGTCTTACGCCTGTAATCCCAGCACTTTGGGAGGCCGAGGTGGGCGGATCATGAGGTCAGGACATTGAGACCATCCTGGCTAACACGGTGAAACCCCGTCTCTACTAAAAATAAAATAAAAAAAAAAAAACCAGCTGGGTGTAGCGGCGGGCGCCTGTAGTCCCAGCTACTCAGGAGGCTGAGGCAGGAGAATGGCGTGAACTCGGGAGGCGGAGCTTGCAGTGAGCCGATATTGCGCCACTGCACTCCAGCGTGGGCGACAGAGCAAGACTCCGTCTCAAAAAAAAAAAAAGGAAGGTGATGCATTTTTGTTACTTTTATCTATGCAAAATCCTGCCCATGGTGGAATGACAGGGACCGAATTTACACTCCTGAGTTAAACAACTGGAAAATTGGACAAAATGTATGAAACAGTGGCTTTCACATATCGGACATCAGACAGTATAAGTCACTGTGACACTGAAGTGAGACCTATAATTACCACAGCTTATTGTCTAGAAGCAGTTTACAGGCAGCAGAAAGGAGGAAGCCAAACAGACCTCGATGTCCTACAGAGTTGAGGATGCAGAGATAGGTATTTAGGAAGGCCCGGGCAGCTACAATTTGTGGGGCAGAGTGCCAGAGTGGTGGGAACTGCACAGCGAGTACTCAGATCTGTAGACAGCTTACTGTGAGGCTTTGCCTGAATATTGATCTACACATGCATGAAAAGAAATTTCCATAATGGAGAAATAACCATTGGAAAGCAATAGGTGAAGCACTCTTTGTAACTCACAAACAGTTCATTTTTCCATGAGCCAGAGTAGAAAGATCTCATAATATATAGCACATTGGATAGAGTTCATAAAACAGTGTATCACCTTAGACTAAAGGTTTCTCTGCCTCTATCTTGGAAATACGGCCAACAAATTCCAGAATAAAATTTGGTACAACTTAAAAGCATATAATGAAATTTTGTATTCAAGAGAGTAAAAATCACGGCGTCCATTGTCTGATTAAAGATTGCCAGGCATAGAAAGAGCAAGAAAATAGCAATACACAACCAGGGAAGAAAAATCAGTCAGCAGAAAAGAGCAAGAAATGACAGAGATGGTGGAGATAGAAGGCAAGTACATTAAAACAGCTATGATAAACGTTTCCCATGTGTTTAAAAAGGTAGAAGAAAATGTGAACATTACAGTGCAAAAACTGGAAAATATAAGAAAGACCCAAATTGAACCTTTAGAAAAGAATAATACAGTATCTGAAATGAGAAACACTGAATGGAATGTCCAGTAGAGTGGAAACTGCAGAAGAAAATGTTAGTGAACTTGAAGACATAGCAAATAGAACCATTAAAAATGTATAGAAAAAAAGTGAACAGAATATTGGTTACCTGAGTGACAATATCAAGTGGTTTTACTTACCTGTAATTGGGGTACCTAATGGAAAGGTGAGAGAATGGGGACATGAAAAAACTTAAAGAAATAATGGCTGAAAATTTTAATTTGATGCAAATTTATGACAAAAAGCTTAAAGCCAGGAAGAAAATAACTGTCAACCTATAGTTTTCTACCTAACAAAAATACCTTTTGGGAATGGGTCAAAATTAAAACCTTTTGAGACAAAATCTCAGAGAACTTATTGCCAGTAGAACTGTATTACAGAAAATGTTAAAAAATTACTTTTGGTAGAAGGAAAACGATACTAGATTGGCAGTTGGTATTACTCAAAGCAATGAAGAATGCCAGAAGTAGTAAATATGTGAATAGATATAGAAGACATTTTCCCTCCATTTAAAAATCTCACAAGAACTGTTCACTGGAATGACTTGAAAACTTAATATAAAGTGTTGGTTTTGGAGTTTTAGGGTAGATATGAGAATTTTTTTGTATATAGGTTAAACAAGAGAAGGCATAACAAAGGAAATGATTCTAAGTATTTTCAGAATGTTCTCATACACCTGATATGCCTTTAATAGATCAGGTACCATGAATAAGAAAAATGTCAGTGTTTTGCCAGTGACCTTTGGACACATGCATTCAGAGAGGGCCAGTTGAATATTAAATATTGTTAAATTATTTTTTACTAAGTAACAGTAAACATAAATCAAAGTTCTACCCTTGTTCCCATAGTTGAGAGAGGGAGCATTTTCAAATCATGGCTAGGACCAATTTGAAGCGTCTTAAGCCTTCCACCAAGGAAATAAAGCATTTTTCATTTGTATTTGTGTTCATGGTTTTTATCTCATGATCTTAGGTTCCATGGAAGGTATCCTTCGAAAAGCTCTGTTCTGTCAGAGATGTGGGGCGCAGAAAAGAGCTACTTAGAAACCATGAAACTGATCACCCCTCTATTTTGGACTCTTAAGTGATTCCCCGTTATTTCATGGGATATTTTCTCAAATGTTTAGATAGGTGATTAAACTCTCACTTTCTACTTTCTGTCCCAAGCCACCACGTGGATTTTCTCAAACCTGCTTAGCAGTTCTCTGCCCCTCTGTTGTTTTCATTTTCCCAGAAGTACCTAAAATCCTGGCAAGCTGTGTCCCAGAATGGTAATAATATTACCACTTTGAAGCACAAGTTATCCTGCTTTTTGAGATGTCCTTTTTTGTATTTATCTTTCAGTAAGATACTCATCATGTCATTGGTATGAAATTCATGATACAAAGGGAGGAACTCATAATTATTTTGGAATGCAAGTAGGGAGGCATGTAAATGTGTAGAAGAGAATGTAACAAAGGTGCTGTTTCTTATAAAATCACTAAAATGGTAACTTTTATCTTATGTCCTCCTCACTTCCTATACACACATACACAGTCATACCCACAGAAAGAGCATAAAATGGTGCTGAAGGCCAGTCTGGTTCTATACTTTCACTGGTAGAAGCAGTGAATCTGCTCACTTTTGCTTTAGGAGCATTTCCTTCTGAATTCTATTATTGTAGGCTCATGGCTTCAGCCACCATTTGTATACTTCTGATTCCCAGTCAGTGGATGGATTTATTTACATTTATTGCTTTCCGTGTGTTTGCAGTTCCATCTGTTTGCATTTCATACTTTCTGTCTAAAATACATACTTTTTTAGGGGACATCCTTCTTTCTCTGGAATTGTACTTCTCTCAGAATCTTTCATGGCCAGGTTTTTCTCATCTTTTAGATTCCAGCTTAAAATTTTGCTTCCTTGACAGTATTTTCCTTACCTACACTATTTAAAAGTAGGTATTTCTCATTATTGTCTGTTACATATTAGTTTAGATGTTTGTTTTGGGATATTCTTTACCCTGCACTTGGTTAAACTCCATGAGGGAAAAGGTGTGTGTATAGATACCTGTACCTTACTTGCCATTGGTTCTCTAATGCGTTACACAATAGGTATATAATACATAGGGAATACTTAATGCAGTACTTATTATATAATATGAAGGATTCTTTAAAATCTGAAGGATTCCAGATTATGACGTGTTTACATTTGTTTTTCTGAAACTTCCTTCTAGTGGTATTTAGCTAGATAATGGTGGTGTGGATAGTGGAAGGTGGTATGGGTAAAAGGAAGCTGAAGTGTTTCAAGAGCAAAGAACAGAAAATCCTTATTGAAACTGACTTAAACAATAGGGAAAACATCTCACATAATTGAAAGTCTAGAAGTAGGAGTCATATGACCTGCCACTCAGTGATTCTGTTATGGACCTGAATTATATCTTTCCATTCTGCCATCCTCAGTGTACACTTTATCTTCAGACTGTCTCCTCTTGTGATCACAAGAATGCTGAGAGTGGCAATCAGGGCGACATGATTTCTTGTCCATTTGACAGAAAAGAGAGGAAAACCTCTCCCCAACCATAGAATGTAAGTCCTTTCAGTTTCTTGGACCACTTTTGAGCACATTTACCTCTAGACCAATGAAACTTATAAGAAGAATACTATTTACTGATTGTCTCAGTGTAATCATATGAAAGTAGGATTGATTTGGGAGGACTCAACTGCATTGTCTGCTGAAGACTTTGAGATATATTTAGGATCTATCATAAGGAATGCAATTTAGGTTCTACTTTGACATCTTGTTGACTAATGAGATACTAATGATTATGACGATGGGGAAATGAGATAGGAAGTATGGAATAGAGACAGTTTCTGGAGGAAACCATGTGAATTCAGCTTTTGACATGGGATTTGATACGAAATATTGGCTGAACTTTTACTAAGAGTTTGTATTAAGTGTTTAGTTGGAAGGTGCTATTCTGGAAGTTAGGTATTAAATTTACAGGTATGGGTAAGATTGTCCAAGAAGATTGCTTAGCGTAAGAATGCGAAGAGAGCTTTCTCAGGATATATACATTTAAGAAGTTGTTTGATGACCAGGAACTCTTGAATATACACACACACACACAAATGTATATACACACACATATATATACACAAATATACACACATACACACACACAAATATATATACATATATACACACACATATACACATATGTATGTGCACATATATATACACATACGTATGTACACACATATATACACATATGTACACATATATATACACACACACACACATATATATATATATATTTGTCAGAGTCATCTGCTAGAAGTAGGAGAGCTACAAATAAAATGAAGAATCATAAGATCAAGATAGAGGGGAAGAGGAGAGCCCAGTAAAGTCTGGCATTGGGGCTCATATTTCCTGTTGGAGCATTTGCCAATCTTGAAAGTGGTAGCTTAGCCTATGAAAAGAACTTTCGATAGACTTTTGGGCTCAAGGAGACAAAAATTAGAGTTCAAAGCTCATGAAAGAGGAGGTATCCTAGTGAACTAGGTTTTGATTTAGTTCCTAAAGGGATTTACTGTTGGAGGAAGTATGAAATGGAAATAGACCTAACTCTGAGGAACACTGAAGTTCAACTTCTAATAATCTCAATTCTTGATGGGAGGAAGGTGACCTGGGATTTTTACTATCCCTACCTTAGCTTACTGAAAGAATGAAAGTAAACCTTCATTGTCTAGAGAAGAAGACATCATCTAGAGTTTTAAATTATCTCTATGTTTTCCTGTAAATCTTTTGTGTCTTGTACTCATTCAGAGATAATTAGGCATACTGATAGATATGACACATGGCTAGAAACCAAGAACAACAGACAATGGAACCTGGCCTTTAGGGGATCTAGATATTAGAGATACTAGATATAAGCTTTAAAGTAACTGTGCTTAATAAATGTTAGAAGTAATAAAAGATGGGGTTGATAATTTTGACAGAACTAGAACCTTGTAAGTATATATGAATATGAGTCAGTCTAAGCTTAAATGAATTTGTTTACATATATAAGTATATATAAATATATACACACAAATGTTAATATATGTGTGTATATTTTTAAAAGAAAATATCTGAACTGAAACATAAGGAGACAAAAAAGATAGAAAATATGGAAAAGACCTTAAGAGACATAAAGAATATGGTTGACTCTTGAACAACATGAGTTTGAACTATATGGGGTCCACGTATACACAGATTTTTTTCAGCCTAATGGGGAATAAAAATACAGTATTTGTGAGAATACAAAACCGCATATGAGGAGAGCCAACTTTTGTGCAGGCACGTTCCACAGTGCTCACCATCGGGTTTGAGTATGTGTGCTTTTGGTATACGTGAGGATCTTAGCACCAATCCTCTGTATATACAGAGGGATGACTGTACAGTGGGAAGGTCTTATGTACATGTAATTGGAGGACCAGATAGGAGGGAGAAAAAAATGGAGCAGAAACTGTATTTGAAGATACAATGTTTTTCAATTTTCTAAAAGTGATTAAAAGCATCAGGCCACAAAACCAAGAATACTATGGAATCCAACCTGGATATATGCAAAGAAAACATTGAGGCAAGGAATTGAAGAAGACACACAAAAAAATGGAAAAATATTCCATGTTTAAGGATTGGAAGAATCAATATTGTTAAAACTTCCATACTACCCAAAGCAATCTGCACATTCAGTGCAATTTATAACAAAGTTTATAAATTTATAACAAAGTTGCCATTGGAAACAGCACAAATGTTCAACAGCAAAAGAATGGGTAAAAGAGTTGAGGTATATTCACATACCATGTTACCACGTAGCAACAAATAAATGAACGAGAGCTACACACAGCAAAATGAATCTTAGGATTTCGTTGACATAAAGTTAAAAATATTCATAAATAATCTGTGGTGTTAGAAGACAGCTTGGGTGGAAGCAGGTGGGGTAGTGATTGGGAAGAAGGATAAGGGTAACTTCAGAGATGTGGATCATGTTCAGTTCTTGGCCTATGTGGTGGTTACTCTGGTATGTTCATGTGGTAATAGTTTCTCAAACTTTATACTTACCATTTCTGAAAATGTTATGCTGCAGTTTAAACTTCAGTGAGATAAATACGAATAAATATATTTTGTCCTAAAATTTTCTAAAATGTTAGGAAAATAGGTTCAATTAAGAATAGACTCACTACTTTTTAGGTAGTACATTTTTTCTCTAAGGCATCTCCAAGTGATCACAAAGAATAGAATATTTGATTTTTTTAAATTAGAATTTATGCACTTGGAATCACTCCTGTTTTGGTGCCCATATTATCACTTATTTTTCCATTTCAATTAATGCAGTAGGACATTGACCCTCATCTGAATTAATAAATGGGTTAACTTATTACGTACAGTGTTGGTAATGTATTGCTATATTCTGAAGCAAATAAAAGGACATATTTTGGTTATTTTGTTGTATTTTGTTAGCATACATTTTAGACATTTTTGTTAAAAAAATTATATACCTGAGATAACTCTTTTCTGTATTTCATTTTCTTTCTTGGAGACAGGGTCTCACTCTGTTGCCCAGGCTGGAGTGCAGTGATGTCATAGCCCACTGCAACCTCAAACTCCTAGGCTCAGGTGATTCTCTCACCTCGGCCTCCAGAGTAGCTGGGACTAAAGGTACATGTCACCATAACTGGCTAATTTTTTAATTTATTTTTTTCTTTTATAGATATGGGGGTATTGATTTGTTGCCCAGGCTTGTCATGAACTCCTGGCTTCAAGCGATGCCCCCATCTCAGCCTCCCAAAGTGTTTGGGTTAAAGGCATGAGCCACTGCACCCAGCCTGTGTCTTAAATTATCATAATATCTGTACCTTATGTAATTCTTCCTTGGTCATTCAGGCAGCTAACATAGAACTTTTTTTTTTCTCCTTAAATCTACATTTTCTCTTGGATTTGGCAAATTTTTAGCTGAACTAACATTCTAGTACTCACAGCTGGATGTTCTCAAAAGAATGAAGTTGGAGCCCTACCCCACACTGTAAGCAAAAAGTAACTGAAAATGGATCATTGACCTTAAATATAAGAGTTAAAACTCTTAGATGAAAACAAGAGTAAATCTTCATGGCCTTGGATTTGGCAATAGGTTTTTAGATACGTGTGATATTGTGATCTAATAAGGAATGTGCATTTAATATTTGTCCCTGGTTCCTGGCACCATAGCTCCTAAAACCCTTGAAATTTCCTGAGTGATAAAGGTGAGAGGAACATCTTTTGTTATTTATAACAAGCATCTTTCAACCACGTCTGAGTTTATATTAATGAGGAGGCTTTTGTAAAGTCCCTAAGGATGGGGAGGGGCCTTGTTGCCAGGGGAACCAACCAAATGTTTAGCTTTCATTAAAAACCCTAAACAACAGAGTTTAGAGAGCTCATGGGTTTGTGAACACATTGAGGGGATAGGAAGGTGGTACACCTGGAGAAGTTACGGAAACTCTGCATCTCTTCCTGCATACCTTGCCTTTTGCATGTGTTCCATTTGGCTGTTCTGAGCTGTATCCTTTATAATAAACTGTTAACAGTGAGTAAAGTGCCTTCCTGAGTTCTGTGAGCTCTTCTAACAAGTTATCAAACCCAAGGAGTGATCATGGGAATCCCCAATTTATAGCCAATTGATCAGAAGTACGAGAGGACAGGACTTGAGATTGGAATCTGAAGTGGGAGCAGTCTTGTGGGTCTGAGCCTTTAACTTGTGGGATCTGATGCTAACCCCAGAAAGACAGTGTCAGAATTGAATTAAATTATAGGACACTCAGCTGGTGCCAGATAATTGGTTGTTGTGGGAATAAATCCCCACACATTTGGTGTCTCAGAGTGTTATGAATCTAGAGAAAAGTATTTTGTTCTTTTTAGACTATGTCACAAAAAGCATATTTAACCAAAGAAAAAATAATTGTACTTTATCAAAATTAAAAACTTATATGCATTAAAGGACATTAAGAAAGTAAAAAGACAACTTACAAAATGGGAGAAATCTTATGAGATTTGCAAGTATCTGGAATATGTAAAGGACTGTTACAACTTAACAACAAAAAGACAAACCTGTTTAAAACTGCAGCACAGGCTGAAATAGGTATTTATCTAAAGGAGATATATAAGTTTTGTTTTTTATAACAAGCATGTTTATAAGCATGCTTGTTATATAAGCACTTGAAAAGATGTTTAACATCATTAATCATGTCAGTAAGCACTTGACAAGATGTTTAATATCATTAGTCTTTAGGGAAATGCAAATCAAAACCACAGCGAGCACCACTTCACACCCACTGAGATGGTTAAAAATTTTTTTAAGAAAGGAAAATAAGTAATAAATGTTTGCAAGGATGTGGAGAAATTGGACTTTTATACATTACTGGTGCAAATAGAAAATGTTTTAGCTACTATGAAAAGCAGTTAGGTGGTTCTTCAGAAAGTTAAACATGGAATTACCATATGACCCAGCAGTTCCAAACGTCCAAGAGAATTGACAACAGACTCTCGTGTATTGTATGTAAATATTCATAGCAGCACTATTTACAGTAGGCAAAAGGTAGAAGGAATCCTCAATGGGTAAACAGATTGTGTTTTATATATGTGTGTGTGTATGTTTAATGGAATATTATTCAGTCACAAAAAGGAATGAAATACTGCTATATGTTATGAAGAGGCTAAACTGCTAAAACATTGGGCTAAGCGAAAGAAGCCAGACACAAAGATAATTGCATGATTCCATGTGTATGAAGTATCCAAAATGGGTAAATCCATAGAAGATAGAAGGCAGGTTGCTGTTTGCCAGGGGTTAACTAATTAATGAGGAAAGGGTTATCTTCTGGGGTGTTGGAAGTGTTTTAGAAGTAGATAAAGGTGGTGGTTGCGTAACATCGTGAATGTACTAAATGGCACTGAATTGTTCATTTTAGAATTTTTAATTTTGTGTTATGTAAATGTCACCTCAACTAAAAAAATAAAATCTAGTACATAAATATGTTGCCATCTTATAGTAGTTATATAATAAGTCAGTACCTTATAGTTGATTTAGTTATGGACATAACCAGGAATGATGAGTCGTATTTTTGTTACCTTTTGATTTCCATGTATTCTTTTTTTTAGACTAACACTACAGAATTTCAAGCTGTTATTTGTGTATTCTGTTAAAATAAATATATTCAATCAGTGAACTTCTCTTTAATTTATATCCTTTGACCATTTTTCTTGGTATGTTATATAAAACATCTCTTAATTTCTAGAAATTTAAGTTTGGCTGGTTGTTATAACTACAAATAGCTTTATTTCGTTATTGATTTCAATTGGAGAGTTTGGTTTTTTACAAATTCCTGGTGGTATAATTATATATAGTACATTGTTACATCTTGAGGCCATATAAAAATAGATTTTTGTACCAAATGATGACCAGAATTTTATAGACTAAGCTATATTTTCATATGATTCAAAGTATTAAATAAGTGGTAAAAGTGAGAAAATAGTATTTTGTATTCATTGTGAAATAAGACTTGTAATTTTTAAAAGGAAGAGGTTTAGCTATGTGCTACGATGTTCAGGTTTTATAATCACCAGTTTCTGGTTGATATGAAATCTTACAGAATTATTTGTGGTCTTGTGATAGACATTTTTTTCAAAGACCAAATAAATTTTGAAAATTATTCAGTATGGTGCTTAGGAGCTTCTTATTTTTGTATATACGTCTTAAGACACATTTTAGCTGACTGCTGTATTATGACTATCTCATGTATGCATGTGTCAATTTTAATACCTATTTATGAGCACCTGAAAGATCAGGAAGCAGGTATGTCATGTGTAATAAAAGAGTACTTGTTGCCTTTTTGGTGATAAAATTGTCTTTATTGACATAGTATAAAATTGTCAAAATTGTTTTTTTCCAGCTTATTTTCTTCTACTTCAAATGGAAATACCCATTTCATTGCATTATTAAATGAAATGGTATTAATAAAATTCTTAGTGCAGTACTAAGAATTACAAATATAAGCCTATAATTCTCTCGTCTGTGGCTAAGCAGTCTTGCCCTAGTTTCTCTTAACATTTGATTTTTTTTTCCTTCACCATCATGCTTTTTAAATTTGAATGTTATATAGGACTTGAGTTTCTACTTGTTTTTAGTTCTCTATATTTCAGTTTCAGAAAATAGTCTGGATTTAAGTCTAGATAATTTTCTGGTTAGAGTAAAATCATGTGTGGTTGTATTTGAGATAGACTACTACACTTAAAAGCAAAGCTTCCTGGGAACATAATAAAAAGCAGGCATTATCTACTAATCGGAAGCTTATTAGTGGTTTTCCTCTCTACCATAATAAACATTTTTTAAAGTTATTTAGGATTATTAAATTAAAATATAACTTTAAAATAAGTAAAACAGTGCACATGTATACAAATACAGAGAATGAAAGTTCATGTCTGCCTCTGTCACACTTTTCCAGCCTGATACAAACTTTTGGAAATAGAAAAACCTAAATAATTTTGATTGTTAATAACTTGTGAAATATTTTAAATCTTAGATGAAAAATCAACACTGGAACAGAAACCTTCTAAACCAGCAGCTCCACAAGTCCCACCCAAGAAACCTACTCCACCTACCAAAGCCAGTAATTTACTGAGATCTTCTGGAACAGTGTACCCAAAGCGACCTGAAAAACCAGTTCCTCCACCACCTCCTATAGCCAAGTAAGTTTTACCTAATTTTAAATTAGCTTACTGATTTACTCACCTTTGACCTTAATGGCTCTATTGCCTTTCTAAATCTCCAGGTATGTTTTTTCTTATTTTTCAGTTATATTTATTTTTAAAATTGACATATACAATTGTGTGTATTTATTGTATACAACATGATGTTTTAAAGCGTATATATAATTCATTGTGGAATGGCTTCGGTAACTGTGATAACCTCACATAGTTAACATTTTTATGATGAGAACACTTAACATTCACTCTTAGCATTTTTAAAGAATGCGGTACATCACATTAACTGCAGTCACTAAAATGTACAATGGATTTCTTAAAACTTATTCCCTCTATCTAACCGTATGTATTCCTTGACCACATCTTCCCACTCCCCTCCAACTCACAACCACTTCAGGCTCTGGTAATCACCATTCTACTCTATTTCTATGGGATCAACTTTTTTAGACTTCACATTTGAGTGGAGAACATGTGGTATTTGTCTTTCTGTGCCTGGCTTATTTGACTTAACATCCTCCAGATTCGTCGATGATGTTGCAAATGGCAGGCTTGCTTTCTTTTTTTATGGCTGAATGGTATTCTTTGTGTATATATGCCACATTTTCTTTATTCATTCATCCATTGATACTTTAGGTTGCTTCCATATTTTGGCTGTTGTGAATAGTGCTGTAGTAAACATGGGAATGCATATATTTCTTTGACATATTGATTTTATTTCCTTTGGATATGGACCCAGTAATGGAATTGCTAGATCATATGATAATTATCTTTTTAATTTCTCGAGGGACCTTTGTACTGTTTTCCATAATGGCTGTGGGAATTTACATTCCTACCAGCAGTGTGCAAGGGTTCCCTTTCCTTAAGATGCTCACCAACACTTATTATCTTTTATCTTTTTGAAAAGTTAAAGTTTATTTTAATGTTGTAAATAACATCCAAGAAGAATATAAACATGTTGAAAGCTGGATATGTAAACAAAGATCACAGGCAGGTTCTGGGAATTTTATTGGAGCTTTGGTTATTAAAATGCATCAGTAAATTCCCAGGGTGCTAAGCACTATTCTGTTGGCTGTGCCAACAGTCCTCATGCATGCTTAAAACACTTGGGGGAATTATAGTACAAATCCAGTCAGGGTTGGAACCATGGCAAACCAAGGGCTCTTAGAGATGGACCTGTTTGTGCTGCTAGGCATCATGGAGAAAGCAGCAGACGAAGAGGTGAAGGAGGCTTATAGGTAGAAGGCCCTCTCCTGCCACCCAGACAAGTTGGATAATCACAGAGCAGCTGAACTCCTCCACTAGCTTTCTCAGGCCTTGCTGCAGCCAGGGCTGCATATGATGATGTTAGAAAAGCCAAGAAGCAGACAGCATAGAGGACCCAGAGGCTTGATGAGAGAATAAAAAAAGCTAATCATGACCTGAGGCCCAGGCCCAGGTGAGTGAGAAGGTGGAGGAAAGCTAGAGCACCAGGACACTTGAGCAGGAGATTGAACATCTTAGTGAATAGTGTTCATGGCAGCTGGAGGAACAGCAGATGATGATCCAGGAGCAGATGTGCCAGGAACTTGACTTGAGATTAGAAGTCAGAAAATACTGAAGACAAAGGAACCCAAAACTAAAACTGAAATGGAAGTACAAGAAGGATGAGTCAGAAGGCAGTTACTCCAAAGGTGTCCTCCTGTGGCTTTTGCAAAAGTATGGTGGAATTCTCAACCTGGTGCTTTTGAGTAAGAAGGCAGGTACTGGTGTCGTGGAGTTTGGGACTGTCGAGGCTGCAGAGATGGCTGTCTGGAATAAAGTTGGCCTGGGTGATAATCCTGGAAAGATTTCCTCTTTCAAAGGAGGACTCCAGGGTGCAGTGGGCCCCACCCACCCAGGACAGTGAAGGGACCCAGTGGTGTCTCTTCTTACCACATGCAGCAGTAGTCAAGGAATGGCAGCCCATTTAGTCTCCTGCCACAGCCTTCCTAAGTCACAGCCCTTTTTAAAACATCACCAATAAACTTTAAAAGCAAGAAAGAAACAATCCCATCAGAAACTGGACTAAGTACATGAATAGACAGTTCTCAAAAGAAGATATACAAATGGCCAACAAGCATATGGAAAAATGCTCAAAGTCACTAGTTACCAGGGAATACAAATCAAAACCGCAATGTGATACCACCTCACTTCTGCAAGAATGGCCATAAATCAAAAAATCAAAAAATAATAGATGTTAGCATGGATGCAGTGAAAAGGGAACACTTGTACACTGCTGGTGGGAATGTAAACTAGTAGAACCACTATGGAAAGCAGTGTGGAGATTCCTTAAAGAACTAAAAGCAGATCTACCATTTGATCCAGCAATCCCACTACTGGGTATCTACCCAGAGGAAAATAAGTTATTATATGAAAAAGATAACTTGCACATGCATGTTTATAGCAGCACAATTCGCAATTGCAAAGTATGGAACCAGCCCAGATGCCCATGAATCAACGAGTGAATAAAGAAATTGTGGTATATATATATACCATGGAATACTACTCAGCCGTAAAAAAGATGGAAAAAATGGCATTCACAGCAACCTGGATGGAATTGGAGACTCTTATTCAAGTGAAGTAACTTAGGAATGGAAAATCAAACATTGTACGTTCTCCCTAATATGTGGGAGCTAAGCTGTGAGGACACAAAAGCATGAGAATGATACAGTGGACTTTGGAGACTTGAGGGGAAAGGGTGGGAGGGGAGTGAAGGATAAAAGACTGCACATTGGGTACAGTGTGCACTGCTCGGGTGGTGGGTGCACCAGAATCTTAGAAATCACCACTAAAGAGCTTATTCATGTAACCAAATGCCACCTGTTTCTCAAAAACCTGTTGAAATAAAAAATAATCTAAAATAATAAAAAAAATTTAAAAAAAAATACAGGAGCATTCTGTACATTTTGATTTAGCTCTCACTGTTGCTTACCTTCCAGAGTTGTCCTTCTATTGTTGCAATTTAATTTTTAAGTATTATTTTTAATATTTTCTGTATACTAATATCTGTTGAATGTTAATTTTATGTTATAATAATTTTCTACACTTAACTAAACTGTTCTCACATTTTTTATTTTATTGTGATCAGCCTTAGGAGAGAGTTTTGCGTTTATGGAAATGGTTTTACAGAACAGAAAGTAATCGGTATTAGGCCATACAATCTTTAATGTCATTAAATCACAATTTAAAAAAAAGTCGTGTTTCATACTAGTGATTTTTGCGTGTTTTTTTCTTATTTCAGGATTAATGGGGAAGTTTCTAGCATTTCATCAAAATTTGAAACTGAGCCAGTATCAAAACTAAAGCTAGATTCTGAACAGCTGCCCCTTAGACCAAAATCAGTAGACTTTGATTCACTTACAGTAAGGACCTCCAAAGAAACAGGTAAGTCAGCATGGACAGCGGTGGTGCATTTAAAAAAAAAAATTGTCAAAGAAACTCTTTAAGAGATATATTTATGCAATTTGTGTGTGGATAAAGTTGGATAAAGTTGAAATTACACAGTTGAAATTTGTTTAAAATTTAGCAGCCAAAGTAGAAATAATAAAAGAAGATAAGTAAAATTTTTATGGTCCTTACTGATCAGACTTTATGGTTTCTTACTGATCAGAGGACTGAAATAGATGTTAAAAGATGACCCATCTATTACTCCCTCTTTATAGTGGAATGACTGTACTACCCAACGGAGATATGAATACACTTTAGTTTTAAAAGTTTAAAAATGAGATGACATAGACTTTCAGTGCCAGCATTAGATTATATTTCATAGGACTTTAAATTTCTCCTCTTAATCTAGAGATACTTTTATTTCCAGTGGAGGAAAATATGCTTTTTCTAACCCTTTTGCTAATTTTTTTTTAAGCTTTAGGACTGGTTTTTCAGCTTACTGATATCTTTGTCTAATCTGTACTTCCTGTTTTTTTTTTAATACCTATTATTATTTGTAAAATGTAAAACTTGAAACGGAGAACTCTTGATAGTTTTCATTATTAAAGGCATTGTGCCTTCATTACTTTCTGGTAATTGTTAATATTTTGTGTAGTGCTTTTTGCATTTGTGTTTAGTTTTTTTGACTTTTTCAAAGCACTTTCTCATGTATGTTCTTAGTTTAACTCTAGGAAGCAGATGCTTTTTTTTCCTATTTGGTGTCTAAACAAAGTAAGCTACAGACACATTAAATAAGCACTATCACATAAATCAAAGGAGAACTCTAAATTTTCATTTTTACTGTGATATTCTTTTAAGAAATCTTAATATTCTAATTTTTCTAGCTTCATTGTTCACATTTCATGTTTACATTTAAAGTTCAAGGGCAGTTACACTTAGATGTTTTTTATTACCTTATTATAAAATATGCTATTACATTTCAGGGTTTTTCAGGTGACCTTATTCTTCCCTCTTTCAGTTTGCGAATGCAAAGTTTCTGACTTAAAGTGTGGCCTCCTTTCAGTCTTTTTATTTGAACATCTTATAGATCCTTTTGTCAGAGTTGGATTCCCCTTGTTATGGATGAAGCTATATTTACTACTAATTTCTGGGAATTGAAATGTTGATTGTATTTTAGAGAAACTCATTGAAATTTATTCGGTATGTTTTATATGGTGAAAATTATCCTTATTAATTGTTTGATAAACAGAAAAAGAATCCTCATGTTTTAAAAAATCATTCTTTTTTATTGAGCTTATCAGTAAATAGAATTTGATCAGTTCATATTGTTTTCTGTTTGATTTAAAATATAGCTAGAAATGTGTTTCATAGGTTATAGTTGAAGAAAAGCAGATTATTTGCCCAATTTTAACTCTGGAAACAAAAAAGTTATTGCAACTATATTTTAAATTTTCACAAATTTGGGGGATCTTTATCACATAAGTCTTTAAATGTTGATGGAGTCCCTTTGGGAATTGAAGGAGTAAAATCTGGAATCCACATCTTGCTTTGTATTCATCTTGAATGTTTTACTTAGTTTATGTCAAAGTAATGGAATTTTTTTTAAAATTTAGGTAAATTACAACATTTTCTTTTTTTCGAAACTTTTCCTATATAGTGTCACAACACACTGCCATATTTCTAGTAAAAATAATATATGTAATAATTTCAAACTATTGATGATTGGAAAGTTCTGTTTTTACTTGGTTTGGGGGACCCTATTTCTATCTTTTATACATAGCTGTTATTTACTCCCTATATAGTAAACAGAGACTTTGTGGAACAGGGTGTGAAAACATCTTATTTCTGATTTGTTCTTTTCTTTCAATAAATAAGGAAATAATCTAGAGATGCTGAGACTTAGCCAAGTCAGAAAACTAACAGCTACTTTCAGGCTGCTGTTCTTTATTCCTTCCACTTAATTATACTACCTTTGGTGTACTATACTTAGGCCCTGTAAAGTTCAGAAAATACAGATGTTGGGAATTTAGTTCATGTTAACTGTCAGATTATTCACTGAGCAGGTTTTATATCCTCAGTCGTGTTTTAGGCACAGTTGCATGCTAAGATAAAAGGCATAATTGATGGAAGTCAGTAGTGTATGTCGTAAGCATTAATTCAGAGATTCCTGCTACCTTTTTAAATTAGACGATCATATGTTCCTAGTATTAGTAATATAAAAGTGTTCTACCTCTTCTGTGATGTTAATACTTCAAAAAAAGTATTTTGGCTCAAATACAGCCTCAAATATAATGTGTGAAACTAGCCTTTTTAATATGTTTTAGAAAGTTGAAAACATACATGAAAAACTTATTGAAAATTTCATTATTAGGCAACGTAATAATTTGAGGTTAAATAATAGAAAGTACACTGACTTTGCTGTTAATAAAAGGGGTTTTATTTACTAGTTGATTGCTGATAGTAAGTTTCTTAATGTTTTTTCCCTTAACTAACAATGGAATGATTTAGTACATGTATATGTCTGCTGGAATACCTGACATGGAAGTTATTACAAATGTTATTTTTCCTTCTTTCCTCCCTCCTCCATTGTTTTAAACCCATCCCATTTTGTTTTTGTTCTAATCTATAAAGGATATAAATCCCTGACTTTGTTCACAGATATGATTTTCTTATTTATAAAGTCATATGTAAACGTTTATGTGTATATATAAACTATGTATATAAATGCAGACTGACTTTTGTACATGTAAGAAAGACATATACAGAACACTCAGATTTTCTTTTTTTAATGACATGACATAACTTTTTAGCTTCTTCATATATATTCTCATATATAATGTAGTTTTATAAATATCAGAGCTGTTAAGAACCATGCTTACAATTTTTTTTCTCTATTACAAACACTTCCTCAAAAATTGGTTTAAGGAAAATCTCAGTGCCACTACTAATTAATAATAAAGCTTGTGTGGTCCACATATTTCTAAAATCATACATTATCTGAAAAGTAAAATTATCTTTAACTTAGTTTTAAAATGTAAGATAGAAAATTTTATAGTAACATAGCTGTTATATTAAGAAAGCCCAACTGATGAAGTTTCCTTACAGTGTAGTATTGTTTTTCTGTGATAAGATTTTCTATGATTAAAAGGCAATTTCATGCCTGTGATCACAGCACTTTAGGAGGCCAAAGCAGGAAGATTGCTTGCATCCAGGAGTTAGAGACTAGCCTGGGCAGCATAGTGAGACTAGCCTGGGTAACATAGTGAGACCGTGTCTCTACAGAAAAAAAAAAAAAAGCTGGGCATGATGGTGTGCACCTGTAGTCCCATGGTGTAGCTACTAGGGAGGGAGGCTGAGGTGAGAGGGTTTCTTAAAGCTGAGAGTTGGAGGTTGTAGTGAGCCTTGATCATGCCATTGCTCTCCAGCCTGGGTGATAAAGTGAGACCCTGTCTCAAAAATAAACAAAAAAAAAGCAATTTTAAAGAAACACATTATTCGATGGAAGCATTCATTGTTGAATAAGGAAACACATTTGTTTTTCTTCAAGTTTATTTGATATTTGGTAGTTGATCTATTTTTTAAAAATTACTTTTCCAATATTTCTCATTTCTTCCAGAAATAATTTATGGTGGAATTTTTCTAATAGGTACCTGTTGAGTAGCATATACTATAAAAAGTGAGCCTATATCTAAACTAGAATTTAAAAAAATTTAGTTTCTAATAGTTTCCTTGATCATACCATATTAAAGACTTGTAAGTACCATATAAGGCATTAGTGAATTTTTATTTATGTATGAAATATTTTAAAGATAGTATTGAGTCATATTTTTATAGTGAGATATTTTAAAGTAATATTTAACATATTTTTCTTCTTTGATACCACAGAATTAAAATTGCTTTTCATCGTTGTAATTTCTATCATGGGCTAAAGACTAAAACTTGACTAAAAGTTGATTTAGTTATAACTACATTATGAGATGTCAACATGCTGATTTATTACTCTGGCCTCTTAAAGCACCAAGCCATCCTTTTGGAAACTGTCTTGGTGTTCAGTGAGTAATAAAACAGGACTTTCTGGCTTAATGCATATTGAAATTAATACTAATATTAATTTTTCCCTTTGAAAGACAAAGGAATAAACCTAAAACCTAATATACATCTTGTGTAAGTTAGATAACCTGCAAATAGTTATATGCCAAACATTGAAATGGTTTTATTCATTCTACAGCTGTTCTTTTTTCCTGTTTTGTAAAATAATTATTTTGGTTTAGTCTTTTTTCTAGACATTCCTATCCTTGACTTTTCTTTCCAGATTTTGTTTCCTAGCCTGTTTGCCATGTTTCCCTTCTTACGTGTCAGGAAATTATTCTACCCTTCTCCATTTTGGTAAGATGAAAGTTTATAAAGCAATCAAAATAGTATTTTCAATATAAATAGGTGGTGCACATTGATTTTTCTTTGTAATTTTACTGAAAGTGTACATGTCTGTCTGTCTATTTATTCTAACCCTTTTGGTTTTCCATTTTTAGATACAATGAAATTCATTTTGGAAAAGTTTCCTGATTCGTTTAAAATATTCTTTTGATAATATTTTTTAAGAAAATTGGCAACCATAAAAATCAGTTTATTTTCTCTCCAAATTGGATATTTCATTTTGCTTTTTAAAAATTTTATGTGTTCCTAGCAACGTGCAGATTGTAAGTGGCTGGCAGAGTGACAATGTGATTGCAAAAGCTAAATGATTGTCGTGCCTGTTATGCCACGTGTACAGTGTAAATCCATTGTTATCCCTCTTAGGTAAATTTAAAAGCATTTAGATATGTCATGAGTCCAAAATGTGCACTGTTCCATTTTACTAACCTAATGGCTTAAATGGAGAACCTGAGAGAGTTTTAGAATAGTAAAGTTACTTGTCTTGGTGTCATAGTTCAAAACTGGACATACAGAAGACATTTTACATGAGCATGGTGTATAATTTTGTAAATCTATGTTTTATTTACCCTTTCAGTTTCATTTTTCTTTGTCTTTTCCTGTGTTTTTCTGTTTCTTTTTCTTTCTGCAAGTTGCTTAAATATGCATTTGAAAATAATCTCTACAGGCTAAAATGATTGGATTGTACTTGTTAAGGTTTTTTCTTTGTGGGTTGTTAATGCACACATCAGTGTAAAAGCAATTTTCACCCTTCAAATTACGACATATTTTAACATCTTTTAAAAATACTGATTGCTTTCTTTGTGATATTTACAAATAACATGACATTTAAACATATATTTAAATTCAACCGCCTTCAGATTATATAATGCATTTTTCATTGTCATTTATTATTATGGTTTGTTATATTTCATGATTATTTACAATTATCAAAAGACTCAAAACAAAAATCAAGCATATTAGAGTATCTGTTTTAATGAATCAGCTTAGTTGATACAAGTGAGAACACACAAAGAAATTGCTAGAAAAAATTATCAGCAAATTATTCTAGTTGTTATAAAATGCATATTACCGAACAGTGATGCCTTTTTTTCTGCCTTACCTTTGTGTCCTCCATCCCTTAAAAGCATTTTCTAAATAAGTTGATGAATAAGTTTTGTGGGCAGTGATGATGAGTATCTTTAGATCTTTTTAAAGAAACAAATAACTGAGTTAGAACATATAAATATCTGACAGAAAGTATTATAAACATCTAGGCAGATGGTAATGTGAAGAATTAATACAGATCTGGACGATTAGACCAAAGGAATCTGCTATTAGTTAGAACATTTTGGCTGTGGTTAATATTCTGAGTTTGGAATCTGGGGTAAAGGAAGGTTATATTAAAAATGGAAGTATCTGTAGCAGTTTACCTTTTGGGTTCTTGATTCATATATAGATATCTGGGCTTTAGAGTTAAAGAAATTTCCTTTAGCAAGACTTTCTGAATCATCTAGGAAAAGGCAAAGTATTATATATCATTGTTGTAGAGTAGATTTGTCCTTAAACCCAAGTTACCAGGTCAGAGGTCAGCCAGCCTTTGATGATGAGGAAGTAAGTTGGTAATCCATGTAGCTTTTTCTCTTTTTTTTTTGGTATCTGATTTGCCTTAGATTTGTAGCTGTCTTATGATTACTAAACACAATAATGTCTAAACAAAGGTGCAGTGAACTATAAACAGTTTGAGTCCCACCTAATACTGTGCACATATATATACACATAAAGGTACATTAAATCATGCTTTTGCTTTATATTGAGAAACACAAATCAAAAGTGGCAGGGTGCCAGATAAAGTTTAATTCTTAACATATGAATATTCTACTTCTTGAAGTTCAAAACAAATTTTACATGCTGATTTTCCGAGATCTTTTAATTTATTATGAGTTTAAGAAGTAGATCTTTGTTAGGAACTTAAGATGAGTTTTTTATGCTACTACAGTTTGTGATACAGATTTATTTTTCACCAAGTACTTTTTGTTGAGATCTAGGTCTCTATTGGAAACAACCTTTATAGTGTTAATAAAGTCATATACTAATATAAATGTATCAGGTAAAGAGGATTTTTTTTTTTCTTTTAAGGGCGAGTGTTGTTTTCCAAATGCATATGAAAAGCACAGGTCAATTTGTGAGTTCTTCAAAGTAGTGGTACTCTTTTTAATTTATAGTTTGTCCAAAAACTGAAACATTATTTTTTACCTTTAAAAAGGTACAGTTCTCTTAGTAAATAATGTTTATTTTTATTTTCTAGATGTTGTAAATTTTGATGACATAGCTTCCTCAGAAAACTTGCTTCATCTCACTGCAAATAGACCAAAGATGCCTGGAAGAAGGTTGCCGGGCCGTTTCAATGGTGGACATTCTGTGAGTTCATCTAATTGTCGTAAACTACAGTATATTTAGCAAATGCAGAGTCCATTGGAAGATAGAGGACTTATAGCTCTACCTAAGTTTGAAAATCAGGAGGATAGCTCTTATACTCAAGTGGCAAATGCTGGTATTTAAGGAGATAGAGGGAGAGAGGTGTGTTCATTCCAACAGGGTCTGGAATGAAAGGTTACAGAATCAGAAGGAAATTATCATGAGGCTATAGCCACAGAGCACAGGGTCAAAGGGTGACAAAGAAAGAACCTGTTTAATTTATCTTTCAACAACAGTTATTAAAATTGAGCAGCAGATACTCACTTTAGGAAAGATTGAGAAAATTTTTTCCCCTGAAATATTCAGTGTTTTTTTTCTTTTCTTTTTTTCTAAATTTTTAAAATTAACTTCAGCAGGTACATAATAGATTTGTATATTTATGGGTTATGTGAGATATTTTGATACAGGCATGAAATGCATAATAATTATATCAGGGTAAATGCGGTATCCATCACGTCATGAATTTATCTTTTGTGTTACAAACCATCTAAATTGTACTCTTAGTTATTTTTAAGTGTACAATTAAATTATTTTTGACTAGTAGTTACCCTGATGCTACCAAATACTAGGTCTTACTCATTCTTTCTACTTTTTGTACTCATTAACCATCCCCCCATCCCTACCGCCACCACACTAACACCCTTCCCAGCCTCTGATAACCATCTTTCTGTTCTCTATCTCCATTAGTTCAGTTGTTTTAATTTTTATAGTGAGAATATGCAAAGTTTGTTCTTCTGTGCCAGGTTTAGTTCACTTAACATAATGAACTCTAGTTCCATCCATGTTGCAAATGACAGGATCTCATTCTTTTTTGTGACTGAATAGTAGTCCATTGTCTATAGTTACCACATTTTCTTTATCCATTTGTCTGTTGATGGACACTTAGGTTGATTCCAATTCTTGGCTGTATTCTTGTGAATAGTGCTACAGTAAACATGGGAGTGCAGATATCCCTTTGATATACAGATTTCCTTTTTTTGGTATATACCTAGCAGTGCTGGATCAGATGGTAGCTCTATATTTAGTTTTTTGAGGAACTTCCAAATTTTTCTCCATAATGATTGTACTCATTTACATTCCCCCCAACAGTGTACGAGGGTTCCCTATCTCCATATCCTTGCCAGTATTTGCTATTACCTATCTTTTGGATAAAAACCATTTTAATTGGGGTGAGGTAATAACTCGTAGTTTTGATTTGTATTTCTCTGATGATTGTTGTGAAATATTCATTGTTTTTGTAGTACTTGTCCTCATGTCTAAATGTATTAACTTCTTTGTATGCTTTTTCTACATTGCCTGGAGTACTGGTGGTACTGTAATGTTAATGTATTAGCTCTTAAACACTATAGTACTTTTAAAATTACCTAAATGGAGAAAATCCTTACTGCTAAGAGGCAAGCTGTTTTTGCCCTCAAGATATGCAAATGTGTTATTCAGCTTGAAAGTATATAGCATCCTATTAATAATAATGGGATATCAGCAACAGTAGCAGCTGAAAATCCATAAAAGTTATTTGCTTTATTATCCAAAGACTTACTACCTTTTCTTTTCTTTGGTCTATTATGTCTCTTGACTTCTAAAAAATCATTTAGCCAACTCACAGCCCCGAAAAAATCTTGAAGTTACCAAAAGAAGAAGACAGTGCCAACCTGAAGCCATCTGAATTAAAAAAAGATACATGCTACTCTCCAAAGGTGAGGTGCATTGTGGTCTAAGGTTTGTTGACTTTCTGGGATTCTTTGTGGACATCAAACATAGGGAATTTAAGGTGTTCTTTAGGACGAATTATTTTTTCTGCCAAGAAATGAAATAATTGCTGCTAAAAAATTGAGTTGTTTAGCTTCATCAGACTATTTTCTGCAAATGTTTTTGAAAGAGCTTACATTTTAATTGAATAAAATAAATATTACATATTTCATATTTTTTAAGGCATAGATCTCTGCATCTATTTCGTTTCTCCATTAAACATACATTCTTAAGGTCAGGAATGAACACTTGTATAGTACTTACCTAGCTTGGTGCTTAGTACAATAATTAAGCATTCAGTATATACTGGAATTAATGGCAGAATACTGTATGTCCATGGATCCTTTCATCTGTTACATGTGTTAGGTGTCTTGTCAAAATTTTTACCATTTTTATTTAACATAGTTTCACTACAACTGAGACATAGATTTAAGAAGGTCATTTAGGTTTCCTCCCAAATTATTTCTTGATTTCATTTCAGGGCATTTTTGTCAGCGTTTCCAATTTATTAAATACACTTAATCTGATTCTCTCAGCTGTCAGCAGTCTATTGAAATTTTATTAAAGTGACTTTCTATTTTTTTAGTGAAATAGTTAAGGGGTGTCAGGCTATGGACTCATTTTAGTGACTCTTCCTGGACCTATTAAATTGTTCACAATTACTTTTAAGTGAAGCTCTTTGGACATTCCAAACAATAAGTATTGAATATGAAAGATCAAAGTAATACCTTTATAATGCTGTTACATTCTTGCCCCTGTTTCACTAGGCAAACCATCCATAATATACATTTGATGGATTTTTCTTTCTTCCTTTTTTCTTCTGTTAATAAAATTGTCATTTTCTACAAAAACCACTAATGATTACAAATGTATTCTTTAGTTGTCTGGTGATTTTTCCAGTTGTGAACATCAAATTGCTTTTGAATTTCCAAATTTGCCACTTATCTTGAAGTACTTAATTGTTTTTCTTCTTGCTGTTAAAATCTTTCGAACGTAAATATAATATTAAATAAAATCAGAAATTTTTTTTTTACGTTTTCAGCCATCTGTGTACCTTTCAACACCTTCCAGTGCTTCTAAAGCAAATACAACTGCTTTCCTGACTCCATTAGAAATCAAAGCTAAAGTGGAAACAGATGATGTGAAAAAAAATTCCCTGGATGAACTTAGAGCCCAGATTATTGAATTGTTGTGCATTGTAGAAGCACTGAAAAAGGATCACGGGTAAGTAGCCCTTCTTTTCTCCTGTGAGTACTACTTAACCCATGCATAAAGAATTTTTTTCAAACCATATTAAGTAAAAATCTAATCTGTGGCTGGGTGTGGTAGTTCGCGCCTGTAATCCCAGCACTTTGGGAGACCAAGTTTGGAGGATTGCTTGAGTCCAGGAGTTCGAGACCAGCCTGGACGACATGACAAAACCCCATCTTTGCAAAAAAAAAAAAAAAAAAGAAAAGAAAAGAAAAGAAAAAGCCAGGCTTGGTGACACATCCCTGTGGTCCCAGCTACTCAAGAGGCTGAGGTGGGAGGATGTCTTGAGCCTGGGAAGTCAAGGCTGCAGTGAGCCGTGAACATGCCAGTGCGCTCCAGCCTGGGCAACAAAACCAAGACCCTGTCTCAAAAAAAAGTCTCTGGTATGAGCAAGTATATTTTCAAAGAAATTTTCATTAACAGTCCTTTTCTCTTTTTGGCAAAAAAGTTAAATTGGTGAAGTTATTCTAGTAGCTGGATTGTGGAAAACGTGCATACATAACCATAATTTTAGGCTAGAAATCTTCTGGTCGGATATGATTAGTTTTTAAACTACTAGGAAAAATATCGTATTTTGGATCTGGTTGTGTATCTATACATATAGTTAACTTAGTTTTCAGAGGATTTGATCACTGTTTCTGTGAGGTTGAGTTGGACATTTATAAAATGAATGTGTTGGGATAGGTGATCTCTAAAACTCTTCCCTTAACTCTGAAAATTTTTTGATATGGTATATGTTGAGAGATACCCTAGTTGAAAGTTAGGGACTTTTTAGAGCTAAAACAAATTTACAAGATCACCTATTATAGGTGAGCTCCCCCTCTGGCTTTTTAAATGAAGAAATTGACAGAGCTAGAACTCAAACCCATATTATCTGTTGGTTTAGAGATGTTTTCTATAACCACTAGTATTTGAATTTTAAAACTTGTTCACATTTTAAGCACAATTCTACAAAAGCCCAGTAGGTAAAATATATTTTAAAAAAAGCAGTTAATCTAATTGAAATGAGAGTGAGGGTGCTCATCCCTTGTCTTCAAATTCCCTTCTAAAAAGATTTCTTGGAATATGGTACAAAAGTTATGGCCAAATAAAAAGTATAAAAGAACAAAAAATAAAAATAAAACATAAATGTTATGGCCAGAGGCCATGTTCCCTCTGAGCCTGATTTTATCATTTCTTTTCCAATTTTAAGTTGGCCTAAGAATCTTATTAAAAATAATATTGAGATTAACAGTATAAGGTATTTGGAGTTTGCAGAACACTTTCACAGGTATTCCTTAGAAATAAAAAATGTATCTTGAATGACTACTTAAAAATATGTTTTATATATTATGTATATAGAGGAGTTTATAATTTAATACATGATGGTATTTCTTGGAATCCTTCAGTTTATCTGTTTTGAAAGATTCTTTTAGTAGATTCTGCAACATGCACATTATAAGCTGTAAGTTTACTTGTCCAGTAAATATTTATTAATCACCACCCATGTACCAGTTAGAGAATTCTCCTGATTCGATTTTGTTGTTTTACATTTTTTATACCATGTCCTGATTTTCATATGCATATTGCCTGTAGGTGCTCTTAAATTAGCTCTAGAACGGATAAAATATTTCTGATTTATATATATATATATATATGTATTTTTTTTTTTTTTTGAATATAAAACATTTTGGAAGTCTTTCCAAAGGGTATTTTCAATATCTTGAGTTTCTCTGGCAAAGTGAAACTGAATGGCAGGTTTTTTTTTTTTTAATATCTAAAAAACTTGCATCAGCAGGAGAAGGGATAAATACTATTGATATATTAATAGAGAAATACTACACAGCATACAACAATAAAAGTAAGTTTCAACATCAATATGAATTAATCTAAACATTGAGAGGAGGGAGCAGGTCAGAAGCATACACGCAATCAGTGTATTTCATTTGTATAAAGTTGAAAAGCATACCAAACCAGAAAATATATTATTTTAAGAATGTATTTGCGTGTGGCAAAATTAGAACAACAAATAAATAATAATAAATACTATAAAACTTTTTCTATGGAAGAGGGGGGGAATAGGATTAAGGAAAGAGGGTCGCTTTTTGGGATATCCAAGGTACTGGTAATATTTTATTTCTTTACTTGGAGTTCAGAGGTTTTCGCTTTACTCTTATAATAGTAGATCTTTATAGCTTAGTTATCACTAAGAAATTATTGCCAAGAAGTTAGTTTTGAAACATTATATAAATAATTTTAAAATTCCTTCCTTATGTATTTTTTCTTCATGAATTTTTTCTTTTTTACTTTTTCAAGCTGTTATTTCTACAGTATTCTCAAGAATTTTTCAAGTATTTGTTGAGACTGAAAATGTCCATACTTTTGATTTAGAAATTTGATATACTAACATATTCCTCCCATTCCTTCTGTCTCATTCCTCGATTCCTTCCACTCCTTCTGTCCCCAGAATAATGAATCAGCCAAACAAAAAACCTCGATATTTGAATACCAAATCACAATTATAAATATGAAAATTTTAGCAGCATGAAAATGGTTTAAAATTTGTGAAAAGACATAATATTGAATATTCACTTAAAGCTATAGAAAAAAGGACAACTATATAGAAAGATTAGAAGGGAACACGGGAAGGTGAAAAGATGAGTTGAGGAGAGACTATTGGCTAGAGTTTTTAATTTGTTTGGTTTTTGGATTTTAATGTGTTATTTAATTTTTAAAAATAGAGAAAGAAATTCAAAGTCTAGGTTATGTTACCAGATAAACTGTTAACTTGCCTTGTATTGTGATGTGTTGATATTCATTTTACCAAATTGCTTGGGCTTTCAGTTTTCCAACCTGGAAAATGTATGATAGCCGAATATAGAAAATTTCTTCTAAAGGTTAGATATTATTTCTGTCTTCGTGAGCTGCTCTGAATTTGCTTGATTTCTTGATCTCAGATTTGTCTTGGTTTTGCTGAATTTTTAACTGTTATATTGAACCATTCTAACTAGAGAATCTTACATTTTTCTTAATTAACATTGCTATTGCCCTTAAAAAGTTTTTCCCATGAACTGGTAGGTTAGGTAACAAAAAGCCTGTAAACATTAGTCAAATAAATTATTTAATCGAAAGACTTAACAGTAATAAGTACTTTGTTTTTAGGAAAGAACTGGAAAAACTGCGAAAAGATTTGGAAGAAGAGAAGACAATGAGAAGTAATCTAGAGGTAATTAATTTCTTCCAGCATTGAGAGTTTAGTGAGCATAAACTGGACATGTTTTTCCCAACCCAACTGGGTAATCGGTTCCTGTACAAATTATGCTATACTACTTCAGTTGGACATACACACAATGGACTACTATTCAGTCACAAAAAAAGAATGAGATCCTGTCATTTGCAACAACATGGATGGAACTGGAGGTCATTATGTTAAGCCAGGCACAGAAAGAGAAACTGCATGTTCCCACTTATTTGTGGGAGCTAAAAAAAATTGAAACGATTGAACTCATAGAGATAGAGAACAGAAGGATGGATACCAGAGGGTGGGACGGATATTAGTGGAATTAATTAGTGGCAAGGGTATTCTTTTGAAATTGGAGTCAGTCCTCTTAAACCCTGCCTCTGCTTTATCAACTAAGTTTATATTTTGTAAATCCTTTGTTATTTCCACAATATTCACAGGATCTTCACCAACAGTAGATTCCACCTCACAAAGCTACTTTCTTTGCTGATCCAAAAGAAGCAACTCCTCATCTGTTCAAGTTCGATCCACTTTTAATTCTCATTGTCTTGCTGTTTTTACCACATCTTCAGTTCTTTTCTCCACTGAAGTCTTCAATCCTCAAAGTCATCCCTGGGAGTTGGAATCATCTTCCAAAATATTGACATTTTGACTTTCTCTTATGAATCGTGAATGTTCCTCATGGCATCTAAACTGATGAATTTTTTCCAAATGGTTTTCAGTTTATTTGCCTACATTTATCAGAGGAATCACTATCTATGGCAGCTATAGCCTTCCAAAATGTGTATCTTAAATAATAAGAATTGAAAGTCTAAATGTCTCCTTGATTCATGGGCTACAGAATGGATGTTGTGTTAGCAGACCTGAAAGTAACATTAATCTCCTTGTTCATTTCCATCAGAGTTCTTGGGTGACTAAGGGCATGGTCAGTGAGCGTTCATATTTTAAAAATAATCCTTTTTTTTTTTTCCTGAGCAGTAGGTCTCCACTGTGGGCTTAAAATATTCAGTAAATCATGCTGTAAACAGATGTGCTGTTATCCAGGCTTTGTTGTTCCATTTGTAGAGCATAGGCAGAGTAGATTTATCATAATTCTTAAGGGCCAAGGATTTTCAGAATGATAAATAAGTGATGGTTTCCATTAAAGCCACCAGCTGCATTCACCTAACAAGAGTCAGCCTGTCCTTTGAAGCTTTGAAGCCAGGGATTGACTTCTCTCTAGTTATGGAAGTCCTAGATGATATCTTCTTTCAATAGAAGGCTGTTTTACCTCCTTTGAAAATTTGTTTCCTGTAGCCAACTCCCGTCTTAGCTAGATCTTCTGGATAACTTGCTGCAGCTTCTACATTAGCACTTGCTTTACCTTCCACTTTTATGTCATGGAGATGGCTTCTTAAACCACATGAACCAGCCTCTGCTACCTTCATACTTTTCCTCTGCTGCTTCGTCACCTCTGTTGGGCCTTCAAAGAATTGAAGAGAGTTAGGGCCTCACTCTGGATTAGGCTTTGGCTTAAGGAAATGTTACAGTTGGTTAGATCTGCTATCTAGACCACTCAAACTTTCCTTCATATCAACAATAAGGCTGTTAAGTTTTCTTATTATTCATATGTTCACTGCAGTAGCACTTTTAATTTTCTTCAAGAACTTTTCCTTTGCAATCAAAACTTGGCTGTTTGGGGCAAAAGGCCAATCTCTTGACCTGCTGTGGCTTTCAACATTGCCTTCCTCTCTGAGCTTAGTCATTTGTAACTTTTTATTTAATGTGAGAGGGATGTGATTATTTCTTTCACTTGAACACTTAGAGACCATTTTTGGGTTATTAATTGGCCTAATTTTATTATTAGGCGTGTTCTATCTCAGATAATAAGGAAGGCCAAGTAGAGGGGGAGAGAGTCAGAAGAAAGGCTGATCAGTGTAGCAGTTAGAACACACATGACATTTATCAATTAAGTTTGCTGTTTTATATGGGTGCCAGAACAATTACAATATTAACATCAAAGATCACTGGTCACAAATCACCATTAACATATATAATTACAGTGAAAACATTTGAAATATTGTGAAAATTGTCAAAATGTGACACAGTGATACAAAGTGATCACATATTGTTGGAAAAATGGCATCAATAGAGTTGCTCAGCACAGGATTACCACAAGCCTTTGATTGTAGACAATGCAGTATCTGTGAAGCACAGCAAAACGAAGTACAATAAAAAGAGGTATCCCTGTAGTTCTCTCTTCTGTGCAGTTAAGCTATTTTCATTCTTTCTTTGCTCAGGGACAGGACTGGTAGTGGTGACATATGGCTGTAGATTCACTGCCTCCCATTTAAACTTAAGAGTTTATCTTAATTCTCCACTGGTGATTGGCAATTTCGACTATTTCCTTTATCTTTCTTAGCTTTCTTTTTCTCCTTCACTAATGTTTATGTTCATTTGCATTATTCTTTCTGCATATCTCAGAGAAAGTTGTATCCTACCTTTTTTAGAGACTCTTCCCATTGTTTAAGTATTTCATACTCCCTTCTGTTTTTTATTCTGCCTGATTACTTACCCTATTTCTTTTGTCAGCAGTTTGTAGAACAAGAGAGAATTGGGGACTTGCAGTTGGAAAACCTTGGCTCTTATCCTGAGAATCAACTAACTTTTTTGTTTTAAACTGTGTATTAGTTAGGCTTAGCATTTTTTGCACATTATCTCATTAGACACACATAACAACATGTAAGGATTATTGTTCCTATTATAAGATTGAAAAAAGTAGGGTTTGGAATGATAGTATTAGGCTACTCTTGCATTGCTATAAAGAAATACCTGAGACTGGATAATTTATAAAGAAAAATTTAATTGGCTCATGGTTCTACAGGCTGTATAGGAGGAAGCATGGTTCCTGCATCTGCTCAGCTTCTGGGGAGGCCTCAGGGAGCTTTTACTCATGGTGAAAGGGGAAGTAGGAGCACACAGTTCATGTGGCGAGAGAGGGAGTAAGAGAGAGAGTGGGAGGGGCCACGCAGTTTTAAACAACCAGATCTTGTGTGAACTTACTCATCATGAAGGGGATGATCCAAACATGGATCATCTAAACACCCCATGATCCAAATACCTCTCACCTGGCCCCACCTCCAACACTGGGGATTACTTTTAATCTGAGATTTGGTGGGGACACAGATGCAAATCGTATCAATGATTAAGTAACAGCAATGGAGCTGAAATTTAATTTTAATTTTAATTTTAATTTAATTTAATTTATTTATTTATTTATTTATTTATTTATTTATTTATTAGCAGTGGTACGAACTCGGCTGACTGCAAGCTCCACCTCCTGAGTTCACTCCGTTCTCCCACCTCGGTCTCCAGAGTAGCTAGGACTACAGGCGCCCGCCACCACACCCGGCTAGTTTTATTTTTGTATTTTTAGTAGAGACGGGGTTTCACTGTGTTAGCCAGGGTGGTCTTGAACTCCTGACCTTGTGATTCGCCCGCCTCAGCCTCCCAAAGTGCTGGAATTGCAGGCATGAGCCACTGCGCCTGGCCTTTTTTTTTTTTTTTTTTTTTTTTTTTGAGATGAAGTCTTGCTCTGTTACCCAGGCTGGAGTGCAATGGTGCGATCTTGGCTCACTGTAACCACCACCTTCCAGGTTCAGGCAGTTCTCCTGCCTCAGCCTCCCGGGTAGCTAGGACTGTAGGCACGTGCCACCATACCCAGCTAATTTTTTTGTATTTTTAACAGAGATGGGGTTTTGCCATGTTGGCCAGGCTGGTCTCAAACTCCTGACCTCAGGTGATCCACCTGCCATGACCCTCCAGAGTACTGGGATTACAGGCATGAGCCACTGCACCTGGCCTTAAAGATGTTTTTAACAGAAGCAACCAATCTTCAGAACCTTTGCACTTCGGTACTAAATTATACTGTGTGAACTTAGGCAAGTCACTTAACCTCCTTTAGCTTTAGTTGAGATAATTTATGTGAAAGTACTTTGTAAATTATCAGACTTTATTTTATCCTTGTTTCCAACATTATCCTCTATTGGCAACTTCACTACTTTGCATGAAAATACTTGACTTTTTCCATTATTCAGAATCAAAGAATAGCCCCCATTTAGGTCTAGCTGCCTTCTTGATGTACTGCAGTTACTTTCTCTTTTCACTTGAGGTTCATTTGTGAAATATGAAAACAACTGCCATCCTCTTAAAAAAAGTCTACTTTTGTGGTCTCTGATTTTTCACCTTCAATTCAGTCTGTAACCCCTTGCATCTTAGGTTAGGTTTACTGATGCCAAATTCAAGGTCTCTTCTTCAGTGCCTGCAACAGATCACATTTTTTACCATTGCCACCCTGTCAAAGGTTTGTCTTGGTTTAGATGATACTACATCCTATTGTCTCTAACTTCTCCATCTCCTCTTCCTTCTTTTTTTACTTTTTTAATTTTGTTTTTAGAGACAGGGAGTCACTCTGTCACCCAGGCTAGAGTACAGTGACACAATCATAGCTCACTGCAACCTCAAACTCCTGGGATCAAGTGATCCCGCCTCAGCCTCCCAAGTAGCTGAGACTACAGGCATGCACTTTCATGCCTGGTTAATTTTTCAGTTTTTTGTAGGGACTGGTTCTCACCATGTTGCCCAGGTTGATCTTGAACTCCTGGCCTCAAGTGATCCTCCCACTTTGGCCTCCCAAAGTGGTAGGATTAAAGGTATGAGCCACCATGCCTGGCCTTCCTCTTCCTTCCTTGTAACCTAAATGTAAATATTCCTTCACTGGTATCCTTGGCTTTTCTGTTTGAGCATTCACATTTTGAATTCATCTATACTCATGAATCTAATGATTAGCTCTAGTGCCTCTCCCCTCTAAATCAAATTCGTATTTTCCCAGCTTGTATCCTGTGTTTCTGGCTATTAGTCCCCCTTGGATGTTTCATCATGAACTTAGATTTAGCATGTCCCCAGTTAAATTTATCATCTTCCTTTCCTGTTCTTTTGATTTCCTGTTGCTGTTGATAATTTCTGTTGCCCATATAGTCATATAGACATGGTACCTTGTACATAGTTCTCTTCTAGTTCCATTCACTTCTAGTCCTATTAGCTTTACCTCCTAATCTTTATGTCTTTATCCCCACTGTATCTGTCTTGTTCTGATGCTTACTATCTTCTGCTTAGCTTTCTTGAGTACTCTAATTCTTATCTCAGATTAACCTTTCCTTCATGGAGTACTTTCAAGAGCTTTCCATTACATGCTGAATAAAGTTCCAACAACTTACTATATGAGGTGTTTTTATAATTTGGTCCTAGCTATCTTTCTTTACTTGCTGATTCTCCATTGTGCCTCTTACAATTGATAAGTCCGAATTTTTATTCTTACTGTGTTTTCTTGGATTGTCCTTTTGCCTCATCTTCTAATGCCCACGTTCTACAGATTCTCAAGGCCCTGCTCAAACAATTACCTTCATTAAATTGATACTAGTCTGTCTCTGATTAAAAGTAATTTAGTGGCCGGGCACGGTGGCTCACACCTGTAATCCCAGCACTTTGGAAGGTCAAGGTGGGTGGATCACCTGAGGTCAGGAGTTCAAGACCAGCCTGGCCAACATGGCAAAACCTTGTCTCTACTAAAAAATATAAAAATTAGCTGGGCATGGTGGTACACACCTGTAATCCCAGCTACTAGAGAGGCTGGGGCATGAGAATCACTTGAACCCAGGAGGCAGAGGTTGCTGTGAGCCGATATCATGCCACTGCACTCCAGCCTGGGTGACAGAACGAGACTGTCTCAAAAAAAAACGAGTAGTCTTCCAAATTTGCAAGACTTGTAGTTTTATAAGAGATGTATATATAATAACTTCCTATATTTTCACTGTTAGGGTATGTACTTATTCTACCTGTCTTTGAGACTGTAAGGTTGTTTGGGTAGGATCCATGTTTTTTTTTATCTTTGCTCATAGCTCCTAACACAATGCTATATACATATTAGATATCTAATAAATTATTGACAAATTAATGAAAGTGTACATGTTAAAAATATATCTTAAATTCGCAGCATGTAATGTAGAAATTGAGAAATTTTTAAGCGTTTTTTGACTTTTTTCTTACATTTTATACATACATGTTTATATTCATATGTGAAAATAAGATAATGAGACATAAGAGGAACTTAATAGTGTTAAATTTGTATATCTGACTTAATTTGCCATAAAAATTATGACAAGAGTCAAATTGTTTCTCTTTTGGATAATTCAGTATGATTTTATTTTTCTAGCAAAGTGAGCTGTTACTTGGCCTCTCACTGACTTGTATTACAAATATATTTTTTCTTTTGTTGTGGGCACAGTTTTACCCTGTATTTGTAAAAGCACACCTAAGGCACTAAAGTTTTAGAATAATTTATTTAAAGGAGAAAGATGTTTCTCCAAAGATTAAAAGTAGTACTTTACTATAATGTTAACATTATACAGTATTATAATGTTCACTAAAAATGAACAATGAACATACAAGTGCTAAAAGAGAAACTCTAGCAATGTATTTGCCTGATAACTAATTTTTTTCCATACATTATTGGGGTAGAGGTGGTATTTGGTTACATGAGTAAGTTCTTTAGTGGTGATTTGTGAGATTTTAGTGCACCCATCACCTGAGCAGTATATACTGCACCACGTTCGTAGTCTTTCATCCCTCGCCCCCTTCCCACTCTTCAACTCAAGTCCCCAAAGTCTGTTCTATCATTCTTATGCCTTTGCTTCCTCATAGCTTAGCTCCCACATGTCCATGAGAACATACAATGTTTGATTTTCCATTCCTGAGTTACTTCATTAGAATAATAGTCTCCAATTTCATGCAGGTCACTGCAGATGCTGTTAATTCATTCCTTTTTATGGCTAAGTAGTATTCCATCATATACATCACAGTTTCTTTATCCAGTTGTTGATTGATGGGCACTTGGGTTGGTTCCATGATTTTGCTGTTGTGAGTCTTGCTGCTGTAAACATGTGTGTGCAAGTATCTTTTTCGAATAATGACTTCTTTTCCTCTGGGTAGATACCCAGTAGTGGGATTGCTGGATCAAATGGTGGTTCTACTTTTAGTTCTTAAAGGAATCTCTGCACTGTTTTCTGTAGTGGGCTGTACTAGTTTACGTTCCCACCAGCAGTGTAGAAGTGTTCCCTGATCACCTCATCCATGCCAACATCTACTGTTTTTTGATTTTTTGATTATGGCCATTCTTGCAGGAGTAAGGTGGTATCGGATTGTGGTTTTGATTTACATTTCCCCGATCATTAGTGATGTTGAGCATTTCTTCATATGTCTGTTGGCCATTTGCACATCTTCTTTTGAGGATTGTCTATTCATGAACTTAGCCCACTTTTTGATGCGATTGTTTTTTCTTACTGATTTGTTAGGGTTTGTTGTAGATTCTGGATATTAGTCCTTTGTCAGATGTATAGATTCTGAAGATTTTTTCCCACTCTGTGGGTTGTCTGTTTACTCTGTTGACTGTTCCATTTGCCATGCAAAAGCTCTTTAATTAGGTCTCAGCTATTTATCTTTGTTTTTATTGCATTTGCTTTTGGGTTTTTGTTCATGAAATCCTTGCCTGTGCCAATAACTAGAAGGGTTTTTCTGTTGTTATCTTCAAGAATTTTTATAGTTTCAGGTCTTAGGTTTAAGTCCTTAATCCATCTTGAGTTGATTTTGGTATAAGGTGAAAGACGAGGATCCAGTTTCATTCTCCTACATGCGGCTAGCCAATTATCCCAGCACCATTTGTTGAAAGGGGTGTCCTTTATGTTTTTGTTTGCTTTGTCGAGGATCAGTTGGCTGTAAGTATTTGGGTTTATTTCTGAGTTCTCTGTTCCATTGATCTATGTGCCTATATTTATACCAGTACCATGCTGTTTTGGTGACTGTGGCCTTATAGTATAGTTTGAAATCAGGTAGTGTGATGCCTCCAGATTTGTTCTTTTTCCTTAGTCTTGCTTTGGCTATGCGGGCTCTTTTTTTGATTCCTAATGAATTTTAGAATTGTTTTTTCCAATTCTGTGAAGAATGATGGTGGTATTTTGATGGGAATTGCCTTGAATTTGTACATGGCTTTTGACAGTATGGTCATTTTCACAATATTGATTCTACCCATCCACGAGCGTGGGATGTGTTTTCATTTGTGCTGTCTGTGATTTCTTTCAGCAGTGTTTTGTAGTTTTCCTTGTAGAGGTCTTCTGACTCCTTGGTTAGGTGTATTCCTAAGTATTTTATTTTATTTTTTTGCAGATACTGTAAAAGGGGTTGAGTTCTTGATTTGATTCTCTGCTTGGTTGTTGTTGGTGTATAGAAGAGCTACTGATTTGTGTAGCTCTTATACCCGAAACTTCGCTGAATTGTTTTATCAGTTCTAGGAGCTTTCTGAAGGAGTCTTGAGGGTTTTCAAGGTAAATGATTGTATCGTCAGCAAACAGTGACAGTTTGACTTCCTCTTTATTGATTTGGATGCCCTTTATTTATTTCTCTGCTCTAATTGCTCTGGCTAGGACTTCCAGTACTATGTTGAAGAGGAGTGGTGAGAGCAGACATCCTTGTCCTGTTTCAGTTCTCAGAGGGAATGCTTTCAACTTTTCCCCATTCTGTATTATGTTGGCTGTGGGTTTGTCATAGATAGCTTTTATTACATTGAGGTATATCCCTTGTATGCCAGTTTTGCTGAGAGTTTTAATCATAAAGGGATGCTGGATGTTGTCGAATGTTTTTTCTGCATCTATTGAGATGATATGTGATTTTTGTTTTTAATTCTGTTTATGTGGTATATCACATTTATTGACTTGTGTATGTTAAACCATCCCTGCATCCCTGGTATGAAACCCACTTGATCATGGTGGATTATCTTTTTGATATGTTGTCAGATTTGGTTAGCTAGTATTTTGTTAAGGATTTTAACATCTGTGTTCATCAAAGATACTGGTCTGTAGTTTTCGTTTTTGGTTACGATCTTTTCTGGTTTTGGTATCAGGGTGATGCTGGCTTCATAGAATGAATTAGGGAGGGTTCCTTCTTTCTCTATCTTGTGGAATAGTGTCGAAAGGATTGGTACCCATTCTTCTTTGAATGTCTGGTAGAATTCTGCTGTGAATCCATCTGGTCCTGGGCTTTTTTTTGTTGGTAATTTTTTAATTATCATTTCAAATTTGCTGCTTCTTATTGGCCTGTTCAGGATCTCTAATTCTTCCTGATTTAATCTAGGAGGGTTGTATTTTTCCAGAAATTCATCCATCTCTTCTAGGTTTTCTAGTTTATGTGCATAATGATGTTCATAGTACCCTTGAATGATCTTTTGTGTCATTCAAGGGACCAGCAGTGGGCGGGGCCGTAGAACTCCCAAGATTATATGCCCTTAGTCTTCCACTACTAGGGTGGGTAGGGAAGGGCCATCAGGTTGGGGCAGGGCTAGGCATGTCTGAGCTCACGCTCTTCTTGGGCGGGTCTTGCTGTGGCTGCTGTTGGGGATGAAGGTGAGATTGCCAGGTCACTGGAGTTGTGTAGCTAGGAGGAATATGGCTGCCTATGCTGAATCATGCTGGTTGTCAGGGAAGTAGGGGAAAGCTGGCAGTCACAGGCCTCACCCAGCTCCCACGCAAACTGAAGGAGCAGTCTTAATCCCACCGTGCCTCCCCCAACAGCCCTGTTTCCAGACAGTGGGCGAGATGGGCTTGAAAACTTGCCCCAGGCTACCTGCCTTCTAGCTGCGAAAGAAAAGGGCTTGGTTCTTCCCTCGCCTGTGGAGTCTGCAAACCAGATTTGCCGCCCTACCCAGAGTTGTGGCCTGGAGGTCTCTCGCCCCGTTCAAATTGTTACAAAGTTTAGCTAGAGATTTCCTTCTCCCTGTGGAGTTTTACCCCCTGCTTCTCTGGCTGCCCTCCCTATGGATCCCTGTGGTGCCAGGCAGGAATGGCCTGCTTGGGGACTCAGCAAGCTCCCAGGGCCTTTCAGCTGCTTCCTCTACCCCCCTTGTATTTTGCTTGGCTCTCTAAATTGAGTCAGATCCAGGTGAAGTTGGAAACTTCTGCAAACAGACCTTCAGTTTCTCCAGTGCGGGGTGTGTGTTCGGGAGAGGAGGGTCTCCCTTTCTCACTTCCGCAGTTGGGACACACACACTATTTGGGGTGTTTCCCAGGTCCTGCAAGAGCAGTCCGCTTTCTTCAGAGGGTCTGTCGGTCCTCTCGGGATTGCTGGTTTGTTCTTGCAGTCGGTCTGGAGTTAAAATACACAATGCGAGTCTCCGCATGCTGTTCTGTCTGGAGCCGCAATCTAGTCTTGCCTCCTGTCCGCCATGATGATCCCTGTCCAGTGATAACTAAATGTATGTCACAAATAGCAGTTTACAAGAAGTATTGCTGATTATGCATGCAGTAGTAGCCTTCACACTCCCTACTCCCTCTTCTACCAATTTGTTTTTCTTACCGCTTTCTGTATCTTTGGAATAAAGACTTTAATAACAGATCGGGCTGACAATGAAAGCTATCGTCTCAATCCAAATTGAAGACAGGCTTGTTGTAGTCCAGTGCTGCTAAAACATTGAGCTAATCATCATAATATTTACAGAATCATATCAAGGAAGATCCTGAAATTAATAAACGGTTCTTGAGTAGTTATAATCCTTTAGGAGATTGTGAACATATAAAAATTATACTTTTTGACTATGGCAAAGTCCTAATCGTTTAATAATGTGCTGTTTGTCGAAGCTAGCCAAAGCATGTATTGTTTATGTGCACTCTTGAGGAAGGTGATGCCATCAGGATAAGGCAAGGCCTATATATTTCCTCATGCAGGGAAAGGTTAAAGATGATCAAAATGTTATAGAATTGAGAAGAGAAATCAATATAAAAACCATGGGCTTTAAAGCCCTAAATCTTACCATGACAAGTCCTGTGTCACTTGTTAGTGTGGAACATTGGCATCCTGTTTAATGTCTTTGAGCCTCAACCTAGCCATTTGAATATGGCAGTATTGAATAACTCTGTGTAGTTATTGTGCAAACTTAATGAAATGATCTCCTTCTTCATAAATTCCTTAAGTTATGAATTTCCTTCTGCCTAAAGGTGGAACTATATCAAGCACCTTGACTGAATCTTAGATATATTCCTGGGCTTTAAGATATTTAATGTAGTATATACTGGTTACAGATAAGTAAATTGAAACCAAGTCAAGTGATTTAACAATAATTATAATTATAATTAAGTATAATTAGTGAAAAACATGGAACTAAACAGGTCTCTATTCTTTTTACTGTTGTTTATGTATCCTTTGTTTAATTATAGATACATGTACATTTCTTAATTTGGTTTCAAGGATTCTTTTGTTCTTTGTAGGACTGACTGATTTTTTTACAGCTTTAATTTTAAATGCTCACATGACTTAACATTTGTTCTGGCTGAAAGGGCTATAATTGCTTTTTTCTTATTGTAACTGCCATTTAGGAACTTGCATTGTACTGTTGAAACTTTATTCAACCAAATTATAGCATGGGAAACTGGATTTTAGGTCTGGAAAAAAAGTCTGAAGGCTTGAAAGTATGATCACATCTTAATGACATAGAGTAAAATAAACTACTAAACTAAGGATATTTTATGTTTGCTCAATTTATGTTTTTTGTTTTAGATGGAAATAGAGAAGCTGAAAAAAGCTGTCCTGTCTTCTTGAGTGGTGTGGACCTGGTGTTCATAATGTTCCAGGGATTCAGAAGCAACGCTATGAACTTCAGCTGACTTGTTACTTAAAAATTGTGAATTCTGTTGTTGTGATAAATATGAGCAAATGAAGTGTAATATCTATAGAAAAGTAGAGTGAGGGTGAATTTATATATATATTTTGTTTTGCCAATATGAAGAAAAAGAGGCCTTATTTCTTAACTGTGCTGGGATTGCAAACACTTTTTAAAAAATTGTTTGCTTGAAAATACTACTGAATATAAATAAGAATGTGCACAGTAGTTTTTTTATTGAAACTTGTATTATTTTTAAAGAGATCTATACTATAAATATGGTGATATATTTACAAGTAATCTGTTAAGATATACTATTTGAGAGGGACAGATTAGCCTTTTAGTAACTATAGTCACTACTTTTTCCATAATGCATAAGGGATATAAACTCTGTGTGTGTGTGTGTGTGTGTGTGTGTGTGTGTGTGTGTGTGTATATATATATATATATTTTTACTTTTATCCTCTTACCGAAGGTTACACTGTTGTGCCTGTTTGTCTGCAATGCTGTTTATATTTTGGGTGATGAAATAGGAGTTTCCTAGCTATATAAACCAGATTACTCACCCATGCATATAGTAAGAACTAATGAATAATCAAAATAATTTCATCAACTTTTAGAATATTTTATGTTGCTTGCACTATAGGAGTCATAAAAGGAACTTAGTTAAAATATGTTGGATTGTTAAACATTTGGGGAAATATGAACTGTATTTTAAATTTGTTAGGTCTGAAGAATCTAAAACTGTTAATTTAACCCTTAACTTGTGCCTAGAAACTACAGCACATATAAAATATGTAAACACCAGCCTGTTGCTGTACTTTTCTGCTTATTTTACAGCCTCAAATATTTCTCATTATCTTGTCACTTAGTTCTTCATGTTTCTCCTTCTGACTTTTAATAATGGTAATAGGAAAACAAAACCCAAAGCTTTTCAGAACTTCAGTGTGAGGTTTCCTATTTTGACAAGTTAACTTGTAAATACTCAGGTTTTACGATGTATAATTTACCTAATAGACCAAACTAACTCATGGAGATATTTTGAACTATTATTTAGGTACAAACTTTATAAAGAATGTTAGTATGTCATAAAATATAACATTACAGCTTATTTAAAACCAAATATAGTTGAACATATTTAAAATACATTTTCACAGAATGGATGAATTAGTTGTTTCTTCAGAGTTACTTATGAACAGTTGAATGCTTTAAAATGTTCTGTCTGTAGGTAACATCTAAAACACAAGTGGGTTTATTTAAATTTTTAAAATTTGAAATTTTTTATTTGCAAAAAATTGTTTTATGCTTTATTATATCGCAAATGAGTGTCAGATTTTTGAGTACCAATGATCATGCTTCCATTTTTTTTAGTTTTAAACCACCAAACCAATATTTTTCCTTTAAATTTTAATCTTATAATATAGAAATCTTATGTAAATGAAATTTTGTCATGTTTCAAATAAAGAGAACTGAAGTAGAAAATAGAAATGCCAGTAAACAACATAATGTTTAATTTACAACTTACATTAGGGGTTTGGGGGAATGCTAATTATATATTGAGAATATACATTAGAACTCTTCAAAATGGGCTCTTCTAATGAGGTCACTACTGAACAAAATTGTTCCCTCTTCTGTTAAATAGAATAGGTTTAAATGACTAGTCAAATGAATTATTTTCTTCTTGTTAAATAAATTAAATCTTACTTTCTTTTAATGACCAACCTTAGGTAAAACAAAAATATTGTAATCCTAGAAATTATCCTCCAGCTTTCTCACCTGAAAATCTATTGAAGTGATCCCTGGTCATCCTAATAATGGGATGAGGGAAGTTTCCAGCAGATTTCAGGCTGTTCTTAAAGTTTTTGTTGGTCATTTTCTCAATAGTACATGAAATCAAGATGCTTATGAGCATGGAAATGTATTTAAAGTTTTTGCTTGTGTCCTCCTCAGTCAGAATAGAAAAGTAACTGAAATACTTTTACCTTTCTGTCCTTGATAAAATAGTAAAGAAAACCAAACAAACCCAGGCCTGATGGGAAAAATGATTCCTTTATTCTAGCAACTTACTTTCTGTTGGTATGGGAAATGTTATTAATTTCTATTACTAAAGTTCATATCACAAAATGATATTTAATAATAACCTTGGGGTAAATCATGAATTTTTTTTCTACGTGTGAGTATAAAAGACAAAAGTTGAACAGCATGGAATCTCATTGCCAAATTATTAGTGAATGTATAGTTCAGGTATTCTTTGAGACACACAGTATCATTAATTTCTGAATTGTATTTCAGTGTTATTTTTTGTTTGTGACCACTAAGCTTCTGTCTTAATACAAAGCTGTTACCTTCTACAGAATTTAAGTCTGAAGATGTAAAGAGAGAACAGGCCTTGTGTAACAGAAGATACTCTTTTTTATGCTCCTTACTGTGATCACAGAAAAATTAAAAATCCAAGTGCTCTCTAGATTTGTTGATAAACATTTTATGCTTGCATTTAAACTTGAAATGTATGAGCAGAATGAGACAATCAGTTAAATCAGAAATGAGAAGTATTATAATGTAAAGGCCTTGTTTTGCTGTAGCAATAAAATGACCAAGTGCAATGACTTGATTTAATAAAATCATATTTTAAAAGTTGCTGCTATGAATATTTTTGGCTATAAAATTTTACCCTGACTTGCTTTCAATAACTGTTACGTAATGCAGTTGATGTTGTAACCTAACATTCCAAAAAAAAAATTGAGAGGGGGAATCTCAAAATAGTATATACTTCACTAACTTGTTTACAGGTGCTGTATTTAAAAGCATGCTTCTCTCTCAAAAAGAAAAATTAAAGGATTTTATTGCCAGTCGTGTCAGTCTTTATTGGTTATTTTTTGTTAACTTTAGCATTTGTGTATTTCAGAGTATGATGAAAATTATATTACTTCAATTTCCAAATACAAGAATAAATAGTAAACCAAAAACATTAAAAATTCTAGACCCGTATGACTTTTACTGAACTTTTCTGAGTCTGGTTTTTCATCTGAAACTGAGACAGTAATTTCTACTTTACAGGATTATGGGGAGAATTTGAAATAGTTTATCTAAATGGCTTTGTAGAGTGCTTGGCATAGAGTAGGTTTTTTTTAAAAAAAAAATGGAGGCTGCTGTTTTACCTTTTTAAAAAGCATTTTACAGTGATGGATATGATAAAAATTAGATGGATAAGGTTAAGAAAAAGGAGGCATTGTGTATCCTTTCCCCCTGAATACGGTATAGTATCCTTTTCTTTGGGGAGATGCTCCTTTCATTTGTATTATATTGTTCAAAGGGGAGCTGCTACCATCTTACAGATTCTACCTCCTTGATCACCCCACCCAGGAAATCCCTTGAGAGAGTACTTGGCTCAAACTGAGTTACTGAGTTAATCAAAGAATGAAATTTTTAAAATTGGAAACAAAAAGAGCTAATCTCAGCATGGGAGCTCTCCACAGTTCTGTTTTTCTGTCATCTGGAAAAAGCTGATTTGAAAAACAAAATTTAGTAGAGCATAGATAGATGGAAACAGAATCTGGAAGGACTTTGAAACTGATTGTAGCTGTTGCTGAGTCTCAGCTGTCTATTGCTTGGTTCTATAAGCACAGACTTGCTCATAAGCTTGTTGGGTTTCTGAACTCACAACCGAAAAAGTCCTGATAAATAACAGAAAACAAGATGAAATCAGGAGAACATTAAGGTCCACATACTTTTGCTGAACATAGATCACATATAGCTTTAGAGATTCTAGTAGTGTGCTGGAAGATTTGAAACAGAAGGAATAGGACACCACTATAAAGCAATGTGGAAAATTAGTGTGTCATAAGATTTTTAAAATCTTATTTAAAAAATTTCTAGTTCTTACTGGCTTTTAGAAGCACTAGACAAAAAACTTTGGAGGCATATAATGGTAAAAGTTTTGGACTATAGAATTTGTGTTTGAAGAGTGCAGATGGTTTTGTCTGAAAATACAATTTGCAAATTTAGCCCAGTTCTAGGAAATAAAAGCAGGTAGCAGTTTAACTCACCTGGATTTATTAGGCTGTATTCTCAAGATGCAAGAGAGACTGGGTCTGGGTGTTAAAATTTTTTTTTCTGAATCCTGTTGCATTTATTTTACCACTGACACCATTTTTGTGAATCTGCTCTTCCATGTAAGGAAAATAAATTCACAAATAGATATCAGTATTTTTTGTATAGAGTCAATAGTTTTTTTCTGTCATGAAAGGTGTGGCTATTTTGCAACTATTGGATGGTATTATTTCCTATCAGGTTCCAAGTGTTTCTTACTGACTACATTTCAGTTCCCTTTAAAAGTGTGTGAATAAAGTTATTGAAAGTAAAACTACATTTTAAGTGCATTGAGAAACTTTTTTTTTTTTTTATTCCAGTCAGGGTCCTTCTCTATTACCCTGGCTAGAGTGCCGTGGTGCGACCTCAGCTAACTACAACCTCTGCCTCCTGGGCTCCAGCAATCCTCCTGCATCAGCCTCTTGAGTAGTTGGGACTACAGGTGCATGCCACCACACCCACCTAATTTTTTTTTGTTTGTTTTGTTTTTGATACTGGGTTTCACCATGTTGCCTGGGCTGGTCTTGAACTCCTGAGTTAAAGCAATCCGCGCTGCTCCCCTCGGCCTCCCAGAGTGCTTGGATTACAGGCATTAGCCACCATGCCCAATGAGTAACAATTCTTTAATAAAATCACATGTTAACTTTTCATGGTAGAGTGGATTTTTAGAGATATTCCTAAACATTAACTGAACAGAATGTAAACGATGTGACGGAGTGATGACATTTTTACTGTCTTTTCCTCCCTTGAGACTCATTAAAAACAGTAAGTACAATGAAAAAGATTTGATATTAATAGATTAAAAAGCAGATTTAAGATAAAAACATTGCTTTTCAGATGAAATAAGGAAGCTACAATTTATAATAGTAAAAATACCTTCCAAATGTTTTGGAGGGAGCAACCTGAAATCTGATATAAACTTTCCCAGACTTTGTGCCAGATGCAGATTTCTCTGAAAGGCTCATCTGATCATTGTAGGCTCAAATCCTGTACAGAAGGATAGCTGGGGAATGTGGAGCTGAAAGAGAAGCCTCACTAACTGTAAGCCCTAATAATTGGAAGTCTGAAAACCAAGGAGAAGGAGACATGCTCTTAGGGAAGACAGATGTAATGAGAGAATATTTTGGCTAACAATTTATAGCTCTTCTTCCTTGCTGTGCTATTCATCAAATAACTGACACCATGGAAACGTGAGTAATCAGACACAAGTATCTTTATGGATACCTGTGTTTTATATAACAAAAAAAAAGTTGTCCAGAAGAAAACCTTGATTAAAATCCTTTATGTCCCAGGAGGAAAAAAATGGCATGATATGTAACACCAAGACATCTGTTAAGTTATGGAACTTTAAAGAATGAATACTGACTCAAAGAAGAAGTTGAAATTTTTAATTGACTAAACACACCGTAAGTGAATTTGAAACGTATTTAAGGCTCTACAACTGAGAAAGACAGCAAGGCCAGATGATGGCTGTGTTTTAATTGGTCTTTAAGCTACTCAAACTGTAGAAAAAGATGGAAAGCCACCCAATTTATTTTATGAATCCAGCATAACTTTAAACCTGATCATCATAAACCAAATCTCACAGGGAGAGATTTCATATCAGGAAATTTATCAATCTCAATGCATGATATGAAATTATAAGAGAAAAATAAAATGTTCACTTTGATAAAAGGAAGGGGTTTCCTGTACTGGGTATGGTGGTGAAGAACACAGTAACAAAATGGTACCACTGTCTTGATGCGTGCCTAGCAGTTCTAGTCACCGTCACCACTGCGTTTACACTAGCAGTGCAAATCTCAACACAATGAGAAAAGCAACTAGCATCTTCGTATTATCATGAAAGTTGTTTTGACCTTGTGGACCACACTTTGAGAACCACTGACCTAAAATGACCTAGTATGGTCTTTAGCATGTAGTAGACAATCAGTAAATGTTTAGTGGATGAATAAGTGACAAAAGGGGAGGTATTCTCTCTACCCCTTGTCTTTACCGTCTCCTACCTTTTCTTCCTTCCTCAAATATTCAAGTATAATATCTCCTCAAGACTAACCACTATCATGCCGATTGCTATAAAACAGACATTCTTCCAGGGACTGCATTAGGCTCTTAAAATGTATTTAACAAATTTTATATACTGGACTTTAGATGGTCAGTTTACCCTACATTTTATAGTAAACTTACCTTTAAAAGTAGGCATCGCGTCAAACATAGCTAATGTTTATATTGTGCTTACCACATACCAAGTGCTATTCCAAGTAATTGCTATCTAATTTACCTGTCTATCCTATCTAATCATCTCAACAATCCTGCGTGCTAGGAGGTATTATACTCCACACACGGGAAAGAGGCTAAGGAAGGTTAAGCAACTTGGCCAAGGCCACTGAGCTAATAAGGCCTGGAGCTGAACTCAGCCCAAGAAACCGAGTTTTGAAGCCTGTGCTTTTGCTCATAAGCTTTATTGCCTCTCTACATAGATAATATATAGGAAAGAAGGAGCCTGCCTGGGGAATATTAATTTCTTCTAGTCTAGTCTTACTTCTTTCACTCTTTGTGATCCTTTATATTAAGTCTGTCAACATTTTTCCACCAGTAAGAGACTAAATGTAAAGTCTATTTTCAGGGATCTCATAGTTTTTAGATTTCTCTGTGATGTGGTCACACAAGATTTTGGGAAACGTTCTTCATTTCTTAGTGTACATCTTTGCAAACTTAAATGGTTTTCATGGCTTTTCAGCAAAAACACAATAAACAACCTTACGTAGCTTCCATAAAGAAATTAAATGGGCCAGGCACGGTGGCTCATGCCTGAAATCTCAGTACTTTGGGAGGCTGAGGTGGGAGGATTGCTTGAGCTTAGAGCCCAGTCTGGGCAATATAAGGAGACCTTGTTTCTACTAAAAACAAAACAAAAACAAAAACTAACTGGGTGTGTTGGTGTGCATCTATAGTCTCAGCTACTTGGGAGGCTGAGGCGGGAGGATCGCTTGAGCCCAGGAGGTTGAGGCTGCAGATCGCGCCACTGCACTCCAGCCTGGGCAAGAAAATGAGGCCCTGTCTTTCAAAAAAAAAGAAAAAAGGAAAAAAACAAAATTAAATGACCACTAGATGGCAGTCAAATAAAGCTCAGCTTATATGTGTCTTGAAACCATAAACAGGTAGCAGCTGCAAATAAAATCAGAGAGGGCTCCAACCTTCACCCAGAACTGGGACACAACCAACCCTACTTCCCTAGCCTGATTACTTCCCCAAGCTAAGTGCCACATGATAGGGTAAAAAGAGTTGGGGCCTTGGAATCGAACTGATCTCGCTCTGAAAACTGGCTCTAAAAATGAGTAGCTGTGTGAACTTGGCAAATCACTCAAGTCTTATCCCTTTCCTTATCTAAAGAGACATAAAAACTTTGTTTTGCCAGAATTTAAACCCTTTCCTTCTTGCCGTTTACTCAGGGAAGAGGGAGAAAGGAGGCCCTGAGTTCTGGGAGAACAAGTCAGACAGCAGCAACAAAACCATCTTGCTCTTGTTTGTCATTTCTGTTGGATGTTGACGCCTTGAGGGCTCCTTTGACCCCAGGTTGCTGCAGTGAGTCCTGAACCTTTTCTCACATGTGTTATTTGCCACTTCCTGTCCTTGATTCTCTGGTGGCACCTCCCGTTCCTCCATTTTGTCCTGCAATGTGCTCCTACCACAACCAGGCCAAAGAGAAAGCAAATCCCATTTATGGTTGCTTATGTAACCAGCTCATATAATAGTTTTGTAGTGAGCTTTGTGCTCCAGGCTTCTTAAGGAGTTTCTGGTAGGGCATCTCTGGTTTTGCCACTTCTGTCTTTTTCCTATGTGAAGTCTAGTATAATTCATATAGAGTTGGAGTCTGCCAGTACAGTCCAGAGCCAGTGGTCAGTGGAGAGAGTCTATGGTGCCACGACCATGCCTGAAAAAGTGAATCCATTTTCTGCCCAAATTCTAAGCAGGAAATGACTTTTCTCTCCAAAATGGGGTTAAAATGTCCATATTGTGGTGATGATGTGACTGTAGGGTCACAGAAGCAGAGAATAGTCCTACCCCAGAAGGAACGTGGTCACCTGAAAGACTTCAGAAGTGAAACATGCTATATAGGAGGACAGAGCAAGACAACATCACACAGATCTTTCCACTGACAAAATAGCCAGCCATCTGCAGTATGCTTTAGGGAAAAGCAAAACCTTTCATGGATATCAGTAAGTCTTGACCCAGGGCTTAGACAGTATTTTGAACAAGTGACAAAACTAGTGATTATGATTCTTAATAGTGATAAAAATCCTGGAGTATGAGAAAAACAACATAGTATACATAAAAGTATTCAGGGACCGTTTCCTTAGTCTCACCAAGATTATCACCAGTTCCATGGAGAGAGAGGGAGAAGTAGAGAATGAAATAAAATAATGTATATTCGTTTTAGTCTATTGAATTTGTGAATGTATGTGTAATGCAAAAATGCCTTTATGTTTGTTTATCTTGATCTGAACCTGTGTTCTTACTGAGGCAAGAAAAAAATTGCCATTCAAAGGCTACATTCTCATCTGGCTTATTAATTAATTGATTATTTTTTTTGTACGTGTATGAGATGGAGTCTCACTCTGTTGCCCAGGCTGGAGTGCAGTGGCATGATCTCAGCTCACTACGTCTGCCTCCCGGCTCAAGTGTTTCTTGTGCCTCAGCCTCCCAAGTAGCTAGACTATAGGCATGTGCCACCATGCCCTGCTAATTTTTGTATTTTTAGTAGAGACATGGTTTTGCAATGTTGGCCAGACTGGTCTCAAAAACTCCTGACCTCAAGTGGTCTGCCCGCATTGGCTTCCCAAAGTGCTGGGATTACAGGCATGAGCCACCATGCCCAGCTGTCATCTGGTTTAAATTATAAATCACTGCATATACAAAATAAGTAGCAATCAACATAAAATTCCCTTGGGCTGTTTCTCCTCACTCAGGGATCTGCCTTTGTTCTTAGTGTGGTGTCTGTGTGTGCAAGAAGTGGATACATCCTCTAGGGAGCAGGAGGAGACAAGACTCCGTGTTTCTGAGCCTCTTGCTCTCCTCTGCCCCTTTCCTCCCTAGTTGAGTATTGATGTGAGAAGACATCTCACCTCTTGCCTGGCCCTTGCTCTTGCTCTCTGTGTCGGAACTTCTCTTGTTCAGAACCAGAAGGGCTCTGGATTAGCTTTCTATTGCCGCTGTAATTATCACACAAATTTAGTGGTGCAAAAACAATAGACATGTATTATTTTATATGCTGGAGGTCAGAAGTCTGACATGAATCTCACTGGGCTAAAATTAAGGCTTCCAAAGGAAGCTCTAGGGGGAAAATTCCTTTCCTTGCCTTTTCCAGCTTCTTTAGGCTGCTGGCAATTCTTAGCTCATGGCCCCCTTTCCCCATTTTCAAAGCCACCTGTAGAGGGTTGAGCCCTTCTTAAACTGCAGTCCTCCATCCTTCATGCATAATCACCTCTCCCTGATTCTGTCTCCCTCTCCACTCTTAAAAACCCTTGTGATTACATTTGGCCCACCTGTCTGAAGGCTCTTAATCACATTAGCAAAATCCCTTTTGCCGTGTAAGGTAATGTATTCACAGATTCCTGGGACTAGAATGTGTGTATATATCTAGGTGGCAGTGGTGGTGGTGGGGATTATTCTGCCAGCCACAGGCTCTCTGCTTCCTGTCAGATTGAAATGTTCCTATATTCTAGCCTTCTTTTCCCTATGCTGTGGTATTCACCCTTCCCTTCTTTATGGCAGTAAAGGAAGGCTTCAGACAAAGGATTCAGCTTACCAGTGAGTGAAAGTACTTTTTAGGTGGGGGGTGTTTTAAAAAATCATCCCCAGAATAAATAGTGACTTGCCCAGGGAGTTTTGAGGGGCATTGATGAATACAGTGAAAAGGAAACACTTTACCCTGGGAATAATTCACCATTCCAACAACTAGACTCTTAAAATTAGCTAGACAACTAATTTCATGGTAGATAATGACACTGGAAAGAGGAAGATAATAAGATCCCCTGCTGATCAAATCTGAGCCTGAAGCCTATTTAGTGACTAAGATAAGAAATGAGGTTATCGACTACTTAAACAACAAAGCTGAGGAAAACTGGGTGGTGGACAAAGAAGAGAAAATATAAATTAAAAATTTGAGGGTGAATTTTAGAACTTTAGAAGTAAGTTTTCCTGATGGCTGAGAATTCAAACCAACATACTTTCCTGTCCTTGTGATAAACAATACTGGTACTGGACATTCTTTCCTGTCCCAAGTGAAATACCAAAAGCAAACAAAAATAGATTAGGTACTTGCTCTCCAGGAAATATTTGCTCTTGGAAGATAAAATTCTGAATAAAACAAAATAGCTTATTAAGGGAGAAGACTACCCCTCATATTGTCTTATGCCCAATTTCTGCCTCCAAAGAAAGAAGAAGTAAAAACTAAAAGACAGAAATGAAATCCACAGGCAGAGAGCCCAGCGCCGCACCCTGGGCCTGGTTAAAGATTGACCCCTGACCTAACTGGTTATGTTGTCTATAGATTCCAGACATTGTATGGAAAAGCACTGTGAAAATCCCTGTCCTGTTCTGTTCCATTCTGATTACCAGTGCATGCAGCCCCCAGTCACGTACCCCCTGTTTGCTCAATCAATCACGACCCTCTCACGCAAACCCCCTTAGAGTTGTAAGCCCTTAAAAGGGACAGGAATTGCTCACTCGGGCAGCTCCGTTTTTAGAGACGTGAGTCTTGCCGAAGCTCCTGGCCTAATAAAGCCCTTCCTTCTTTAACTTGGTGTCTGAGGGGTTTTGTCTGTGGCTTGTCCTGCTACATTTCTTGGTTCCCTGACCGGGAAGCGAGGTGATTAACAGACTTCGAGGCAGCCCCTTAGGAGGCTTAGGTCTGCCCTGTGGAACATCCCTGTGGGGGACTCCAGCCAGCTTGAGCAACACGAATCCTGAGAGCGCTCGCGGGTAGGCAATTGCCCTAGTGGAACAGCTCACCAGAGCAGTGCCTGGCAGGCCCCCGTGGAGGATCAACGCAGTGGCTGAACACCGGGAAGGAACTGGCACTAGGAGTCTGGACATCTGAAACTTGGTAAGACTGGTCTTCGGAACTCGCCCACTCCATTTGAGTGGAAGCGTGGCCTGATCACCCATGGCAGCCTGTACCTGCGCTTTGGTTTTTGTTTTTGACTTGACTTGGATTGCTTGATACTTGGGTTTTGGTTTTGACCTGGCTTGGATTTCTTTTTTTATTTTATTTTATTTTTTTATTATACTTTAAGTTCTACGGTACATGTACACAACGTGCAGGTTTTTTACATATGTATACATGTGCCATGTTGGTGTGCTGCACCCATTAACTCATCA